>NC_000005.10:170003748-170306778 GCF_000001405.40 Homo sapiens
ATTTGGATCTGATTCTTTGGGAACAAGAGTGAAGAAAGGCTTGGGGCAGAGGCCTTATAAGTATTCAGCAATATCTAGTTGTGACCACTGCTCACCTCTAAGAGCGCTACACAGAGCCACATACTGTGACAACCTCCTCTGAGTTCCAGAAGTCATTCCCACAGAGCCCCATGGCCAAAACTGGGCAGGGGCTATGGGTGAGGTACTTGGATGTGCCATTTCTGATCCACTAAGAAGATGAGGCACAGCTACAGCCTCATGGCTCATAAAGGTCTTCCAGAATGGAAGCCAAAACCAAAACAAAACCAGGTCCACTCCATGAGAATTGAAACGTATGTCCACACAGAGATTTGTACAAAAATGTTCATAGCAGCATAGCGTCAATGCTATGACTCATAATAGTCAAAGACTGGAAACAACCCAAATGACCATCAGTGGATGAATAGATAATCGAAATGAGTATATCCATATGATAGAATATTATTCAATGATAAAAAAATGAAGTACTTCCACAATGGTTGAACTAGTTTACAGTCCCACCAACAGTGTAAGAGTGTTCCTATTTCTCCACATCCTCTCCAGCACCTGTTGTTTCCTGACTTTTTAATGATTGCCGTTCTAACTGGTGTGAGATGATATCTCATAGTGGTTTTGATTTGCATTTCTCTGATGGCCAGTGATGATGAGCATTTTTTCATGTATTTTTTGGCTGCATAAATGTCTTCTTTTGAGAAGTGTCTGTTCATGGAAGTCAGTGTGGCGATTCCTCAGGGATCTAGAACTAGAAATACCATTTGACCCAGCCATCCCATTACTGGGTATATACCCAAATGACTATAAATCATGCTGCTATAAAGACACATGCACACGTATGTTTATTGTGGCATTATTCACAATAGCAAAGACTTGGAACCAACCCAAATGTCCAACAATGATAGACTGGATTAAGAAAATGTGGCACATATACACCATGGAATACTATGCAGCCATAAAAAATGATGAGTTCATGTCCTTTGTAGGGACATGGATGAAATTGGAAACCATCATTCTCAGTAAACTATCGCAAGAACAAAAAACCAAACACCGCATATTCTCACTCATAGGTGGGAACTGAAAAATGAGATCACATGGACACAGGAAAGGGAATATCACACTCTGGGGACTGTGGTGGGGTGGGGGGAGGGGGGAGGGATAGCATTGGGAGATATACCTAATGCTAGATGACGAGTTAGTGGGTGCAGCGCACCAGCATGGCATATGTATACATATGTAACTAACCTGCACAATGTGCACATGTACCCTAAAACTTAAAGTATAATAAAAAAAAAAAAAAATGAAGTACTGATCCATACTACAACATGGGTGAACCTTGAAAGCATTACACTAAGTATAAGAAATCATACATGAAAGGTCACATATTTTATGATGTCACCTATATGAACTGTCAAAATAGGCAAATCCACAGAGACAGACAGTACATTAGTATTCACAGTTTCCAGGCAGTTTGTAGCAGGGCAGACAGAAAAATCTGGGACCTTTTGAAGAATTTCTGTGACAATATAGCAATTGATAAACAAATATTTTCTGGAGCCCAGCTGTATTCAAGTCATTGTGCTGAGCATGGCATTAGGGATACAATGAAATGCAAGACAGGATTTGGGTACTTGTGGAGCTTACAGTTGGAGAAGACAGGGCATACAAATACTCTACACCCAGTGCTACCATCAACACCACCACTGCATTTACTGAGTGCTCGGTGTGTGCCAAGCCTGTGGTGGATGCCTCATGCTTGTATAGGTTCCAGGGACAGGGTAGGGGAAGGTGTTGGTGGGGAGAAGAGGGACTGACTCTTACGGGTAGAGGGTTTCTTTTGGCGTGATGAAAATGTTCCAAAATTAGACAATGGTAATGGTTGAACCCCTTGTGAATATACTAGAAACTAAATCATACACTTAAAAAGTGAATTTTATGGTATATAAATTATATCTCAGATTTTTTTTTAAAAAAAAGAAAATCAGGAATGGGATGACAGAGAAAATGCTTTTTTGATGGATTCATTCAGGGTAGAATAGATACTGGCAAGAGGCTCAACCATATTTGATGTGTCTTATGTGTTAGGGGGCATTTCTGAAATTATTCTCACAAGTAATTGTAAATTGACTTGCTTTGTTGGATACCTATTTCCCATGTACCTTAATTACTCTTTTGCTATCCCCTAAAATCAGAGATTTCTCACTTTCATGGAAACACTCATTTCCATGTCCTGTGGCCACAGTTTTCTCTTGCCCTGGCTTGTTGTTTCAAATTCCCATCTTAAATGTGAGAAGGTGTAAGCTCCGGACATAAGCAGACCAAAGCTGCACATTTTCAAAGCAAAGCCCTGGAGAAACTGCTAAGTCACTGGGATGCCGGGAGGAAAGGCAGTCTGAGGGGATGTGGACAGGAGACCCAACCTGCCACATGTGTTTACATAAGCAACGTTGCTACGGAAACAAGGAGATTTGATTCCAAATGTTACAAGAAACTTTGGAGGACTTTGAGGAAGGGAGTGGCATGATCTGATGTGTTTTTGTTTTTGTTTTGAGATGGAGTCTCATTCTGTCTCCCAGGCTGGAGTGCAGTGGCGTGATCTCAGCTCACTGCAGCCTCCGCCTCCTGGGTTCAAGTGATTCTCCTGCCTCAGTCTCCTGAGTAGCTGGGATTACAGGTGTGTGCCACCATGCCCGGCTAATTTTTGTATTTTTAGTAGAGATGGGGTTTTACCATGTAGGTCAGGCTGGTCTCGAATGATCTGATGTGTTTTAAAAGGTTCTTCTGGTCTCTGCATGGAGAGCTGACTTTAAGGGGGCCATGAGCCAAGAGGCCACTTCACTGAATCCCTAGAGCAGTTTGTTTTTTTGGGCCCTGGGTGATAAAGGTCCAAGTAAAGAAAAAAGCATTCACTCAACAAAATGTAAACTGCGTGAGGCCAGGGATCGCTGTCTGTGTAACCACTGCTCTGTCACCACACTGTGGCAATGCCAGGGCACCTAGCAGATGTTCCAGAAATATTTGTTAAATGCATCCCCAGCTGAATACTGACCGTGGTGTGTTAAAAGAACCCCGAATGTCAATCAGAAGGTCTGCGTGCAGATCTTAGCTCTGCTGTGTATACATCAAGATGAGAGACTTACGCAAAATACTCAACCTCTCCAAGCTTCAGTCTCCTCATCTATAATAGAGGAATAAGAGCTGTCAAGTGTTGAGAGATGAAAGGAAGATGTATGAGAAAGTTCCTGGCCTATAGTAAAATTAGATTGCTTGTTTTGCTTCTTTCAAAGACTGGAACCGCAAACCGATTTGAAAGTCATACTCTGGGCAGCAATGATGATGTTATGTTATCAGTGGAAGAGTTGCCTCTTTCATAGTCTTGGCCATCTGCAAACACGAATGAACGTCTTTGAGTTAAGGAGGAAGGTTTCAATGGCAGTATGATTTCTCTGGCTAATGTTGCCTATCCTCTTGCTACATACACTGTTGAGAGGGGCCTAAAGTGGGTGGGCTTTGTTCAGCAAAACTGTCTCCCACATGCTCCTTGCAGGACCTTGGCATCTTGCAATAATTGCCCTTGAGCACCAAAACCCTAGGCTGTATCACTGGCTTTCGTACCAAAGAAACCACTGGAATAAGGAAAAGCACAACAGCAATAAGGCTAGCAAGGATTTTTGAGCTCTTACTGTGATTCATGTCTTTAAACACATCATTTTGTGTCATCTTTATCACAGCTTTCTGCAGTGGGTACCAGAGTCACCTCAGTTTTGCAGACAGGTTTACCGAGGCTCCGTGATGAATCCATGGATTGTAGATCCATGGTTTGGACCTATAATATCTCTGGTTCTGTATCCTGTATCAATATTGCCATCAGTGTGGCTAATCTTTTGAGCAGTCACCATGTGCTGACCCCTTTACCTGCTCTATTTCACTGCAGGCTGGTGGAGTGGGTTAGCACCAACAGATCAGGTACATGCAAAAATCCTTACAAGCCTGCATCTCAGCTGGGCCAGCAGGGGCTGTAACTGAAACATGCATCAGAATCACCTGACTGCTTATTAACCTGCAGATTTCTAGGTCCCACCCCCAGAGGTTCTGATTCAGTAGGTCTAGGCAGCGGCCAGAGAATTTGTATCTCTAGCAAGTTCCCAGGTGCTGCTGCTGATCTGGCAACCACACTTTGAAACTATTCAACTAAGGGGAAAGTAAAGGCAAAATATTTTAAGACAGAATGGATTGCAGTTTGGTCCTCCAAGCTGTCAGGTGAATTAGGGAGGACTTCCAGAGAGGCAGTGAATCCCTGAACTATCTTACCCTTCGTCACCCTCTAATTCCAGGGCAAGAACCAGCTCTCCACAGCACGCAGCTAGGGCAAATTATTTGTCTTTCAAAAAACAGAACAAAGCACAAGGACAAAAACAACAACAACAACAACAACAACAACAACAAAAAAAAAAAAACCTAAAATTCTCCTCCTCTCCCAAATCCTGTTGTCTGAGAGTGGACGTGGTAGCGCCTAGAGAAATCCATCCATTGTCCTCACTTTGGCCAGGATGTTAATTTCAGAGTCAGTGCCAGTTAGAAAATTGCAGTGGGCACAATTAAACTGGTTCGGCCTCTGTCTTCTGCCATCTTCATAAATTATTCACACTACCCAGCGCTTATGCCTTCCCGCTTCAGACCCTCTCCATAACTGTTCTCTGCTCTTTCATTTACAGCTGTGGAACAACTATTTTCATCTGGCAGTGGCTTTTATCACCCAGGATTCTCTGCAGCTGGAGCAGTTCTCACACGCCAAATACAACAAAATCCTGAATAAGTAGGTTGCATTTTTGGATTTCCTGAAGAGGGGGAGGTCCATGAGATCCTCTGAGATGGTGCCTGAAGCAGAGGTTTTTGTTCCTCCTAGGTATGGGGACATGAGACGGCTAATTGGCTTCTCCATCCGTGATATGTGGTACAAGCTTGGTGAGTAGGCACACACATCCAGATACTCACATCTGCAGGCACCAAACTCCTTCTTAAAGACCATCTGTTGGAGGGCCACAGGGGTTTTAGCAGTGGGAGCATGAAATAACAGTTCATTACTGTGTGTACCCCAGTTCCTAATAAGTGCCTGATTATACTCTGAATAAGAGGGGTTCCCCATACCCACTTCTACCCCCAGCCCTGCAAGCAGCTGTGAATATGCTTCTGCTTGATGCCCCCAATGGGTTACAGATCCAAATGGAAATTTATAAGAGGGACCAGGACTGTCATGGGAACTCACGTGCTCACACATGACACGGATGCTTGCTGCTGATTGGAGGGTCCTTCTGCATCCTGTATAGCGTGGTCCACAAAACGTACTCCAACCTCATAAGGAGAATTGGCTCTCTGAAAGATGAGAGGGTCTTTTTAGCTGAAAAGTGACCCCAGAAGCTGTCTCTGCCTCAGGGAGCTTCAGGAATTCTGTGTGATTACCTGAATGATACCTGTGGAGGGAGAGATGGAACGAAGGAGACATTATTGAGAGTCTGAGTCAGGCCCATGCTAAGAAGATTATATTTAATCTTCACATCACTTCCTGTAAGACGGAATTGTTCCCCCATCCTTTTACTGATCAGGAAACTCAGAAAAGGAAGTAACTTGCTTGAAATCAAACAGCTGGAAGCCTCCAAGTGTGGTTTTGATTCCACAAGGACAGGGGCTATAAACCTTGCTCATGTCCTGAATCCTCCTTTATAAATATGTGCTGAAAGGATGGATGGGTGGATGGATGAACGAACAGTAATGAATTTTTTATTTTTCTGTCCCTCCTTGACTCTCTGATTCTAAATTGCTCTGCCCTGGGTGTGGATATTGACTTTCCTGCAAGTACTAACTTGTGCCCATCTCTTGGATTTAATTTTTGTTCCCTCTTCAGACTACGCTTCTTGCTTCCCCAGACCTCTTATTATCTGCCAGTTCCCATGGGTTTTTTAGGCAGCAGTTGCATGCCCCTTCCAGCGAGTTCTATCCACTGTGGGGGAAGCATAGAGCAGTGGATAGATGATCAGTCTGCGTTCTGTGGTTGCTGATAGCATCAGACTCGAGCTAAGAGAAGTACATGCTGGATAACAGGGAGGTTGCAGGTTGGTTCACAAAGCCCAAGGCAGAGCCAAGGACCCAAGCCCAGAACAGACTGCCACTTCTTTGCTTTGGGCCTTGCTCTGACATTTACAGGCTGTGAGGCCTAGCATCACCAGGCCTAAGTTGGGGAAATAAGCACCCTCACAGGGGGCTTATGAGGGTCATCAGAGCACAAGCTGGGGCACGTGGAGCCATGGAGGCCACCACACCCACATCAGAGTTTTTATCATTATTGTCATCCTTGCCCCATCAGGATGGAACCTAATGTTTCTGTTCTCCCTGGCCTCTACCCTCTAAGATGCCAGTAGCACCCTCCCTAGTTATGACAACCAAAAAGGTCTCCAGACATTGCCAAATATCCCCTGGGAGAAGGGGGTGCCACCTCTACCCTGTTTTTCTAGAAAGGCATGTCTTTCTCAGTCTATCTTTTGTTTCTCCACTCTGGGTAAGGACTGGGATATAGGAAATAATTGACGTTTCATTTACCATTGCTTTGCAATGGTAGGGGAATGGGGGAACATGGTGCAAGCACAGGCCCACACGACAGCCGGCACCTGGCCTCAGGGTCAGGAAGATGAGAAGGAGTAAGGGCCTGCGGCAGAGTGAAACTGACATGCCCAAGCAGAGAAAAAAGACAGTCACTGTTCCTCTCCAGTTAATAGCTGTCCTACTGAAATGCAATCCCAACGTTGTCATACCTTTCAGTTTTTCAAAAGAAGCCGGGAGACTGGGTTTTTCAATGTATTTTCCAATTTATGAATACTAATGAAAACTAATTGAAAGTTTTCAAAACATCAGATGTGCTCAACACATGATGGACCCAGATTCAGTTCACTTCCAAGTTTGCATTCGTTGCTGTACAACAGCAGAGGCTGGAGAAAGCTGTGGCGGGCTTCCTTCCCCAGCTCGACACCCCAGGCACTGCCAGAATTGCAAAACAGGGATCTGTGCTTTGTTTGTTTCAAGTCCTTCCACATGGCCTGCTCTTTTCTGAATGTCCTTCATTGCCATTGTTTTGCACACAGAAGATTTTATTTAGATATAGATTATGTTTTGGCAGGCATTCCTGCACTCCCAATTATGCTGATGAATGAAAAGATGTTACCAAATATTCCACCTGCTTAGAATCACAGAACATCGGAGCTGGAAGGGCCCTTCAAAGATCATATTGTCCAGCATTTTTCAAATATTTATTTTTAGCTGAGGACCAATAAAAAAATTCTCCTGCTTAATAAGTAAATTGGATGAAAGCAGAACTATTGTAATTGAAGTGAGGTGGGAGACCCAGAGCCCATTATAACAAGCTGCTCTTGAACTTCTCTTGTAGAGGGTTTTCTAGGGGGAAGCCCTGAGCACTGCAGAGAACAGTTGGAAGCAACTGATCTGGTCCAATTCACTATTTTACTAATGAGGAAACTGAAGTCCATAGAGAAGGGGTTTGTACAAGATCATGTAGTGGGTTAGAGGCAGAAACTGGTCAAGCACCTTAGCCAGAGTGTTTGCTCTGAAGCATCACAGACTCCCTGCTGTTAGCAAAAACCTGTAGGATGAATTAATGCAATTAAAAGATACATCTGTCAGGGGTTGAGGGTTGGTTGCAAAAAAAAGGCATTGACTGCAGCTGCCTTAATCAGAGAAGGTATTTATTAGAAGGGCAAGAAAGAGCCGAAGAACCAGGCTTCTCTTGTTCCTGGCTACCTGAACCCAGGATTCAGTGTTTTAGGATTGCAATGTGCTCAATTAACAATGCCTTGTAGCAGTTAACAGCCACGTGTCCCAAGTCTGTCCCATGAGAATCAGCAGAAACATACCTGTTAGGTCTACAGGAAAGTATTTTTTTCCAATTAAAAACAAAACAAGACAAAAAAGAGGCAAGGAGAGGACAGATTGAATGAACAAAATGCATTTTTGCCCACAGCCCTCCCCTCTCTTTCTTTCTGGAAAAGGACAATATGGCTGGAGGGGCAGTAGCCATCTTAAAGCCATGAGGACAAAACTTACATTCTGAGAATGAAGGAGCAGGTCTGGACTGGCCATCTTTTGGTTTCTTGTTAAACAAGAAAATTAAAGCTTCAGTTTAGTCATGGTAGTCAGATTTCTGTTGCATCCTTAACTGATACATCATCTAATTCAACCCTGCCGATTTTATAGGTAAAGTTGCCAGACGAGGCCAAGAGAAGCAGAAGGACATTCCTAAGGTCAAAAACAAGCCAGTGACTGAATTGAGGCTAAAAGAGCCTGTCCTGTCTCTTGATCCCAAGTGCAATGTTCTTACAAATAATTTTTTTCAAAGTGTATGCATATTGTTTCAAAGGGTGTGAAATGACCAACGATCTACGCTTTTTCAAAGTGTATGCATATTGTTTCAAAGGATGTGAAATGACCAACGATCTACGTTTTTTCAAAGTGTATGCATATTGTTTCAAAGGGTGTGAAATAACCAACGACCTACGTTTTTTCAAAGATGACTGATAATGAGTAAATCATAATGCATGTTAGTTTTCTAAATTTTGTTTTAAGGCCAGAAGCAATCAGGGCATCATCATCACCATCATCAGTATCATCATCTTCTTCTCATCAAGAACAACTTGAGCAACCCTGTGTTTATAAGATAGCTAATTGCAAAGCTATAATCTCAGGCTTGAAGATTATTTAACATTCTTCAGGGGCAAATCTAGACAAATTGTGTGTGTGTGGAGAGGAGGTATGGGCAGGGAGGTCTTCATGGGGAGAAAGACAACATGTGGTTAAGGAGCCAGCCACTCAGGGGTTAATGGCATTTGTTGTTTTGGATCCCGGGCGGACGCCAAATGGAATTTACTTTTCCCAGTAGTATAGCATCGTAACACTTGATTTCTGCTCGGCATGAAGAAATGCACATTTTGCTCAAAAGACTTTGCACTTAATCCTCCCACATTCACTTGGGTTAACACTGAGCTGCTGTATTAACATTCGTTGTGGGAAAGAAGGACACATTCTAGCGCCTGGCATCTCGGCCTCCCATGTAGGGAGGTTGGCCTGGCCAAGCCTCGAGGGCAATTTGTCCATTACTGTTTAAGCGTCTACAGAGTGCTCAGCTTGGTGCGGAGGTCCAGGGAGTGGAGCTATCTAGTAGGGAAAAGTGACAAAGTGAAATGTGTAGTGGGGACTCAGGAGTTCAGGCCAAAAGGGATATAAGTGAGGACTATAAGGATGATTCCATGTGGGGAAATGGCTTCTGAATTGGAAGGAGGACCATGTCAGGACTGAAGGAAAGACAGGGAAAGGGCAGGTATTCTAGGGGAGCAACCAGCCCAGCAAGCATGGCTTCCTAGGGTTGGGGAGAGGCTGCTGGGAATAAATAGGAAATGGGATTAGTGTGGCCATCCGTCCATTCATTTACTCATTCGTTTACTAACCAACATCGAGCACTGTGGTAGGCTCCCCAAAGATGTCCATGTCCTAATCCCCAGAACCTGTGGAATATGTTACCTGACACAGCAAAGGAGACTTTAAGGTGTGATAAAGTTAAAGATCTTGAAGATGGGGAGTGTCTTGGGCTATCCAAGTGGGCTCAGTACAATTACAGCATCCTTATAGGTGAAAAACGGAAGCTGGAGAAAATCAGAGTCAGAGAGCAATTTAAAGAAGCTGTGTTGCTGGCTTTGAAGATGGAGGAAGGGGCCATGAACCAAGGAATGCAGGGAGCCTCTAGAGGCTGGAAAAAGAAGCTGGGGAAGGCAAGGAAATAGATTAATCCTTAGATCCTCCAGAAGGAACTCAGTCTTGCCCAGACCTTGATTTAGCTCCATGCAACCCCTTTTAGGCTTCTGATCTCCAGAAGTATTACACTTATTACAAAATAAATGTGTACTGTTTTAATTTACTAAGTTTGTGGTGATTTATAACAACAGCTGTAGGAAACTAACACACACATCCTCTACATGCCAGGTACTATGCCAGTAGCTGGGGTTAAAACCCGAATCAGGTTAGAGATATAGCCCCTGACTTCATGGACTGGTGATCATTGCACTGAATAGTTACCTACTAACTGCAGCATTATTTAATGACAGTTGCGAAGGGGAAATAGCTGTAGAATGGAAACTTGGGGCACCCAGAGAATTGGTGACAGACTCCTACTTAGTGAGTAAGCCAAGGATGGCCTCCATGAGGAAGAGCCAGAATCCCTGAATTGGAAGGAGGACTATGTCAGGGCTGAAGGAAAGACAGGGAAAGGGCAGATATTACAAGGGAGCAACCAGCCCAAGCAAGCATGGCTTCCTGGGGTTGGGGAGAGGCTGCTGGGAATAAATAGGAAATGGGATTAGAGTGGCCATCCGTCTATTTGTTTACTCATTCATGTAATAACCAACATCGAGCACTGTGGTAGGCTCCCCAAAGATGTCCATGTCCTAATCCCCAGAACCTGTGGAATATGTTACCTGTTCTTTAGAAATAGGATACAAGCCTTCTAATTATAAATGCTTTAGTGTCTTTATTTTTCAAAAATTAAAAGAATAAAGTTAATTTTAACAATACATTTAACACCATATTCTAAAGTGTTATACTAAACATGTAATCAATATAAAATATTGCTGAGATTTTGTTTTCCTTTTTTGGGTATCTGGTGGATTTTTTACACTTGCAGCACATTTCTAATGGACTAGCCACATTTCAAGGGCTCAAAAGACTCATGCAGCTTGTAGCTTCCATACAGAATAGCACAGCCCTAGAAAATGAGAAAGGGTTTACTTGCAGAGACATGTGTTGGGGGGGGTAGACTATGGAGGGGGGGTCCAGGAGAGGGAAGGAAGAAGAGCTCGTTGGTGGAGGAAGGCCCAAGGTGGGAAAAGCAGTGTGCCCTGGAGGAGTGGGCAGTAGGCAGGTGGAGGGAGGGTGGCTAGGTGAGAGGCACACAATGGGTATGGGGAGGGAGCACAGGACCAGACATGCTCCCAGGTAGTTTATCCTGAGAGCAAGGAAAGTCATAGGGAAAATACTCTGTGAATAAACATGATCCAACTGGGGCTTTTCAAACATCTTTGAGGACAAATGAGAAAATATTTCAATGAGACAGAGAAGAGTGGAGGGTTGTGAGTGTCAGCCATGGTAGGGAAGATAAATCCATCTGACCCTTTCCCCAGTTCAGCTGTTTGCTTTAAAAGTGAACAAATAAAATGACCAGCCTGAAAATTTCCATGAAATGCTTCAGGGAGCTCCATGGGGTTAGGCCTTGTCTTTTCATATTGCTTAATCTAAAACTCGGCATAGAGCTGAACCCAAAGTACTTACCATCAGCAGCAGCAGCAACAGCATCAACACTTCCTGAGCTTTTGCAATGTGCCGGACACTGTGCAGGGCCCTTCGTTTGCACTTAAGCTTCGACAATTCTATTAGGCAGATTTTATTATCTTCATCTTACAGATGAGATTATGGAGGCTCAGGGAAGGTAAATGACAAGCACAATACCACACAACCAGGGAGTGGCAGTGGCAGGACCTGACCCAGGCTGTCAGACTCGAAGACTCTACGGGGCCTGGAAGGAAGCTGAGGCTGGGCAAGTCCTGAACAATGAGGAGAGAATTGATTGCCTGTTTCAGAGCATTGCCAGGAGGGAGCTTTTCCAAGCCTAAGACAGAGGAGCAAAGATCGGTGGATCTGTGTTCTGTCTTCCCCTTTTGAACTGATTTTAGGTTTTTTTTGTTTGTTTGTTTGTTTGTTTTTAATCAGCTCAGCTTTATTTCAAAGTCCCCCGGAGGCTTGCTGGACTCTGAAATCCAGGGAGTCGTAACTTGCCCTCATCCTTGTTCATTGCAGCGTCTGTGCCAGCCTTTGGAGAGACCTTTCTGTTACATGTCAGCCTCAGAAGCCCATGGCTTGCCCAACTTAATTCTCAGCCAAGTTCACAAAAGCCTCCCTCCCTCCCTCCTTTCTCCCTTCCCTCCCTCCCTCCTTTTCTTCTTTCCCTCCCTCCCTCCTTTTCTTCTTTCCCTCCCTCCCTCCTTTCTTCCTTCCCTCCTTCCTTCCTTTCTTCCTTCTTTCCTTCCTTTCACCTTTCCTTCCTTCCCTCCTTCCTTCTTGTTTCTTTCAAGGTCATCTCCTCAGTGCCCTCAGATCCTTTGCATTTTACCCTACAGTCCACTCCTGGGAGGAGTGATGGAGGAGGCCACTGTACAGATGAGAAACCAAGACCAGAGAATTCATGGGACCCCTTTCCACCCACACCCCCCTGAGCTCTTCTCTGTGCTTACATTATCAGCAGATCCTCTCCCAAAGCCTGTGTAATCTGGCATTTGGATTTTTCCTGCTGGCTTATTGGCACTTTAATAGCCTTTTCTAATTGGTATCTGTTCCCAGTGAAGTTCAGCTTCAATTACATGAAAAAGACCCTCTTAGTAAATGCCCTTCCTTGGCTTTTCTCGAATACAGCAGCAGGTGTGTCTCTTGCATGAGCACTTTTTTTCCCAAGTGAGTTTGTATTCAATTAGCCACAAATGTGTTCTGCGTGCATGTGTATGCATCTATGTATGTAAAGATATGCAAACACATATGCATTTGGATACTTGAACACAAAATCCAATGTGCTGAAATTCCACTTTTATGTAAATGAATAACATTTCTGAAGGGAGCATTGTAAGGGCCATTGAGGTCACACTGTATTTGGAGATCACCATCTCTCTCTCCGCTTTCCCTATTCTGCCAAATATCTCCTCAACTGACTGTAAAGAATGCAGATCAAAAGTATTTAAGAAATCACGGGTCTACAGCATGTCTGCCCTTTATTTTAAACCATCTAAAATTTATCCTTATCATGCCCAATGCCCTCCAGTATTCTAAAGGCCTTTGTTGCATAAGCAATTTCTCCATTCCGTGGTGGCTTATCTGACAGTTTCCCATTTACCTTCTACCTGTTTTTGCACTTGACTTTGAATTTTAAAACTCCACTGTGGTTTGAAAAAGACTTAAAGGATCTTGAAGGATGAAATCAGAAACCTAGATTAGCAATTACTATAAACCTGCCAGAAAGGAAGCTGTTGTTGTTATTGTTTTCTATTTGGGCCAAAGCAAAGACTCTGAGGCTTAAGTGTAATCCAAATGCATCATATAATGAAGCTTATATCCTGGAAAAGTGTCTTTATTTTTCACTCCACTCTGCCTGACTCCACCATTTCATTCTCACTAACTGAGGATATTCCTAGGATGATGCCTTTTTTATTTTATTTTAATCTGAATCCTGGGCAACTACTCCAACATTAAGCCTCATTTAGGTTGAAAGAAAATTCATTTTCTTACTGCTTTCCCTCTCAGCTCCTTGTCTGAGCTTTAATCGCAAGCAGCTGTGCCAGGCCACACGCCATACCACCTGAGTTTCTGCACCCTGAGGTGCTCTCTGCCCCAGGCGAAGACCACAAATGTTCATCCTGACAATGGATGAAACCAGGATGGGTGCCAAAACTCACAAGGAGAAGGAGGTAGCAGCTGATGAAATATAGAGGTGTGAGCTTCAATAATAGGGTTGCTTGAATATGCTGACCCTCACTTCCCAGGAAATCCCTGCAATTCCTAAGTGCTCCTCTTTATTCCCTATCTGCTACTTCTGATGCATATTTTCTGAAGATTCTGCTCAGTTCTGCTCAATACGGCTCCCCTTTATGGTTCATTTTGACCAAACATCACAAAGATAATATTAATAGCTAATGCTGTAGAAAGTGGGCTATGTGCCAAGCATTGTCCTGGGCAGTTGCTAAATAATCACTCATTTTTTCTTTGATTCTTTACAATAACCTTATAAGATAAATACTGTTATTGTTCCAAGTTACAGATGAGGACACCGAGGCCCCGAGAAGGGAGACAAACTTGATCAACATTACACAGCTGTAATTGATAGTGGAGTCAATTTACACACTCAGGCCGTCTGGCTCCAGAGTTGGTGCCCTTAACCACTGGGCAACACTGCCCTTGGCACTGATTCTTCTGCGCTCTGTGCTAAGTACATGCGGACATATTTTTGCAAGATCTTCTCAACAGCTGGGTATCACTTTTGCATTTTTATGAGACATATATACAAGTCCCATAGCCAGGGAATGTAGGAGCTGGAAAATTTATTTTCTCATTCAGCAGGTGTTTACTGATCATCTGATAAGTCCTGTGCTCAGTGCTATAGACACAATGAGGAGAACAGACATGGTCTCTAGTGGGGGAGGCAGATGTTAATCAAACGATTCGACATATAAAGATATCATTTCAAAATTGGCAAAACATATAAAGGCAGTGCAAGGAATCTTTTCTAGCTAAGGGTGGGAGGTGTAGAGAGGGGGCTTTTCTCCCAGAGGAAGGAGTGTTTAAGCTAAGATAGCACCCATCTGGGGGAGGCTGCGTGGTAATGGGTATTGGGTTAGGGAGCAGACAGGGAAAAGTATTCTCAGCAAAGGGGCATAATGTGCACAAGCCTTGCTGTGGGGGAAGCAAGGTGAAATTGTGACATTTGAGCAACCCCAGCTAGGCTAGAATGCCAGGAGCCAGGGGAGGGGATGGAGGGAATGCCTTGAAATGAGGCAGAAGAGACGAGAAGTTGTGGTTCATCTGATCCTCAAGCTATGTTTTAAATCTCCCCGTTCCACTGACCACACTATTATAGCGAGTTCTTAGTAGCAAATTTTGCTTTTCTCATTTCATAAAACAGTTGGTAAAATCCCATTTAAAAACTCTCAGCAACACGGCATGTATTTCAGACAGACATAATTTCAAATGTGCTGTGCTTTGCCATCTCTAACATATTCAATCATGGCCCTATTTGCAGAGCAGACACTGCAGGTGAAAACCCTTGTAAACAGTGAAGTGCTTTCTACACGCACGCCCGTGTTATTAGCCTTAATAATCGGGCTTGTTTTGGATAATGCATGCGCTCTAACGGGAGTTAATATATGTTAAGTGTTCAAAACGGTGCCTGGCTCATGGTAAACAACTATATAAGTGTTAACTATTGTTTTTACTATTATGCTTCCCTTTTTTTCTTTCCCCAGGCTTGGTCGGAGGAGGACCTGTGCGTCGCCGAACTGTTTTATGTGTTCATGTTCCTCTTCTCTTTCAGGTCAGAACAAAATCTGCTTCATCCCAGGCATGGTAGGACCTATATTAGAGATGACACTTATCCCTGAGGCTGAGCTCCGGAAAGCCACCATACCAATCTTCTTCGACATGATGCTGTGTGAATATCAAAGAAGTGGGGATTTCAAAAAGGTAAAAAATGAGGCCGGAAACTCATGCCAGCATGCCTAATCCCCAGCCCATTTCCCCATAATGATATCCTCATTCCATCTCCCTGAGCTTCATTGAGAGGCTCGGCGGCAGGATAGGGACATTTATTCATGGGTCCGGAATGAGCTGGCAGATCAGATTTGGTCGGTATTCTATCAAGCTTTTCCGTCCAAGGACAAGATTAAAATGCAGTTTCTGGCTGTGTATTTGCTTAGCCTCTTTCTCAAGAATCTAAGAACCCCACATCTCTACCTAATGATTCCCTAAAAATGTGTTCCCAGGGCCCACCCGTCCCACCTGTCCCACTCTCTCACCCACTCTTGTCTAGTACTTCATCTTCTGGGCTGACTCTGCGGATCTACATTATCTAGAAAACGCCGGCCCTGCTGGGTGTCACACTTGTCCACACACCAAATCTGATAGCAGATGGAGTTAGGGACGTGTTGCTCAGGAGGGACCTGTGGATCTGTGAGGGAATAGGACACTGGCCTCAGCATGGAGGGCGCCAGAACCTCTGTGAAACACGAGAGCCATTGGCCAAATATTGTCATTGAATATTTCGTCAAACTTGGACAATGAGGTCCATTTCCCGGGCCTGGTCACACTGGGAGCTCTGGCAGTGGAAGAAGCACCAGTTGCCACAATTGGCTCCCGGTACTGCTCAGTGACATTACCCTGTTTAGGAAGGTTGGTCTTTAAGTCCCATCAAGGCTGCCTGAGCCGTTCCCTCAGGCCTCACCCCCTGTCCTCTCTGCCCCACATCCTCAGTTTTACCTCTAACTGAGCTTCTCACCCTCCTCTCTCCCCCAGTGCATCTACCTCTTATTCCTACCATATCCTGCCTTAAAATGGGTACTTAAAAGGCAGCAGATTCCAAACTGCCTTTCCTTAAGATCCTTAGGGATGTTTCCCTTCCTTTACCCATTAATACCCTAATCCCCACAGAATAAAGCCCACACCCTCTAGCCAGCATCCCCGGCCCTCCCGGCTCCAGCCTTCTGAAGAATGTCTCAGCCATCCTCTCCAACTCTCCCCGCCTTACCTCTTCTCCACCATCCCCGCAGCCCACCTGAATGGCATTGCCTCTGTGGGTGTCCTTCGGGCATTTTTTTTCTTTCTGCTACTTCTCTGCACAGTCACAACCCTGCCTCTCAACACCTTCTAAACTCTTACTGATCCTGCGAAGCCCATCCAAATGCCATGTCACCTAGAAGGTCTTTTCTCCCCATTCCTGTTATTTGATGTCTAAGGTATGACTATTATCTACTGCCTTGCTTTATACTCATTTCTGTGCATTTTTCATCTTCCTCATCTGCATCTAATGATGATGATGATGATGATTATAATGACTGACTTTAGATATTTACTACATATCAGGCATATGACACCTATTTTCTATGTATTAGTTCATGCAGTCTTTTTAAACTACAACTCTGTGAAGTAGGTAACATTATCTTATCTTACCCACTTTAAAGATGAAAAGAAACTGAGACTTAGAAAGCTGACGTCATCTGCTGAAAGTCACAATCAAGAAAGTAGCAGAACAAAGGCTGCAGCAAGCAGGTCACTGCGATTCCTAAACCCATGCTGCAACCCGTACTATCCAGCCACCAGTATCTCCCAGTAATACTGGCTGATTGGTATCTGCTAGAGCAGTGCTTTCCCTAAATATGTCCATGAAGCACTGATCCAACAAGATGCTCCAGGGAAGAGGGTTTCAAGGTTAAATACCTTTGGAAATCACTGCATATTGGAACCCATCTTAGAGATTCCCAGTGCATATTAATAGAGTCAAGGCACTGAGACATTCCATGGCAAACAGATCTGTCATTTCTTAAATTTATTTGTGCAAGAAACATCTATTGGATTTTCCATCCTATTAATCTCACATGGGAGAAAGTTGTTCTGAGAGGAATAAGAGACTAGTTTGCTATGATGATATCACTGTGAGAGGTAGCATTATAGGGACTCTAGTGCCAGAAGGGCTAGTGGCCAGCTGCCTTTTTGTGAAGAGCCTGTAAAGAAATCTGGCTGAGTAGGTCAAATGGAGAAAGAGGCCGTATCTGAGCAGTTGGGATAGGGGGAGTGGAAGGTGAAAGCTTGGATTGAGTGTTTGAAGGCAGCTTGGAATTTGCTGCCTTTTAAGTGGGAGCAAGGTCTGTGCAGCTTGGGACCACGTAAAGGGCACACGCCATGAGACGAAGGGCAGTTTACTTACCCTCAGACCCACTTCTGAGGCCAGCGGGTGCCTTAGAAGAGTTCCTGGGAACAGGTGTGCAAAAGAAACACACCAAGTGCCTGATGGTGTACAATGTCCCAAAAAGAAATAAGACCTGGTCGTTGCCTGGATTGTGACCTGACAGATGTTTGGCAGCCTCAGAGAGTTTCACTCTAGTGTGATTTTCCTTCCCTAAAGGATTCTCGTATCTTGGTTTCTCTGTGGCATGCACCCACCTGTTTTCTCCGTATAGAGTCATTCCTTGGGCTCCTCACTCCAGTGTGCATTCATTCTGAGCATGTTCCCTAATCACTTCTCCTCGCAGCTCCCTTATCAAAAAAGACAGGACAATCAGGCTGACTAATGAGGCAGATGCCCATGTGAAAACCAGCTGGCGTGCTTCATAGGAGCTCAGCTCGGGGATACGCCGGCCCAGGCATGGTTTTTGGTTCAGGGTAAGCAGTCATGGAAGGTGTCTCCAGGAAAGGGAGGTGAATCCCTGCTGAATCCCAAGCAGCCTTGATGGCCAGAACGAGAGTGAACCCCAATACTGGGGTCTAGAATCCAGGAGGGCTGGTGTGCAAAGTGGCATTAGTACATGATGCCAAAATAATCCCATGAGAGAAGAACCAGGTCCCCAGAAGACCACATTGTTCCCTCTCTAAAATGTGGGTTGCTTAAGGGAAATAGCAGAGCCAAGAGGAAACTGAGCAGGGGCTTTGCTCCCAGGTCATACCAAACCCTCTGGCCTGATGCCAGTTTCTTGAAGTTCTCTAGCTCTTATGCCTTTGTATGGGCTCTTCCTTTTATATCTTTGCCTGAAGAGATCCTAGACACCCTTCAGCTGAGGCTTTACTTTTTGGGAAAGGCTTTCCTGCCTCCTGGGGCAGTGGTTCATCTGGGTACAAGAGACAAAGATTTTCTCAAGCCAAGTATACATAGGCTGGAACTAGGACAGGAAGGTGTTAGACTCTCAGTGGCTCACGGTTCTGGGGGCTGAACAAGAGGCAACCCCAGGGCAATCTCTTTCTCTGCTCTGGGTTTCTTTTATAAGCTCTGTGCCAGATTTCCCTGTCTCACCTCTCACCCAAATTTCATAGACAGCTGATGGGTTTGACTGATGACATTTATCCCTCATGAGTGTAGCACTTCATCCCAGACCATCTCGGGGGTCTCTGTCCATTGTCTAGGACTGGATGTCCCACCCCTGGTACACCACATGATTCCCTTGGTGGGGTTGTGGAAGGACAGTTTCAGCAAGAGGGCCTTAGGTGGACCCCATTGTGGCCGGCTTGGCCAGGACACATGCTAGTCAGAATGAAACGTATCCTATCCTGCCTGGATTGAGCGGTCATCACACTTGTCCCACACAGCACAATTACCTGCTCATAGGTCTGTGTTCCACAGCAGACTGTGAGCTCTTGAGGGCCAAAGCTGGTCTCTCAGTCCTGAACTCCCAGTCCCTGTCAAGTGCCTGAGATGCACGTGGTGGGCACAATGTCAGTGTTCCCAGAATGAATGGATGGAGGCATTTAGACCCCCATCCCATGTCATTCAGGGGAACCACATCGGCACAGGGAGGTGCATTCCAGCAAATGTTTTTATAAACTAGAATAATGGGGGTTGCTAATGACTGCTTGAGTAATCCCCTTGCCCCGAGTACACCAGCTGTCTTGCTGGCCAATTCTTTGTGGAAAGAGGGGATGTAGGTGTTCTGGATGCTATTGGTGGGAATGAGTGGGAGTCCTGGGGTATAGAGACCTTGGAGACTGGTTGGCTAGATGCAGATTGTAGAACAGGACTGTGTACCAGTCAGCATGGGGATCTGAGCCCTCAGCAGGCAGGAGATCCCAGAGAGAATTCTTCTCTCAGAGAAAGAAGAGGGGATAGCATCTGACAGCAGCACCTAGAACAGTGCCTGAACACCGTAGGAGCTCAATCTTTGCTCATTGAATTAATTAATAGACGGAGATAGCCATGTTAGCAGATTCCACTGAGACTGCATCTTGGCGTGGAGTAAGCTGGTGATTTAAATTGTTTAGAACATAATGTGGAAAAGATTACATCAATTCAATAAATCTGTACTGAGTGCTTGCTGCGTTCTCGGTACTGTTGTTTGGATTCAGATAGACCTACTTCTTATAAGCTGAATCAATGTGGGTAAGTTATTTAACCTCTCTCAGCCTCAGCTTCTTCATCTGTAAAGTGGGTATCCAACTGCCATTAGAGGTTCCCATCCCAAGCTCTTTTGGGGGATGAATTGGAACGATTAGAGACAACTCAAAATTAGAAAGCCGCGCTGACTTCCAGACACCCCTTCTCACGTGACATTCTCTTTTCCAGGTTCCTCCCAACTCTACTTCTTTCCACCCAGGATAACTGGCATTTCATAACAGAGGAGGTCAAAGGCAGACTTACTGGTGTTGATGTCATCCTTGTCATCTTCCTGACATCCAGGCCTCTAATAACATCTCTGCTCTTCCCATGTCAATGTCAGCACCAGACGTGTGAGGAAGAGCAATCACTCCCCAAATCTCATACTTCTACAGGGCTGGACTCCAATCAGAAAACATTCTAGGAGAACAAGATGATAAAAATAGCCAAGATATTCTAAAGCAGCCAGGAGAGGCAAGAGAAGCAATGCAGGGAAGGCATGAAGCAAACACGAGGCCCATATCAGGCCAGTCTCCTGGAAGAGGGAGGCCCAGGCAGAAGGTTTGGGCTCCTGGAGTCCACTCCTCCTTTCTCGATTAGAGCTTCTCAAGATTTGTATTGGGCCTCTGTAGAATCTGACTTCTGTAGTGGCTCAATACAAATCTGTGGATACTCATTAGCAAACATCCACCTCGCAGCAGTGGGGTAAGGAGTCAATGATGTGATGCAGTCATGTAGCTGTGGATGAAAATGGAAGTAATTTGGAGAAGCCAGAGCTACATCCTCAACTCTGGATGGTGACAGTGTTGGGGGTAAGGACTGTTGCAGCATCATGATGGAGTGTATGTTTGGGAGAGCCTTTTTTTTTTTTTTTTTTTTTGAGACAGAGTCTTACACTCTGTCACCCAAGGTCCTACGTTGCCTCAGCCTCCTCATTTGTAACATGGGGATGATGACATTCTTCTCCCTTGGCTGTTGTAAAGATTAAATGAGAGTATGATGCCTATGATGATGACAATGACAATAGCATGATGAGCTTTGCTAACAATTATTGAGCACTTACTATGTGCCAAGTGCCTTATACGTGTGTTTGCCCTTTAATTTGTTACAGTACCACTATGAAGGAGATGCTATTTCAAATCTCCATTTAATAGATGAGCACATTAAGCCTTAGAAATGTTTATTAACTTGGCTAAGGTCACAGGGCTGGGAAAAAAGTCAAAGCAAGACTCAAACCAAGTCTATTCAATGCCACAGACTGTGAGCATAGCCATTTCTGAGCACAGTACTGACCCTGGGATATGCCTGACTGAGACCTTACCCCTCCAGCTCACCCCAAGGGCTCAGGCATGGTGGTATGGTATCATTTGTCTCACACACTCCCTGGAACCCTGTAATTTCCCTCCTGGCAGGCTCTTTTGTGATCCTGAGACAAGTGCTTATTTACCTCAACCACTTCTGTGCTCCAAAGAAAAGTTCAGCTCACCAGGAAGAATCATGCCAGCATTTCCCAGTGAACCACTCAGACAAGAAAAAATGCACTTTTCTCCCCCTGCGCTGCTTTCTAGTAACATTCGGCAGTAATAACAATAACATTAGTGGTGATGACAAGTCGAGGGACACAGCACACACTTAATGTTAGGCACTTTGCTAGTGCTTTACATATAAAATCTCTGTGCCCTATAGCTACTCCACACTGTAGGTACTACTGTTATGCCCATTGTATTGATAAGGGGTAGACAAACTCTGGCCCACAGACCAAATCCATCCTTCCACCTGCTTTTGTAAATAAACTTTTATTGGACTACAGCCATGCCAATTTGTGTATGTGTTGTCTAGGGCTGGTTTTGTGCTACAGCAGCAGAGTTCAGTAGTTGTCACAGAGACCATCTGGCCTCCAAAGCCTAAATTATTTACTGTCTGGCCCTTTACAGGAAATGTTTGCCAGTCCCTGATCTAAATCCTGACCCTGAGGATTAGAAAGACCTACCAGCTTTCCCAAGATGGCAGAGGGAAGCGGTGAGGGATTTAAAGCCAGACAGCCGCACAGCAGACTCATTGTATAGCCCCTTAGCTGTATTTCTTCCTGCTCTAGGCTTGGCAGAGAAGACATCTCTAAGCATGATAGTCCCCAACCCTTGACATTGGATAATATTCAACACAGACATAATGCTTGACAGGATGCACCATAGAAGGGACGTGATTCATTTGCAGACTGGCAGTCTAGACTCTTGCCACACTGGGTCTCATCTAGGTGTCTGTTCCCTCCCTCCCTCCCTCCCTCCTTCCCTCCCTTCCTTCCTTCCTTCCTTCCTTCCTTCCTTCCTTCCTTCCTTCCTTCCTTCCTTCTTTCCTTCCTTCCTTCCATTTGTCCGTCCATCCATTCTTCTCTGCTCAAGCTGAACTGCTGTCTTCATTTTTCTCCACGTTCCCACCTCGACAGCTTTGCTCACACCGTTTCCCCCATCTGGAATGCCTTCCTTTTCACATTTATCACAGTCCTACCCATTTTTCCAGGCCCGGTATATCTCCTTCAATAAGTCTTCCCCAACTGAGGCAACTCACCGGAAATTCTTTGGCATTTGTGCTGTATCAGCACAAGCTTTTGGTCCCTCCCTTAGATCCTTTGTGCACAAAAGTGAGGGAACGATGGCATCACGGATGATGTGTGAACCAGAGGGAAGAGCAAATGTGGTCCCTGCCTTTTCATCACCTAAAGATTCCAACTCCATGGAGCTCTATCCTTTATGCCCAGGAAAGAGCCTGCCAAAGGTCTCTGCCATTCATCTAAGACTTTAGACAGGTCACTTAAACTCCCTGAGCCTCTACTTCTTCATCCGTAATAATAACTGACACCGAGGGTTGTACCAAGCAAGGGCTGGCTGCTCTTCATGCATTGTCACATTTAAAGGTGATCCGTGACCTCCAGACTTCATGAAGTATTATGAAGACCGGGTGTAAAGAGGTCAAGTTAGAGGTCAGGACTCCCCAAGTCCTCTTTTGGTCTTGGTGACCTTTGCGAAGCTCCCCTTTCCCTCTCCAGGTGCCAGTTTATTTTTTAATGGTAAAATGAGGGAAGGGTGGACTGCATGATTTGGATGGACTCTTCAGGGTATAATACTAAAATAGTAAAAACCATTTTGCAACAAAATCATGTTAAAAAGACGTTGGGTGACTTCAAAACAATGCGTTGAATAAGCCATGCACTCCAGTGGGTGAAATGCTTCTTAACATGGAAAGTAGGGAGACAAAGCATTCTGTGGCTTCAATGCAACAAGATTTGGTGGAACTGTAAATGGATACTTGCTTTCTGATCACTTACCTAATCTGATCTCTGATCATTACCATTGTCACCAGTCTTGACTCTCTGAGACCTGACATTTGCTCCATGTTTTATGAGTATTTTTCATCATTTCTTTGGTTGCAGGGAACAAAACTCCAATTCAAACTGGCTGATATATACACAGATGAGCTCATATGAATGGGAAAGTGTCAGGTGTGGCTGAATGCAGGGGCTCACAAATGGCATCAGGTCTCTGTCTCTCTGTATCTTCCCCTCTCTGCTTGCCCTGTATTGGTGTAATTCTCAGACAGACTCGTTCATTGTGGTCAGCAGCAGCCTGAGGCTCACAACCTTCCATCTTCAGCTTGAGCAAAAAGACTCATTTTGCTAAGAGGTCCAATAAAGCCTCAGATTTAGGGTCTCACTGTCTCAGTCCAGACCTTTATTAATTCTGGGACCTGGGCAATGAAATATTCGGATTAGGAGCTAGGCTTGTGTCAGGTTTCCACATCTGGAACTAGGGAGGGATGCTCAGCCCACCAGAGCCCCAAGGACTGTGGTTAGGACTGGTGTGATCACCAAAATATGGAGAAAGGAATGAAGGAATGCCAAGTGGGCAGAAACAATAGCTGACCAGGAAACATGGCATTCCCTGAAGATTCTGTGTTCTGTCACATATCTCCATGCCTGTGCACATGTGGTGCTGTCTTCTTGGAATGTCCTTTCCCTTTTTCTGTTTCTGCGAAATTTCTATTTAACCTTTGAAAACAAGCTCAAATAACATGAGTTGTGAAAAGTCTTCCCTGACTCTCCTCCCTCTCTCCCTCTCCTGCACTCGCGCTCTCTCGCACGTGCTCTCTCTCTCTCTCTCTAGCAGTTATCACCCATGGCTCCCCTTCACTCTCTGGGCACTCCAAAAAGGCAGACATAGTATTCTGTTCCATTTTGCATTCCCAGATCCCAGCACTCAACCTGGGAGATAAAGAGTGCTCCCTAAAGCTTTGGTTGAAATAATGAATTGACTAATTTCAGCCCTCAGCCTTCTGATGTTATTGTTGATTTTTGTCTCCTACATCTTCAGTTTGAAAACGAAATCATCCTGAAGCTGGACCACGAGGTAGAAGGGGGCCGAGGCGACGAGCAGTACATGCAGCTCCTGGAGTCAATGTAAGTTCAGTGCCCTGTGTGTAGGAACAGCCTGTGAAGGTCAGGTGAGGCGGGAGGGCTCAGAACTCCAGGGGGCTCCGAGTGGCTCTGTCCTCCCCTGGAGATGGATCTAGAGGCTCATGGGTATTGGCAAAACTCCATTTTTGGAAGAAACCTCACATTTCTCTCTGGAGTGGCCATTTCTTTGGAACTGATAGAATGGGCCAGGTGAAAAGAATCTTTGCTGTGTTGGGAAGAGGGAAATAATTTACCAAAATGTCTACTTTCATTACTTCTTAACTGTGGAATGTGATTGCTATTTTTCCTTCTATTTAAATTTTTGACAGATGTTGGTCATGCCCTACGTTTACTGAGCACACTTAATAACTTAGCATGCTATTGTGCAATGTGCTGTGTAATCCCTCCTTTAATCACACTTACTCCCTTTGATGCCCATTTCACAGAGGTGGGCCCTGAGGCTGAGGGAAGTAAGCACATTGTTCAAGGAAACTAGGACGAGCTAGTGGGGTGGACAAGCTGCATCCTGAACCTGGCTCTGCCTGACTCCAGTGTCCAGGCCAGGGGCAGACAGTGGACAGAGAACAGTGCCCAAGACCACTGGACTTGGAGTCAGGACATCATTTTAACAGCTTTATCGAGATGTAATTTACATGCCATACAATTTACCCAAAGTGTACAATCATTGACTCTTAGTATGTTCACAGAGCTATGTAACCATCACCACAATCAATTTTACAACATTTTCATTACTCCTAAAAAGCAAACCTGCACCCCTTAGCCACTGCTCTGCCAACACACACACACACACACACACACACACGCGTGCGCACACACACCCAAACACTCCCCCATCTCCCCTAGCCCTAGGCCACCATTACTCTGCATTTTGTCTTGCCTATAATGTTTTCAAGGTTCATCCATGTTGTAGCATGTTTCAGTACTTAATGCCTTTTAATTGCCAAATAATATTTGGTAATTAAAATATTTGGTACCATATGGATGTACCCCATTTTGTTTATTCATCTCTCAGTTAATGTATATTTAGGCTGTTTCTACTTTTTTACTATTCGTATTGATTCTTCTGTGAGCATGCAGGTACAAGTTTTTGTGTGGACATAACGTTTACAGTTCTCTGGGGTATATACCTAGAAATTGAATTGCTGGATCATACGGCACCTATATTTGACCTTTTGAGGAATAACCAGACTATTTTCCAAAGTGGCAGCTCCATATATATTTCTACCAGCAATGTATAAGGGTTCCAATTTCTCTACATTCTTGTTAACACTTGTTAATATCTGTCTTATTGATTACAGCCACCCCAGCGGGTGTAAAATGATATCTCATTGTGGTTTTGAATTGCATTTCCGCGATGTGTAGAATTCATTGATTTTCAGTACACTCACAGGGCTGTGCATCTTTCCATGTGCTTATGGGTCGCTTGTATATCTTTGGAGAAAGACATTGGGTTTTGATCCTGGCTCTACCACTTAGCAGCTGCAAGACTTCACACAAATCACATGAGTCTGGCCTCAGTATCCCCATTTCTGAAATGGGAATAATAAGCTCCTGTGGTTATTGTGAGAACTGAATAATTATAAAGCATCTGGCACACAGCAGGTAAATGCTTCATAAATATTCTTCCATCTCCAGGACTTGCTCCCAGTTTCTGTCTTTGACAGCTTGGTAATTGCCCCCTTCTCCCGCGAGGCCTTCTCCTAAGGCTTAGGAACATGACCCAGACATCCCCACTTCTCGCTAAGTGCATATTCTCTGATTTCTATAATTCTCTGAGATCACTCTGGTTTGGATTCTTTCTTCAATCCTTTTTGAATGTTTTAAATTCAATAAGAAAGGCAAACTGAAGGCCTTGCTCTGACCCCCTACAATGAGCCTCTCGACCCTGCCCAAGCAGGCAGAGCCCAGAGGACAGGATGGCGCCCCAGGCAGTGCCATCTCAGCTGGCCCCTGTCCCCTTCCTGTCACCATGCATGGCCCTCACTAAACACTTAGAATGCAAATGCCATTTGGCCAGAAGGAGAAACCCACTGTCTGCCCCTCAGGTGGATATGGAGACTGATGTATCTGGGGGGAATAAACAATATTCTGGCTGAGTCAGTGTTTATCTTAAAGTTCTAAACAAGAAAATCAAAATATTGACCAGAAGTGAAGCAATGTACAGTGCTGGCAATTTCCATTTTTATAAGCGGATGGGGCTCTGCGGCGGTCTTCAGATGATCAGCAGGGTTTTCAAATCCTTCCTGAGTGATTATTTATAAAAGGAGTCCTTAGAGGTCAAAGAAATTAAAGACAGCTCATTATTTTTCTCCTGAAACAGAGGTGTGAATGATTTTTGCACAAAACAAATCAAGCCCGACACAGGGAGCCAGGTCCCCATCAGAACATCCATGGGGCCCCTGTGCCTGCTCCATCCTTTCACCTCTCTGAGTCTCAGTTTTCTTATCTGAAAATTGGGGATAAAATATTATCGAGCCCTTAGAGTTTTTGTTGGGAGTCTAGCAATATTAATTATTAGTAGTACAGATTGATTAGGCCTTATCTGAAATGCTTGGGACGAGAAGTAGTTTGGATTTGGGATTTGTTTTTCAGATTTTGAAATAATTATACTTAATAGTTAAGTGTCCCTAGTCTGAAAATCCAAAATCCAGAATGCTCCAGTGAGCATTTCCTTTGAGTGTCATGTTAGTGCTCAGAAAGTTTGAATTTCACATTTTCACATAGAGGACAGTCAATTTGTATTACTTACAGGTGGATAGCATTGCGGGTTTTTGAAGCCATGAGCCTGCCTATCTTTTCTCCCCTAGGCTAGTCATCTCAGTTCCTCCAGCCTTTCCTCCCAGCCCCTCTTTCAGGGCCTCACTGATACACAGGGCCCCCACTGGGCAGATACAGTCCTGTGGGCACATGGCTTGGATGGGGCCTTGGTGAATAGAGCAGAGCTACTCCCCCTGTGGCAACTGCAGCCTTGCATAGGAACACAAGGTTTAAGGCATGGAGTGGGGCTGAATTTCAGTCCTCATGTGCTCTGCGCAGTGCACAAGCTATATAACCTTACACAGCACTCCAGTTCTCCCTACCCTCAGAGCTCTCTTTGGAGCCCACGCTCATTGATCCACGTATATCTGAAAGTGTAAGTCTCACATTGAATGGATTCATAAGACACACCGCTGCCTTTCTGTATTTCATTCCTGCGAATAGTTCTAGAAGTGGTGAGGGAATCGGAAGGTTGAAGCAGATAGATGTATGTTCTTGGGCCTTTATCCTACCCAGACCCTTTCAATCCCTGGAAAAGGACCTGTCACAGGTCATTTCATTTCATTTCAAGGAATGAAAGAAAGTCCAGTTTCATTAGCACTGACAGAGAGGGGGAGTCTGGGATCCTCCCTCTAAAAGCCTCCAATGCCAAGTGAAAATCAACTGCAGGGAGGAGTGAGCCCCCTCTAGTCCTCCCACAACAGGAGCAGAAGCAGTGTGGCAAGTGTCCACCACCCTTCATTCCACTGCGTGAGGAATTACCTATATTTTCTTATGATTCCCAAAGCTTTTGTCATACTCTGTTGTGGGATTACAAGGTAAACAATTAAACAGGCTTAGCATGCGGTCTGGAACACAGGAAGTACTCAATAAGTGGTAGTATCATTATATATTATGGTTAATTTTTATCTATGTTTCCCATGCTAGACTGTGATCTCCTGGAACTCTGAATCCCTAGTTTCTAGAATGCCACATGTTGAGTGGAAGGATGGATAGTGGATGGATGGGTCATTTCTAGCCAATTTTCCCATCCATTTCACCAATCCTAGATGGTTTGAGCACCTTTCTTGCTCCATGCATAAAGAATAGGAAAAGAAAGAAAGCCAAGACCTTTTTCTTCTAAACCCTGGTTTCTCCAAGTGTGGTCCATTGACCCGCAGCACTGGTATCACCTGGGAGATTGTTAGTAAGGCAGCTGCTCAGGAACCAGCCCAGATGTGATGAATCAGAATCTATTAACACAATGCCCCAGTGATCCCCATGCACATGGAAGTTTGCAAAGTCTTGGACAAAACCAGTTGTTCTTTTTTTTTTTTTTTTTGAGACGGAGTCTCGCTCTGTCGCCCAGGCTGGAGTGCAGTGGCGCGATCTCGGCTCACTGCAAGCTCCACCTCCCGGGTTCACACCATTCTCCTGCCTCAGCCTCCCAAGTAGCTGGGACTACAGGCGCCCACTACCATGCCCGGCTAATTTTTTGTATTTTTAGTAGAGATGGGGTTTCACCGTGGGAGCCAGGATTGTCTCTATCTCCTGACCTCGTGATCTGCCCACCTCGGCCTCCCAAAGTGCTGGGATTACAGGTGTGAGCCACCGCGCCTGGCCCCAGTTGTTCTTAATGTTAGTTCCATGTTGGAATCTCCTAGAGAATGTAAACAATAAAATACTGCTGCCTGGGTCCCACCCTCAAAGATTCTAAGGTTATTGACCTAAGTTGAGCATTGGGCTTTGTAAAAGCTCCCCTGGTGATTCTATCATGTGACCAGGGCTGAGAACCTCAGGTCTGGCCAAGCTCAGACCCCGAGATGTCTCCTGCCCTGGAAAGCTTTAAAAAATCACACACCAAACACTGGGAAGAAGCTTTGTTGCATTGTCATTAGGGTGGCACACAGGGCTAGAAGTGACTGTCCCAGGAGGAGGCATGCACAGCTGTGGCTGAGCCAGACAGGTCTAAATCACAGGGCCATTTGCATCTCCCATTGAGAGCCAGGGAACAGGTGCTTCTCCCAGAGTGAAGATGGATTTGTCTTATCACAGCCACAGTTTGAGACGTCGCCTTCTTGCAGCTTGGCTTGGCTTCTTGGAGGAAATGACCCTCAGAAGTCCTTGCTTTTCTTACCTTTACCCTCCTAAGGGCCCCTGGAGAGTTTCAGTTCCATGGGGAGAGTAGACAGATACAAATCACGTGGCCTGCATAATGTCTACTTGAGATACCTGGGAACACGCTCTGGTGTTTCTCTGTGGGAAAAATATCTCCCCTAAATTTAACAATGATTGGCTTGATTCAACTTACTATCACACTGATACTGGGAAGGTCCTTTAATCTTTCTCAGCCTTCATTTTCTCACCTGCAAAATGGGGGAAATAATTCTCACTTATCAGAATTACTGTGAGGATTTCTTAAGAAAAGTGACTAGTACAGTGTCTGGCACAGAATAAGTAATTAAGAAGAAATAGTCATCAAACAAAATTTTAACCCATCTGTTTCTCCCCACCTAGTCTGTGGGCTGCCAGACAGTAGGTGTGGTTCTTTTCTATATTGATGTCTTTCTCTCTACCACACAATGCCTAGCAACTAATAGATGCTTAAAGATGTTACATTTTTATTTTTGTTTTTAAAATTTAGAATATAAATACTAAAACAAATATTATAATTTTAAAAAATAATTTACACATACTTAAATAGAAAAATGGAGGCTTTTCTTTCCTATTTTCCCACCTAAAGCCTTGTTGGAAACAGCCATCACTACGAGTTTGGTGTCTATCCTTGCTGACTGTACATGGCACTTTATAAGCACATAGAGACACATGATGGCCATGTACACTTGCACACACATGCAGTGTTCGGCAGTAGAGACACGGATGCTGGGGCCAGACTTTTTGATATTCCTGACCATGTGACCTTGGACAGCTTAGTGGACCTCTCCATGCCTTCGTTTCCCTATCTACAAAAGTCCCATCTCATAAAATTGTGACAGGAGGTTAAATGAGTTACCATTTGCATGAGGTTTAGAATAACACCCTGGCCATGCTAAGCTCTATGTTAGTTGGTTAAGTGAAAAGCAAATATTGTTCTGAGACTTACTTTTCTCACCTAGCTCTATATTTTATAGAGCTTTTCATGCCCAGACATATTGAATCTCTCCAATATTTTTAATGTCTTCATAGAATTCCATTTGGTGAATATACTGTAATTTATTTAGGCCTTTCCCAATTGATGAGCATTTAAGATGGTTCCATCTATTTCACTATTAGACACATTTGTGAGTATTATATCTTTGCATACTTCTGAGAATATTTCTGTAGAACAGATTCTGCAAAGTAGAGTTGTGGGGTCAGAGGATATGTGCATTTACAATTTTTACAGATACTTTGAAAATTGCTTCCCCAAAAAAGTTTTCTTGATTTATTCTCAGCAGGGGTGGGTAAAAGTGACCATCTCCCCCACCATCATTATCTATATTGGAAACTATTTTATTTTTATTTTTTCCCATTCTGATGTTAGAAAAAAAATTGCTGCACTATATGGATAAATACATGAATAAATGAACAAAAGGAGCAGTCAGGGAACTTGGGTTGACTGACTGATTTTGCATGTGCTCCATCCCACCGCCCACTGGCCCCAGCACAGTCTTTCTCCCCAGCCATGAGCTCACTGCCCTCTGGTCTCTGCCGCAGCCTGATGGAATGTGCTGCAGAGCACCCAACCATTGCCAAGTCGGTGGAGAACTTCGTGAACCTGGTCAAAGGCCTCCTGGAGAAGCTGCTGGATTACCGGGGTGTGATGACAGATGAGAGCAAAGACAACCGCATGAGCTGCACCGTGAACCTGCTGGTGCGTGGGGCTGGCGGGTCCAAGTCAGACCAGAACCCTGTGGGGGGGCTTGGGCTTGGCTTTGGGTCTCACGATTGTTCTTCATAGGGAAGCAGTGCTTAAGGGCTTTGGAAAGCAGACAAATGTGGAATGGAACGTCTGCTGCGCTTTCTGCTAGCTTTGTGTCTTGAGGCCGTCACTTCACCTTTCTATGCCTGCCTCCTTATTTATAACATGAGATTAATGCATATTCCCTTTAGCACTCAACACATCACATGGAAGGAAGATGACAGTATAGACTGGCTAAGAGTATGAGCTTTGGAGTCACACAGCCTCTGGGTTTCCATCCTATATCTGATAATTAATGGGATGGACAAGCTAAGGAAATGTTCTGAAGTCTTAGTTTGCTTATCTATTACATGGAGAAAATAATGGTTCCAATTTCATTAGGTTGTGTTGCCCTGGCCCATGGTTAAATGCTCACTACGTATTAGTTTCCTTCTTCTTATAGAATGGAGTCACACTAATAACTAGAATTGCTGTTACTATGAACCAGGTTAACCAGAGAAGCTAACCCCAGACCCAAGTTCTTAACCCCTATATTCCATGAGCTCCCATGGGCTGGCTGCCAAGCAGCCTCTCTCACACGCTCTGTGATTCGACCAGGAGACAGGTAGGTAAGCAGCCATAATGCTTCATATTCACCGTGTCATCCCACCTTAAAGTGGTTTAAAAGAATGAAGTTGACCAAAAGGCCACGTGACATCCATCACATCAACCTCCCTACCATTCCCAAGGCTCCTGAAACACAAAACCTGTCCCCAGAGCTCTGTTGTGTGGCCTCCCTTTACCCTAAATAGACTTTTTTTTTCAACAGCCTAGATATTGCCATTGATTTTCTAGAATGCCAAGGAGAGTTTAAAAATCCCGATGACAGCAGAAAGGAATTCATTGCTAATAACTCCACCAGGCCCAGTTTACATAAAGATCATGAAGAGGTGTTTTCCACGAGCTGAGCAGCTTCTCTCTAAGGAGAGACAGAGTTGGTTGAGGAAAGTGACCTTTAACAGCCAGCTAAGATCAGGGAGAATGCTTGGGACAGACAGTTCTCCAAGCACTGAGACACCACTAGTTTTTAGTGCATTGCTTAAATATGGTGTCAAGGAGGAGGGTGGGGATGGAGGTGGTATCAGGACAAATGATGTCCAGTATGATTTGCCACCCATTGACTGTGTGCTCTGGAACATGTCACCACCCTTCTCTGACCCTCAGGTGCACGTGGGTGTGCTGCATTAAACCAGGATATACACCTGGTGTGGCTCATGGATTGGACCAGGACCACCTGGCTCAGAATCTGTAGGGACTTGTTTAAAAAATGCCACAGGATTAGGATCTCTGGTGGTGAAGTCCAGGGCAGCTACTAATCTAAATGGCCCCTGAGCTGGAATAGGGACCTAGATTCCTACGTATTGCCAAGTTTAAATGTTTTGGCGACAGAATCCCATATAATTCCTGATAGTTCTGCACTATCAGGAATTCTGATCTCTTACTATTACCGAGGTGCTACCACTCACTTTCCAACTCAGGTTCTTTCCAGTGCAAGGCCTGAGCTTTGAAACATCAAGCTGGGCTGCCTTTCAATGTGGGCCTGGTTAAAGTAGACTACCCCAGTCTTGGCAGCCCACCTCTCAATGCAGCAAAACACTGAACTGCCCCTCCTGATATGTGATGGCTGAGACACATCAAGTCCTCTCTGTTCCTTTATAGTCTAAGGGTCAGGGAAGTGACTTTCAAAGCAGAATCTTCCAATTAGGCTGTTTGATGCATCTTTGGGGCATCCAGGAAAATAAGTTTCTTATTCCTATCTCAGGGTACCCAGATACTAGACAGCAATCTTCCTCTCATCTTCATCACCACACCCTTGACCGCTGTGATATTGCAGAGAACAACACTCATCATTGTTTTTCCTCCCCTACCTAGAATTTCTACAAAGATAACAACAGGGAGGAGATGTACATAAGGTAAGATTCATATTTTCTAAAATCCAGACCTGCTGTGTCACTTTCCTGCTCAGTATCCATCGATGGCTCCCTGCTGCCTTCAGGATAAAATTTAAACTTCTCTTCTTGACATTCAGGCCCTCTGTGTTCTGATTCCTGTCAATTTCTCCAGATTCAATTCCTTTCATTCTCCCACAGTCAGCCCCATAAAACCACGTGAAATCGTCTGGCCTTCCATGCTGTCCTGTTGTTCCCACAGATCATATTTTCCTTAAGAGTGAATACTTTGTGATTTGAACTGTTGGGGTGCATTTGCATTGTTGCGGGCCTGACCTTGGATAAATTACTGTGAAGCCTGAGTCCAGACATGTAGTAAGACCATTGACTAGCCCAGTTTTGAAGGGAAAAAAAAGATACTAAGATGCATGATATCTGCATCCTTGTAGGCATTTAAATGATATTATTTGAATATATCATGAAGGTTTTTTGGGGACATTAGCCTGAAGCAAAGAACTCCTTTGCCAGTTTTTCTCAGAATCTCATATTTTTTTCTGCAATTTAAAAATTATTGTTACTTTTATTTATAATAAAAAATATATACTTATTACAAAACAAAAATAAACTTATAAAATATGGGCAAGCAACACAACAAATGAAATAAATTCCCATAATCCATACATATTTCCAGGACTTTTTTATATTTATATATACATTGAATTCTATGCATGCATATTTTTTGCAAAAATGGGTTTATATTACTTGTAATTTATTCTTTGCTTTTTCTAACTTGACAAGAACTCCATGTTGACAGATGTATATCAACATCATTTTTAATGAAACTATAAAATTTTTTCCAGAATATATCATCATTTATATAGCCAATCCTATATTGTTGAACATTTAGATTGTTTCCAACTTTTTCTACAATAAAAAGCACAAAAACAAATTTTTTTTTTTTTTTTTTTTTTAAAGACAGAGTTTCGCTCTTGTTGCCCAGGCTGGAGTGCAGTGGTGCCTATTCAGCTCACTGCAACCTCTGCCTCCCGGGTTCAAGTGATTCTCCTGCCTCAGCCTCCCGAGTAGCTGAGACTACAGGCCTGCACCACCACACCTGGCTAATTTTGTATTTTTAGTAGAGACGGGGTTTCACCATGTTGGCCAGGCTGGTCTCGAACTCCCAACCTCAGGTGATCCACCCACCTTGGCCTCTCAAAGTGCTGGGATTACAGGCGTGAGCCACTGCGTCCGGCCACAACAACAAAATTCTTGGACGTATACCTTTATGCACATCCTTATGAGGCTGGAGCCCTTGAGGTAGAGTCAACCAGAAGATTGAGGAGCAAGGTATTTACAGGGCTTTTGTCACATTCTGTCAGAGGGCAGAAACTTCAAGTCTACGCTCACTCTGCTATTACGGCAGATATATCTAGGTACCTAGTTTAGCATTACTCCAGAAATAGGAGCTATCATTTGGAGAAAAATAATTTTATAGGTTGTCCTGAGTTTGGGATATTTATAACATCACTAGTCATACCTTATTGTAGCAGCACAAAGCTTTGGGGTCTGAAGGACCTCGGTCCTTGCCTCACTTTTTCTGTAACCTTGGATAAATTACTCAATCTTTCTGGGTTGAGGTTTTCCTACCTGTAGAATGTTTCCGTCCTACCTTCTGTTTTGAGGATTAAATGAAGTACTATAGGTAATATGGCTGCCACATGGTTTCCTCCCTCCAACCTTGTTTCTCCCCTTCTCATTTTAGAAACACAGACGGCAAATCCCAGACCTCCACAAGCTTTGGAGATTTGAGGCCCGTAGTAATCTAAGAAAACCATATTTATCTAAACCAGACTGCAAACAGGGTATAGTCTGAAAATCTGTTCTGTTTGGCAGGCAGAATATTTAAAAACATTTTTAATTGGCTGCCAACATTTAAAAATCTGGAGATTTTACATAAAAATCAAAATTTCCCTTTTCTCCTGGAAAACTCAGAAGGTGTGACAACACTGGGCCCTCGTCCTATTCTGACGACTGTTAGCCGAACCGGGTGGTGGCAGCCATTCTGGACAGGCCTGGAGCACTGTCATCACGACATCATCTCTATTCCCTACTGTGCTACTCCCCGTCCACCTCGCTCAAGCACCTGCCATCTGGAGGTGCTTGAGTTTGGTATCCCTGGTTGAGGGACGTCTTCTTTTTACTAGGGTGCCTTCTTTTGGGTTCTGTAGCAGATCATCAGACCCTTGAGTTAACAAGGAAGAGGAGAGGGTGCCAAAGGAGGAGTTGAAAGTAGCAGGGAAGCTCTCCCCTGGGCTGCTCTCCCCAGGTTTTTTGAACTCAGCCATCTAGGGGTCTAAGGCATCGAGGATGGGCAGGAGGAGATAAGGCAGAATTAAGCCATGTGTGCACACACAGGTGTTTCTAAATTCCAAACTCTCTACATGGAGGTCATGTGCAATTTCACGGTTAACTCCGATTGGCAGAACGTTAGGCGGGAGGAAAGTGGAAAGGCTGTGTCTGTGAAAGCAGAAATCACTAAGCTTGAAATCTGCTTCTGGCTCTGGCTCTTTTAACCTGGATCTCAGTTTTCTCATCTTAACAGAGTTATTGGAAGGATGAATTGATAAAAATACATGATAATAAAACACCCATTTTTTGAATGAATGAATGAACAAATGTTTCTGCCTGGGAAGCTCTCCCAACTCATCCCCTTCCCCTTCAGATCAACTGTTATGCCATGGGAACCTTTTTAGAAGCCCCTCTTCTCCCCACCTGGATAAAGCGTGCTCTCCTAGTACCATAGACCACTCCTTCACAACACATATCATCGCTGTGTTCTTGCTGTTATGTATCTGATGATTTGATTCATGCCTGTCTCTTCTCCTAGACTCTAATCCCAAACCCTGAGAACAGTGCCTGCGTTTGTCACTGTTTATCTCTAAGGCCTGTTATAGCCTGGATGCCCGGTACAGCTTTGCTGAATGAATAAGTGAATGAACAAAAGACTGCCAGGGCATCCCAGCACAGCAGCTATCAAATCACCACTAGGTGACCTTTCCTCGCCTCAAAATCTTTGGCGGTCCCTGCCCTGATTTCAGGCAGCCTACATTTGACCCACTGACCCATTTTATGTGGCAGGAACACTGAACATTCACTTCTCCTTTGGTGAGCTTCGTGCAGAAAGCCTTTTTCCCAAAAGGAAAATAAACCAGAGCATTGAGACACGCATTGAGTGGAGATACCCGAGAAACCCTGTGTTCCCTGGTGTGAGACAGTGGGTCAGGGTAGAATGCTGGCACCATGGCAGGCATTCCCTGCCTCTCCTCTCACATGAAGAAATTAGCATATCCCCTCACCACATTACTTAGAGTTGGGTTTAAATAAATCCTGCTAATGATATGCAGGTCACCGATGCAGTGGTTCATTGCCTCTGGATTCTGTTTCCAACGGTGGCAGGAGAGAATGTTTTGTAGAGGAATCTAGTTCACAGTGATAATAGGTAATAACTGTCACTGCTCAGTGCCGGCTACAGGCTAATCACTTTCAGTGCATACTTGCATTTCTTAGCAGCAATGCAAGCTGTCATGTATTGAGCCTTTTGTAAGACACACATGGTCTCCTTGGCCCTTTATATGCCCAGTCACTTTATAGATAGGTTCTGTGAATGTTGCCATTTTACAGATGAGCAAACTAAGGCACAGAGAAGTTAATTCACTGCCCCTTAATACCTATTATGGATCAGTTATCTAAGAATTTTCCAAAGCGCCCTTCCTTTGTCCTTGTTCTCATCCTCAGTACCCTCAGTTATATTGCCATCTCATGGTTCATAACTGGGATCTCACTTTTCAAAGGGACAGGAAGTTAAAATGTGACTGCAGTCAAATAGCTAACTCTTCCTACTGACAGCTCAAGGTCTACATATGAATATCTATTCTCCAGCCCCGATCCACTTCCTTTTATTACCAAAAAATGCACTTACTTACACCCAGAGAACTCTGCAGAGAGGGGTAGGAACTGCCCCTTATAGCTGCTGTGGCTTGTTCATACTCCTTCAATGACACAGTGATTAAGAGCAGGCATCATGTCCTGACTCTTCTGTTTATTAGCACAGAACTCCTGATAAATTGTCTCTCTCTCCTTCCTTTATTTCTCTTGCTTGTCATATTGCATTGGCCAGACCATTCATTATCAAGTTGCATGTTAGCTGGAATGGCACCTAACTTATCCAGGCAATAGTTCTCTCATCTGAAAAGAGGAATTCCTGAGACTCATCTCATAGGGTTGTCATAAATATTAAGTAATCTAAGAAATTTAAAATAGTTAACTTAGTACCTGTCATGCACTAAGTAACCAACACACACTAGGTGCTGTCATTACCCACACAAAGTTCTGGTTATCCAGGGAGGAGGACTTTCTTGCGACCCAGAGAGGTGCCCAGTTGTTCTCTGGGCTCCTGCTTGTCCCTGCCAGGTGTCTCCTTTTCACTGCACCTGGTAGCTTACTGCATATTTTCCCTCAAACAGGTACCTGTACAAACTCCGCGATCTTCACCTGGACTGTGACAATTACACAGAGGCTGCCTACACGCTCCTTCTCCACACCTGGCTTCTCAAGGTACAGTCACTTTGGGTGAAGGGCATTTATGCTGGGATCCTGACAGGGCCTCACAGCAAGTTGAAGAGTGAAAAAAGAAAAAAAAGAAAAAGAATCCAAATATTTTGTTTTGCCCTGTGTCTCCAAACTCTTGAGCTGGCAGGATACTTTTTGCACTGCTTCCCTGGTCACATGTGGTTTTGAGTGATCTTTACATTTAGCAAAAACAACCCCTCTTCGAGATACATTTTGCAGCTTTATATAATATCTAAACTGCTATTAACGGTAAATCATTGGCATGCCCACTGAGCTGCATTCCTTCTGTTGAGAACTTAGCTGTAGCTGGGAAAAAAATCAGAATGATTTCCTTTGGCTTTGGGAGAGCTGGGAGCATGTTTCTTAGGGGTTCAATGTAAATATCTACAAACAACACACAGAGAGCCAATAAAGAGTAAGATAAGTGCAACTCAACAAAAACCAGGAGCCTTCACAAGTGGAAATTGCAGCCCAGCATCTCTCTGACTGACACTGGCACCCAGGACAGGCAGGGGGAAGCTAGCAGAGGGGAGGGTGTTTGCAGGGCTTCATCTGACTCCTGATCACTGTGGTTTTAATATTTCATGTTCCCTCATTTGTCTGTTTTGGGACTTGGGACATTAGTGCTGCCTGGAGGGCAACCTCCAAATATCCTGAGTACTCATGCCTCAAAAGGGCAGCCTCTCCAGTGGTACCCCAAGTTTCCAGAAATAAGCTGAGTTCAAGAAAGGAGGAGAGATGGAAAGGACAGGGTGTGTGTTGGCAGGGTGGTTCCTGCCTTTAATCCTAGGAAGACACCTGCTCTTGGCAGCCTCTCGGCCCTGTGTGACTTCCTGTGTCTTCTCTTCACAGTGGTCGGATGAGCAGTGTGCATCACAGGTCATGCAGACAGGCCAGCAGCACCCCCAGACACACCGGCAGCTGAAGGAGACGCTCTACGAGACCATCATAGGCTACTTTGACAAAGGAAAGGTAATCTGTCCCTGCCCACCCCCCGTGGGGACCCTGGCCACTGGAAGGATGGTTCTCTCCCATACCTTACATCCAATCCATCCTCAGCTCTGTCAGATATCCCTGCAAATCCTAACTCTGATCACTTCTCTCCACTTCCTCTCCATCTCCATTCCTTCCACCTCCATGTAAGGCACCGACATTGCTCACCTGGACACTGCGATGGATCCTAAACAATTTTCCTGCTTCCTCCACTACCCCCAACAGATCATCCTCCATATAGCAGATAGGATGATCATAAAGCATAGATTGGATTATGCCATTCCCCCACTCGCAGTTTCTCAATGGCTCTCCCAATCTACTTAAAACAAATTACACAATCCTTCCCATGGCCCATGAGGCCCCACATGAGCTGTGCCCTGGCTGCCTCTCTCATTTCATCCCTGCTGGGGTCCCTCTTGCTCACGTGCTCTATGCCAAGCTCTTTTCAAACTCAGGGACTGTGTACTTGCTTTTCCCAGCTGGAAGCATTCCTCCACCATAGCTGCCCACTGGAACGCTGGGCTCCACTCAGATGTCACATGCTAGGGAGGCCTTCCCTGACCACCACTAGGCAAACCAGCAGCACCACTGCCCCAGGTTACCCTTATGGCTTCTTCAAAGCACTTGTTCCTATGAGACATCATCTTGTTCATTTTCTTTTTACTTGTTTATTTTCTGGCTCCCCAATTTAGAATGCTATGAGAGCAGAGACTTGTCTTGCCCACTGCTAAATGCCCAGTGACTAGGACAGAACCTAGGAAGTTCCCAGTGAATATGTAGGCCTATGTCCTAGGTTCTGTTCTAATCACTGGGCATTCATAAATGAATGAACTGAATGGATAAATGACATGCAGTGTCATCCTTGATCTTTAAACAGCAAGGATGCTTGGCTGGGTTTGGTCAGGAGATTGGCCAGACCAGCTGCTGCTCAGCTCCAGCCTCTGGTGGACCTTCAGGAAGTACCAGCCCCAAAACTGCCATGCACCCTATAGAGAACATTGCTCGGTGGCCACATGCTCAAGTTTTGGGGCCAGATGGCCCATCTGCAATCCTTGCTCCTCTACCACCTACTCTTCCCTTGACCTAAGAGACTCCAATTCCCCACCCATAACAGTGAGATGCTAATAGTACCTTCTTTCTAGTTGTACCGTGAAAATAGAGTGAGAAAATGCACGTAGAGCACCCTGCATAGGACCTAGTGCATAGTAATAGCTGGTGAAATGTCAGTAACCGTCATCATTATCCTACTCCACCGCTTCCTCTCCCAAGCCTTTCCTGAGTCCTCTGGCTTACCTGCAGCCCTCCCTCTCCTCTGCAATGCAAGACCTCTTACAGTTCATCAGGACATAATTTAGCACTCAATTTGGGCCTGTCCTGTCACTGTAGTTTATTGCATCTGTCTTAGTCGGACCCTTCTACCTTCTCTGGAAAGATAAAATGAGGTAATGTCTGTGGAAGGGCTTATAAATTCCCAAGGCTCAAGCAGTTGGAGAGCACTGTTTTCATAATTTACAATTATAAGCCTCTTGAGGGCAGAGATGCTGCCATCCCTTGAACCTCCTGCCCTGCTGGGTGTCAAGTCAGAGCTTACTATTTGTTTATCAGCTGATTAAGTATGTTGCAGTGTGAGAGCCTAAAAGTACACGTTGAGCTTTGTCCTCAGCAAGATATTCAATTCAGCCCACTCTGTGCTGAGCAGAGAGGAAAAAGGCATGATCCCCAACCTCAAAAAACTTACTGTCTAGTGAGCAAAACAGACATGCCAATAATAATATTTTTTGCATTGCCCTTTGGCATTGTGCAATAATGGGGAAAAAGGCAAAGGAACAGGGTGGTGCCAAAGTACTTTGAGAGCAGAGAGGAGGGAGCAGATGGGTACAGCTTACCCTGAAAGCCACTGCTATGGAAGCTCCTAGAAGGAAGCCCAAACTCCTCAGTGCCCCCTCAGCTTTCGTTCCCTATACCTCCTCAGGGAGGCTCATTGCTCCAGGCACACATGCTGGCTTTCTACTCCATAAGTTCATCTTGCCATCACCCGATAGACTCCTCTAAATTCCTCAAAACCAAACGATTTCATCTATTGATGTATATCCTTTGTCCACTTATGTTCCATGAGAGTAGAGTCTGTGTCTCGTCCATCTTTATATCTGTTTCATTACTGCACACCACACCATGCCCAGAACCCACCGTGTGCTTAGTAATGAATGTGTAAGACTCAGAGAAATTAGTGACTGTTGGAGGTCCCAGTGGCCACACAGGCAGACCTGAGAGGAAATCCCAGGCACCTGACTTCCTGCCCCGCCCTTTCCCTGGTCTCTTAGTGATCTCTTAACCCATGGGGAGAGCGTTTCTTTTCCCTGTTCACATTATGGTGAGAAGTAGACAAAGACCTATACTTGAGCCCAACAGTCCCCTGGCCCAGCCCAGGGGGATTACCCCAAACTTCAGGTTCAAGGTGAAGAGAAAACCCCAGCCTGGCCCATATACTTGATTCCTCTTCCCAGCACATAAAGCATTTTTATGCTGCTTGCTGAGCTGTCCGTGGGTTTACAGCCGTGGCTTCTCCACTCGGCACTTGGTTTTATTTATTTTTATGCTTGGATGCAGAGAGAGCACTTTTGCTACACAGCTCACACTGCATTTTGGCAACCTCCCCTCTCTCCTCCTCCTACCTCCCCCAGCTTCTCCATTTAGGTGCATTTTCCATTTTAAACTGAAGGTGAAATGTAATGGCTATCCCTAGAGATTGCCAGCCTCCGGTCCACCCTGCATCTCCCCTGACTCTGCAGACCGTCCTGACCTCCTTCGGTCTAAGAGAGTGAGGTGATCTATTGACTCTCGTCTAAGACAGAGGAGAGAAGAATTATCCACTATGTCTAGGGTTTCTTTGTTTAGAATTTTTTCTCTTAAGATGGAGAAGACCTACTATTAAAAAAAAAGTCTTAATTTTTTTTTAATATTCTAGCACCACCCCTTCCACCTCTATGCTACCTGACTCTACTTCCACACATCAAATAATCCCATTAAAAAGTGACAGGATTGGCAGAGTAGAAGAATCCCAGGACTGCATATCAGGAGAACTGGGGCCTGGTCCCAACTTTGTCCCTGGAAACTCTGACCTTGAGCCACCTTGCTCACTTCTCTGTGAACCATTTATCTTTGGAAAAGGGGGCCAACACCTCCCTGAGGAGGCTGAGGGAATCAAAGGTTTCCTTCACTAAACACGAGCACGTGGGAGGCAGGGACTGAAGAGCAAGGCCCTGGAGACACACACGGGGGCTTGCATCCTGACCCTGCTTTTAGTGAGGCGTTTTGACCCGGGACAGGTTGCTGGGCCTCTCTGAACCTCTGTTTCTGACCCGGACAATGAAGATGCTGTCAGTTACCTCTCAGAGTGGTTGTGAAGAATCAGAGCACGTAAATAAAGGGTTTAGCCTCATCTGTGCCTACTCAATTGTTTATCAAGAAACTCCGGTGAGAGGCCAGAGGAAGGTCGTCCTCTCTAGGAAGCCCCCGGCCCCTCTGTATGGGGGTGGATCTGGGTCAGAGCAAGGTTTCCCCTCAGTCCCAGGAAGCACAGCTACGCCTGAGTCCCTTCCTCAGCAAGCGCTCTGCAAACCCGGTGGTGCCACCTCACCTTTGTCCCTGTGACCTTCCTGTAGATGTGGGAAGAGGCCATAAGTCTGTGCAAGGAGCTGGCGGAACAGTACGAGATGGAGATCTTTGACTATGAGCTGCTCAGCCAGAACCTGGTAAGGCATCCCCTGGGAAGGCTGAATGCCCTGCAGGCTGGGTGCTCAGGGCCTCAGCTCACCCCAGATCCTGGGGAGATGGGCATGAGGGCCAGGCGGGGTTAGGGAAATAGAAAATGAACGGAAGTAGGACCTGAGAGAGGCTGTACTGAGCATCTCCCTTCCCGTGGGGAGTATTTTCAAAGAGAGATGTCGTGGGGAAATGCTTCGGTGACAGCTCCTCAAAGGGAGCATTGAGTACCTGCGAGGGGCTGCAACTGCCACCGCTGCTGCAGCCCCAATAAACGCTGTGTTACATTTGCAGTAAAAGTTCCACAAATCACTAAACCAATTAAATAAAAACACAAATTTGTGCTTTCTGATTAACAGATAAATCACATTAAAATGCTCCCCATCTGGTTACTCCCATTAGCATCTCCATGCTCAGGATTTGGTGGGGGAAGTGGAGAGTGGGGGAAGCCAGCCCAGCCAATCCTGCTTGTACTGCAGAAGCCTGGGTTTGGCGGGGAGTTGGACTCTGCAGGGAAATGCAGAACTCTTTGGCTGCTTCCCTCCCGCCCATCCTCCCCACATGTTTTCTGGCTGCCTGAGCAGCAGGACCCCAGGGACCCCTCTTAGCCCACTTAGAGAGGCCAGGCCAGCGACTTACAGAGTCAGAATGTTAGGAGAGGATTGATAGCTTTTGGTGGGGGGAAGGTATAGTGATCTTGTTAAAAACAGCTGAGCTGTTAACTGTTTTCACTGTTTGTAAGATAATACACAAATACACACACATGTGCTTGCACCAAGAGACACCTAATACCTGCCCCGCGTGTACCTCCACATAGATGTTTGCCAATGCCTATGCCCAAGACACACACACATACACACACACACACACACACAGGATACATTCAAGCACACACTAATGTATGTGCACTTGCCTGCACAGAGTCCACATCACACAGGCCCCCGTCTAGATCCACATATATCTTCCAGATTGTATCAAATGGAAGATGCCATCGATCATACACCATTCTTTTTATTGTGCCATGTCATGATTCCTTCAGGGCCAACTGCAGTTATAAGATGCCATTAGGTGTAAAGTAAGATTCAGACTGTTTCCAGAGATGTTAAAATACGAAAAACACACACCTCTTAGAATAGATGAAATGTCTTAGGTATACATGCACAGGAAAACATCTGTATCAGGGGGCATTTATTCATTCCATAGCCTCACAAATCCATGCCCAAGTGTGCATGGAGGTGGGAGCAGAGATGCAATGATGGGAACCCTGAATGCAACTAACTGGGTTCAGCTCCATGCTTACTGGCTGCTTTACGAGATACCATTTCTTTATCTGCAAAATGGAGATACTCATGGGATTATTACAAGGGTGATTCAAGTAACCACACTAGTGCAGGTAGAGTGATTAACACAGTCCCTGGTATACTGTAAATATAGCTATTACTATTGTGATTATAGACATAGCACAGATATGTAAATATGTGCACATGGCTCATTGGCTCTGGTATAATGAAAATGTCTTCACCAAGGCCTCTTTGAGTTGAATGTGCCTTTGATACACATCTGTGTTGCAACAAACCTTGTTTTCTTCCTTTAGATCCAGCAGGCAAAATTCTATGAAAGCATCATGAAAATCCTCAGGCCCAAACCAGACTACTTTGCTGTTGGATACTACGGCCAGGGATTCCCCTCCTTCCTGCGGGTGAGTTTGGGGGTGACTTGGACACCAGGCGAGAGCCCCAGGGCCTCGGCATCTCAGCGGTCCTTCTATGCTTTGAGGATTTGCTTGTGCTCAGAAGCGGTGCTCTTCTCTGTCTGAGTGCTGCCCCCATCCCCAGGAGACTCCCCAGTCAATAGCCCTCATCATAATCACCAGCATTTCTCATCTACTGTGTTTCTCTAACTACACAGCAATTACAGCTGCCTCGTGAGGTAGTGAGTTCCCCGTCACTGGAATGAGGTGTTCAAAGAGAGGCTGGAGGATGTTTGCTGGCAGAGATTTGCTTTCAGGAGTTACTGTAGAGCAGTCGTTCTCAGGCTTTTTGGTTCCAGAACCTTCTTTCTCTCTTAAAAATTATTGAGGATCCCAAAGAACTTGTGTGTATAAAGATAATCTCTATCTACATTTACTACATGAGAAATTAAAACTAAGAAAATGTTTTTTGAAGTGTTCATTTATTTGAAAATAACAATAATGGTCCAGGCATGGTGGCTGATGCCTGTAATCCCAGCACTTTGGGAGGCTGAGGTGGGCAGATTACTTGAGCTCAGGAGTTCGAGACCAGCCTGGGTAACACGGTGAAACCCTGCCTCTACAAAAAATACAAAAATTAGCTGGGCGTGGTGATGCGCACCTATAATCCCAGCTATTTGGGGCCTGAGACAGGAGGATTACCTGAACCCAGGAGGTTGAGGCTACAGTGAGTCATGATGGGGCCACTGCACTCCATCCAGCCTGGGTAACAAAGAGAGACCCTGTCTCAAAAAATAAATAAAATCTTAAAAATAAAAATAGCACTAATAAACCCATTACATGTTAACATAAACTGCAATTTTAGGAAAAATAGCTCTATTTTCCAATAAAAAATCAGTGAAAATCATGAGATTGCTTCACATTTCTGCAAATCTCTTTAATGTCTGACTTAAGAGAAGACATCTAGATTCTCATGTCTGCTTCTGCAATCTGTTGCGATCACACATCACGCAGCCTCAGAAAGCTCCATCGTACACTCATGGGAGAATGAGAATGAAAAGGATAAATAACAGCTTTCATGTTATTGTGAAAACAGTGTGATCTTGTGGTTCCTGAGAGGGTCTTGGGAACCTCAAGTGTCCCTGGAGCACAGTTTCTGAACCACTACTGTAGTGGCCTATTTACCCATCACGTGACGAATTGGATTAGGTCACCAGTAGGCTTCCTTCAGTCTGTGAGCCTATGGTTCAACTCTGGGGTGAGGGAAATACAAAAGAAATGGCTAATCTGATCTCCAACCTCACTTGATTTAGTCTAGTCAAGGAGATAAATCACTCACAATTATTAATCAACAATCAATGTGGAAGTGAGAGTGGGCCTGCAGGAGTGATTGCCATGAGCCGCAGAGAGGGGTGCAGGTTTCATGGAGGAAGTAGAGGTGGCTTCCCAAACCTGGCTGTACGTCAGAATCCCCTGGAGAACTTGTTAAAAGTGCAGACTCCTAGGCCCCACTCCCACAGATCCACAGATTCCATTTCTTGCTCTGTCGCCCAGGCTGGAGTGCAGTGGCTTGATCTCGGCTCACTGCAACCTCTGCCTCCTGGGTTCAAGCTATTATCCTGCCTCATCCTCCCAAGTACCTGGGACTACAGGCATGTGCCACCACGCCCAGCTAATTTTTGTATTTTTAGTAGAGACGGTGTTTCACCATGTTGGCCAGGATGGTCTCCATCTCTTGACCTCATGATCCGCCTGCCTCGGCCTCCCAAAGTGCTGGGATTACAGGCGTGAGCCACCAGGCCCAGCTGGGAATCTGAATTTTTAAAAGTGTCCTAGGCTCCTTGGATGATCAGCCAGGTTTGGAAGCACTGATATGTAGAGATGTATGACAGATGTGTGTTTGGACAGAGGAAATTAGGGGCCATTTTAGGCAGTATGGGTGGCACAGATGTCTAGAGCAGAGTTTCTCAACCTCAGCACTATTGATATTTTGGGCCTGAAAATTCTTCATTGTGGGGCTGTGCTATGCATCGTAGGATGCTAGCAGCATCCCTAACCACTACCCCGTAGGTTCTAGTAGCATCCCCCATTCCCAGTTGTGACAACCAAAAAACGTTTCCAGATACTGCCGATGTCCCTTGGGGGACAACATCACCTTTAGTTGAGAACCACTGATCTATAAAAGACTAACATGGTCAGGAAGGATAAAGAGTGTGTTTTCACAGGCTTAGAGCCAGAAGCCAGGTGATGAGGATATGAATGCTGAACCATTCCAGCCCACAGGTCCAGCCCACATGGCCCATTACAGGCAACGGGGAAATGTTGTGGCCATGTATATAGGAGAGTGGGTGTGACACAGTGAAACCTGAGTGAGTAATTATTCTGGAAGCTGTACATAGGATGGTAAGAAGAAGAAAGTTCTCAGCATCCATGATCTTCCCTTCCTCTAGACCCAGACCCTTTAAAGTAGTGATGGCCTCTGCTAGGTCAGTGAGTTGAGCCCTTCCTTTCCCTGTGGGGAAACCAAGAGGAGAGTGATGCACTGGACATCCCCATGGACCGTGGTCATTTTACAAGCTCCCCAGCTTTGCTTGGCCCCTTTCTTCACACCTGGGTCCCCAAATCTCTAATGAGCATCCTTTCTCTGCAGAACAAAGTGTTCATCTACCGCGGGAAGGAATATGAGCGAAGAGAAGATTTCCAGATGCAGCTGATGACCCAGTTCCCCAATGCAGAGAAGATGAACACCACCTCTGCCCCGGGAGATGATGTGAAGAATGCCCCAGGCCAGTGTATCCTTGGAGAATGCCCTAGCCAAGGGGCCAGACCTGAGCAGCCCTGCCAGGGCTGCAGCCCACAAAGACCCACCTTAGAGCTCAGGGCTGCTGCCAGAATCATTGCAGTGGCGCCATGTTGCAGGAACATGCAACATGTTCTTTGGATCCATGTTCTTTGGATCCTTTTCTGGACTCTTCATGATCCTGGCATCTTGAGCTCTGTTTGCTTTGGAAAATTTGTCTCCCTTTGGTGCTTTTCAAAAAGTGCATGAATGTGAGCTAGAATGTCAACTGTATAAGGAAAGACGCTTGCTCTGGCGTGCTCCAACTTGCTCCCTGCAGTAAGTTCCCATCTCCCACGGTGCCTGGTACAGAGTGACTCCCAGTAAATATTTGAGATGAGATCCAAAGAACCTATCTCAATACATTGTAAATGTTGCATGCATTGATTAATTCACTCACTCACTAATTCATTCTTATATTGAATACTCTCAAGCCCTGACTCTATGCTAAGCAAGGTGCAAGGGACTGGAGATTTTCATTCACAAAGTGGTCCTACGTTCAGGGAGCTTACAGTGTAGCAAGTAAAAGAGGCGTTAAGTGACTAATTGCACTATTCCATATTTATTTACAAAAATATAATCTGTGCCTTGAGGAAGCCATGCAGAGTACTGTGGTTGGGAAAGGAGAGAAGGTTTCCTTGAGGAAGGTGATGTTTGAGATTACTAGCAACCAAAGCTTAGCAGGAAGTGGGGAGAATATCCCAGACAGAAGGAAGAACACTTGTGTGCAGAGGCCTTTGGCAGGAAGGAGCATAGCAGGCTCCACAAACTGAAATGACGCCATATTGCCATCATAATAAAATCAAAACTGCTAAGCAAGGCCTGCAAGGCCATCCATGATCTGACCCCTGCCTGCCTGTCCAACGTCAGCCCCACCCCCATCCTTCCTTCCCTTTCTCACATCCCTCTGACCACAGGGTTCTTGTTTCTGTTCCTGTGATATGCCCAGCTTGTTCCTGCCTCTGAGCATTCATGTTCTCTGTTCCCTCTGCTTTGGATGCCCTTCCTCAGCTCCTTACATGACTAGCTGTCTCTTACCCATCAGATCCTAGCTTGGCGTCACCTTCTGGAAGAGGCCTGCCATGGCCTTTCTATTGTCTAATGTGGCCTTCTCTGAACTCTTCATGACCCTGGTATCTCAAGCTCCGTTTTCTTTGGAAAATCTGTCTCAATTTGCCATTATCTCTGGTGCTTTTTAAACGTGCATGGAGGTGAGCTAGAATGTCGGCTCCACGAGGGAAGATGCTTGCCCTGGCTTGCTCCCTGCAGTTAAGTCCCCCACTCCCTCGTGCCTGGTACAAAGTGACTCCCAGTAAATATTTGTTGATTAATAGAAATAAAAAGAAAACAACACAGAAAGAGGAAAGAAGAAAAGAGATAAATAAATAGAGAAAGGGAGGAAGGAGGCAGAGAAGTAGCCAGCTCACTTGGAGTACATAGTACACAGAAGTCACATGGGGTGATATTAGGGTGCCGTATAAGTGGGTGTCAGTGTGGCCAAGCATGGTCTTTAGTGGGCCAGCAGCCAGTGCTGGGCAACAGACAGGATTCGCATGGCAGGGAGCATATAAATGCAAGGATAGGGCCAACTGCTGAGCCAGGGAGCACATTAACTCAGCCTAACTCCCAGCATTGCACCGTTTAGCACAAATTAAGTTACAGCCTTTAAAATGGGGTTGACAGGTCGCAAGTCTGGTCTGCTCAGTCTGCTGTACTTTAATCCAAATATTCTTCTCTCCGGTGGTAAATATTCATCTGTAACCTTTTCATTATGCTTGCCTGCCCTGCGTACCTGCTCTACCATGGTTATTTGCAGGATCAAATGCAACTGGTGGTGGGCTGGGCTGGTTACAAATATGAATTTGGTTATAGGCGAGACATAGGATTAGTTCTAAGGCTTTTCTAAGTGGATCTCCTGGGATTGAACAGCTCTGTGGCCTTTTAACATGAGGCAAGGGAGAGAGTACGTGTTCCTGGGACACAACATCTCCCCTGGTTCAGTGCCAGGAGGCAGGTGCAAAAGAAAAGGGGAAGGGCTAATATTTGCTAAATGTCCTTTTCTTGAGACTGAGGGCTTTATATCCTATAAAACCCTCTAAGGGGAGTGTTAATTTTCCCTATTTCATGGACAAGAAATATGTGGGGCAGAGATGTAAAGTGGTTTGCCTAAGGTTACAAAGCTAGTTAGTGATGGAACTGGTACTTGAACCCCATGATCTGTCTGTTTCAAAAACTATGTTCTAGTACATCATCCTTTTTAAAAAGATTGATGAACAGCATTCTCTTTATTAACTGTTTACCATGTACTAGGCATTTTACACGCATTGTTGTTTTACCCTCCAATACTTATACAAGTTAGGTATTATTGCTTTCCTGCATTTTGCTAATAGGAAAACTGAGGCTCACAGAATTTAAGCAGCTTGCACAAGGTCACAACTAGGAAGTGATGGAGCTTGGATTTGAACTCAGGCCTACTTTTTGACAAAACATTGAGTTCTTAATGCTCTCTTCTCTTGCCTTCACTTGTTAAAAAGCTGATAAGCAGTCTGAGAGGGTGACAGATCTCATTTCTCACTTAGGTATCCAAGTAGGAAATGATAATTGAAAGCCAAAGTCTCTTTGTAGGGAGTCTGCAGTTGCCCAGCCCTCTGGGGCCCCAGTTCCGCGCATACATTCAGCCTGTGGCATAACAACCTCACCAGCCATCCTCCTGGTACAACTTCAGGGGACTTGTGTCACGGGCTTCCCTAGGACAGATTTGGATTCTCCTCTTGGGCCAACACCAGTGGCTAAGATCAGTAAACATGACCTAGAACCTTCTCTAAAACAGGGGTCTGCAAACTTTCTGGAAGGGATCAGATGGGCAGTATTTGAGTCTTTGTGGCCCATGCAGTCTCTGTCACAACTACTCAGCTCCGCTGTTGTAGTGGGAGAGCAGCCACTGAAAACCCAAAAATGCGCGGGTATTGCTGTGTTCCAATAAAACTCTATGGACACTAACATTTGAACTTTCTATCATTTTCACGTTACAAAATACTCTTTTTCCCTCCATTGAAAACTCTTCTTAGCCTCTGGGCCTTACAAAAACAGGCAGTGAACCAGATTTGACCGCAGGGCCATAGTTTGCCAACCCCTGCCCTAGACTTAATCCAGAGTGATTTTCTTCCCAGAGCAGGCTGTTGGCCACATGGCTTGAGAAAGAAAATGGTTTTCCTGAAAATCATAGAAATACCTTCACTGAGATTTATTCATTCGTGTTAAACATTGCCATCTCTTAAGAAGAGAAATCTATTTAAGGCAGAAACAGGCATCAGAAGTAAATCAATGAAACACCTAACTTCTTAGCATAGAGTAAGTTCATCAGACAGAGGCAATTCAATTTAATTTGGAACTAGGTTTTGGTCATTTCTTATGTGTGAAAGAACCATAGTCTCTGCCATGAAAAAGCTCACAATCTGGGCAGGATGGAGGGTGTGAGGTGGGCTGGGGGGATGAGGAAGCCTACAAGGAGCTGGAGGGTGGATCCTAAGAGAAGCAAAGACGAAGGCTGTGGAAAGCCAAAGGAAGGAAAACAACTCCTAACTGGGGGGTGAATTGTTTTCATGGACTGTGGTATTTGACATCTGTCCAAAGGGTTCACAAGAGAGGGATGCTGATAAGGGAAAATGTTCCAAGGAAAGGAAGTAGTAGGATCCATTGGATATCCAGATAATGATGAAAAAATGGGTGAAGGCCATACTGGCCTAGCTTTGAATGCTAGCCAGAGGAGTTCTTGATTCCTTAGTTGGCAGACATGTCAGGCCCAGGAAAAGATTTTTTGGAGTCATGGTGGTCATTGGGTAGAATAGAGGGAGGAAAGACCTTGAATACCTAAATAAAAGACGTGGGTAAAGAAGAAATGGGAGGTAGGGAAAGGGAAGAGGGGTCAGGAGTGGGACCAGTGACCGCTGACTTTTTTCATTCAGTTTGCCATATTGTCAGCTTAAAAGGACTAAAGACAGACCTAGAAGAGGCATGACAAGGGTCTGACCCACATAGTGCTTTTCCAATATCTGTGCCTGTTGCAGGCATCACTAATCCACCATGGGACTCTTTTCCACTGTCTGAACACAGCTCCTTACCATCCTGCCATAGGCAGTTGCTTTCAAATTTTCAGAGTTGGGGTGCAAAATGACATTTATTTGCATATTCTATAGCAGTGCTTCACAAATTTTAGCATGCATATGTTTCACCCAAGGATCTTTTACAGATCCGGACTCAGTTGGTTCTCAGATAGTCCAGAGTCTCCACTTCTAACAAACTTACGGGTAATGCTGACACTACTGGTCAAAGGGCCGCCTTTGAGTAGTGAGTCCAGAGTGAAAGAATTCTGAGCTTAGAGTTAGAAGACCTAAATACAAACTCGGATCTGTTCTTACAAGTTGTGTGACCTTCAACAAGTGGCCTGGCTTCTCTGGCCTCGAAGGGGACAATTTAGGTTAATAAGGCAACTCAGTGGAATTGAGGAGATCAAATGAGATCATGGGAAGATGTACTCTGCAATTGATTTGAGAGCTATAAATTCATTCAATAGTATTATTATTAATGATAATATAGCAATGATGATGATTAAACACCACTAGACAACTCTGTTTGTAGGGGCTGAGCCCTGGCATAAGGTTGCAGGGTGACAGCACTGATAAGGACCTCAGTGACTAACTAGTCATTAGTGCCTAGTGGGCAGCCAGCAACCTGAGGTTCATCATTCAGTAAAAATGTGGCCCCATAAAGGCTGGCCTGGAAGGTCTCAGCAAGGACCAGCTATACTTAAAACTGTCCCCGCAGCCAACAGATATAAGTCCTTAACTACAGGGATTCCAGATATCCAGTGCTTCACTGTCCAGCCTGTCTTGGATGAACATCCCAGGTTCAAGAATAAGCCAGTGCCTGACCAGATTATAAAGTAAGACTCGTTGTCCACAGGGAAGAAGGATGGGGAAGAGAACCCATTGGGGCCACCAAACTGAGCTGGTGGCAGAACAGACCCCAGTGTCTTTCTAGTTCCTTCTCTATCTTAGCCAGTTTTTCCCCCCTTTTCCTCTTGGGCAAAGAATCACCCTCCAATTAGCTGGGCTCTGCCCCTGACAAGGCTGAAGCCAGGAAGGATGGGAGAGCCAGGGTTATGGCTCAGCAAATCCTCAGCAAGCATCGAGCATTTGCTCAACTGGATGCAGTCAGCCTATTTGTTGCTCAGGTTGATCTCAGAGTGGCCCCAGGGAGTCCACAGACAGAGTGTGGCTGGGCAAGTGATAGGCAGGGTGGAGACAGGGGGCCTTGTCCATGCTGAGCACATGCTCCCAGAGGGACATCTCCTCAGCATTTGTGAAGGTTGTACATTGACAATGGTGTGTTCAGGCTCTGATAAAGGAACAGTAGAGGAAGTGCCGTGAAGGCTGATGTCCACCTGTTCTAGATCAGATTGCAAAGTCACTGATGAGGCCACAAGGTGGGGCCTCTGTGGGACCCAAGGCTGTATGCCTCCCAGCTGCCCAGCTCATTCCCCCTACCCCATGCCCAGGTTGTAATGGAGCACTTGAGTGTCTTAGAGTAGGTCCTCCCCTCTGGATGGGACAGTCAGAAACAGGATCTGCTTTGCAAGATGAAGGACCCTTCAGGGAGAGGCAGCCCCTCCCAGCAGCCTCACGAAGTGCCACAGCAGAGCAGGTGGAGCTCAGCTTGGGTCTTAACCTCCCCTCACCTTCTCACCTTCTCAGACAGGCACCCATGAGCAGGGGACAATAACTGTGCAGCTAGCACGGTGTTCTGCTGGCCCTGAAGTTAGAATCTCACCAACGATTCAGGGAGACTGATTTAGGGGGTTGGCTGGGACACCTAAAGAAATCCTTTGAGGACACCTCTGGGAAATTAGGCTCAGACCTCAGCTCCTTTGTTGCAGATCACAGGAAATCATGACCTAGGCCATCAATGTTAGAATTCCAATTGCCTGGATACTCTAGGGGTACTATGTTCTCAAAGGGGCACAAGACCAGTCTACCTTCTAAATTGCCTTGTCAGGAAAGCCTGTGCAAAAGTCACTCTTACGGAGCCCAGAACACAGACCTTGATTTTAAATGCACCACAAGGGACTCTGCCAGGCCTGAAGTTTACTGTAATGAACCTCCCTGGACAGTGCAGGGTCAGATCGGGTGTCAGCAGCCGGGGATGGCTACCAGGAGCCTCAGCCTCTTCCTGTCTTTCAGCTTCTACAAATCCAACTACGTGCAAAGGTTCCACTACTCCCGGCCCGTGCGCAGGGGGACCGTAGACCCAGAGAATGAGTTTGCTGTGAGTATCTTCCCTACCCTTGATCATTCCCTGGAGCCACCTGGAGGAACCAGAGCATGCATCGGCCAGCCTCAGAATGGGAAGGAACTTGATAGAAAGCCAGAGAAAATAAAGCCAACCTCCATGGATACCATGACGTCCGTTCCCCAATCTCTTCCATTAGGGCCTGTGTCCTTATTTCTTGAGCCTTTTTCCCCTTAATACAGAACCCAGGCCTCATGTCAGAGGCACTTTTTCAACCACAGGGCATTCAGGCATTGCCAGCACGTAGAAACCCTCAGGCTAAGAAGGGGTGTTGATAAAATCAAACCTTCCAGCAAACACCAGTAAGAAGCCACAGCAATGTAGTCATCACTGTCCCCTGAGTGCTAGTCTCCTCTGTGTGTGTCCAGCTAGGATTCAAACAAGACTGGATTAAGGAGGTGTCTCCAAGTCTCAGCTCTTTGGCCTGGACAGTAATTCTTAATATTTTTGGAGCCACTGCCTCTTTGAGAGTCTAATGAACACTGGGAACCCTTCCCCGAGAAAACAAATGGACACATTCAATATTGCCTAAAAATTCAGACTGCTAATAAACCCAGGTTAGTACTTACTTGGCCTAAGTCCAGGGAGAGCTTACACTTAATGTTGGGAAAGAATTCTTAAGGGTAAGGTGAGAGCGTGTTTCTGGGTCTTGCAATATTTATTCTGCTTTCGGGTAGATGGGAGGCCCGGGGACCTGGCTGGGTTTCTGCCAAGCTTCTCCGATACCCAGGTTTCATAAATGTGTTTGTTGCTTTCCTGCCCTTGCCACCCCTCTGCCCACGGACAGTCCATGTGGATTGAGAGAACCTCCTTCGTGACTGCATACAAGCTGCCGGGGATCCTGCGCTGGTTTGAGGTGGTGCACATGTCGCAGGTGAGTCTGGGACATTCGTGGCAGGGCCACCCTTCCTCCGATGGGCAGGGCACAGCCAGTCTCCAAAGGCCCCTTTGACTTTAAAAAGGAGACATGTTTTTCTTTGAAGCTGCTGTGTGAGTCCCAGAATTCCCATGCAGGCAGCATTCAGAATAGTGCCTTTCAGATTTTTTTTTTTTTTAAGCATCAGATAACCTTTTTGTTCCCTGCAAATGAAACTTTCCATGGCCTCCAGTAATAAAGCTGATGAATGGGGAGCTTCTGTTGGGTGGGTGGGGTGTAGCAGAGGGCCTGGAACACAATCATTAATCATTTCCATCTCCCCCTCATACTCCTCTCATCACAGCACCCCCTTGGGGGCACCTGTGCAGTATCCCAATATGAATCCATTTTATAGTTGGAAAAACTGAGGCTCAGAAGGGAGAGATCATTTGGCTAGAATCCAAATGTTTGATCTCCCTTGTGCAGATAACACCTATTTTGCTTCTCAGCACAGCTTAGGGTCTCCACGTCCTCAGACAGCTAAAGATCTTGCAGTCCCCAAGATACAGAGGAATGGTCAGTGTGGTTGTGAGGAAACCTTGTAAATGGACATATTTAGGATGTCTTATTTATTTATTTATTCATTCATTCAGAAAATACTTAATGTGTACCTAACATGTTAGGCACTGTTGTAAGACCTAGAGATTCTGCAATGGAGCTTCCATTCTAGTGGGAAAGACGGACTAAAAAGTCAAAGTAAATATATGACAGGTGATAACTGTGATGGAAAAAATTAAAGCAGAAAGGTGATATATGAGGGATTGCTATTTTAAGTAGGGTAGTCAGAGAATGCTTCCCTCTATACTGGCTGTTGAGGAGAGGCCTGGAGGAAATGAGGAAGGGGTCCATGCTGACATTGAAGAGAGAGACATTCCAGCAGAGGAGACAGCAAGTGAAAAGCCCTGGGCCCAGAGTATGCTTGTGTCCAGATCAGAACAAGTGAGGGTGAGTAACAGTCATCTGATACCAGATCATGTAGGACCTTGTAGACCACCATAAGGACTTTGACTTTCCCACTGAGTGACACAGAGCCATGAGCAGAGGAGGGACGTGGTCTGACTTGCGTTTTCAAGCTATTGTATCAGACGATAGCATTGAGACCGTTTCACTTCTACCCTTAATGCCCCTCTCTTTTCAGCGAACCCAGCAGCTCAGTAGCCCTTCAGCCTCCTTTTTATAGGCATGACCTAGACCTTGGAAAAGTATAACAATGATGGTGATAGCAAAAAACATTGTTTTGAGTATGGGCTCAACTGTTCATATGCATGATCTCATTTCAACCCCTCAGCAACCCTGTGAGGTAGATATTATTATTCTTCCCATTTTACAGATGTGGGAACTGAGATGCAGAGTTAATTAGTGCATTGTTCAAGGTTAGTAAAAGAGATAGGGTATGACTTTAACCTCCCCTGTCAGGCACCTGGCTTGGACTCTTTATCTTTTTTTCCTTAAGAAAAAGAAGAGCCCACCCCAGCCCACCCCAGCAAGTAGTACCCCCAAAAGGAAGGAAGTGTCTGTGCCCTTGCTTCATGGCACATAAGTTTCAACAAGTGCCCCAGGTGCTGTGTCAAAGGTTTATAGCTATATCTCATTTAATTCTCATAGACCCCAGTGAGGTACATACTATTATGAGCCCTATTTAGGAGGTAAGGAATCAGAAACTTTCTGTCAATCTGTAGCCTCTGCCCATTAGCCCTGACTGAGCCCTGTCACCTGGTGGTGCTCAGCAAGGCGCCTCTTCTGTAGTCATTCCTGCCAAACTGTAGCAAACTGAGAGAGCCCATCCCTGTACTTCCCATTCCCTCAGCTACTGTGTGTCAGCCCAAAGCACTTATCTCCTAATAGCCTACATAATTTTCTTGTTTATTTTTAATATTAAGAGAATATTAAATATAACAGTAGACCATAAGCTCCACTAGAATATAAATTCCAAGAAGACAGATATTTTGTCTATTTTATTTTCTGCCATACCTCCAAGTGCTAAGAATAGTCCCTGGCCCACAACTGATGCTAACTAAAGAATACTTACATAAATTAATCAGTCAATCAATATGCAGACACCCGTAATGTCTAAACCGGTTACCTTATTTTATAAACTCAGCGTTTTGAAGTTGGGAAAGAAATAGTCAAGATTTTTGGCTTGTTTCTTTCATCCCGATGGCTTCTCATAGATGGCATTGGGGAAACCTTCAAAAAGTTGGCCAGAGTGAATTTATCTTTAATGGCCTCTCTCAGATGAGTTACCAGGAATTTCAGGGTGTCTCAGATGCAAAAGTTGAATGCTCTTCTAAGTGACTTCATTTCCAAAGATTGTTTTTGTGTTATATGAATTTGTATCTTGTTCTTGGTTATTTCCTCCATAAATTATCATGACTACAGTAATGTTTATATAGACAGGCATTTTCTGATGAGCTTCAAGTATAAGTTCTGCCTATTGGGGTTTTATTTTGTTCTTGTTCTTGGCCCTGAGAAATGGAGACTTTACAAGGAGCCCTGATCTAGGGGTCAGAGATCCAAATTCAACGTGGTCACTAATGAGCTATGTATGTTAGATAAGGACTGTATATCTCTGGGTCTTAGTTTTAATCATCTGTAAATAGGAATTGCAAAATGATGGAACTTTAGGGAGCTTAAAGGGACCTTAGGTGTCTTTTAGTCCTAAAGCTATAAACTGGAATACCTTCATAGCCTAGTAAGGGCTGTGGCAAAGTGCAGTAGCAACAGCCCCCTCCTCCATCTCTGTTGAATTACATTTTTAAAGGCTAGAATCAATGTGCTAGCTAAGTGACAGACCTCCGCCAGCCTGGTTTGGCTTGCAGTTCTCCAAGTTTTTTGTCCTGATTCTTCCTGGTTCTTGTCTACCTGCATTATTTTGTATATGAGAAAACTGAGGCCTAGCAATGGGACTTGAACTGCCAAAGCAATTTGTGGCAGAACTCAGAGGTCATGAGAGAGCACCTGTCCTGTGCAGCTCATAGGATTCCTGGGTAGACTTAAGAAGGCAATATTGGTAAAATGGCTTTGAAAAATATGAAATGCTGGGGTGGGCGTGGTGGCTCATGCCTGTAATCCCAACACTTTGGGAGGCTGGGGTGGGCGGATCACAAGGTTAGGAGTTCAAGACCAGCCTGACCAACATGGTGAAACCCCGTCTCTACTAAAAATACAAAAATTAGCTGGGCATGGTGGCATGCACCTGTAATCCCAGCTACTCAGAAGGCTGAGGCAGGAGAATCACTTGAACCCGGGAGGCGGAGGTTGCAGTGAGCCGATATCATGCCATTGCACTCCAGCCCGGGCAACAGAGCAAGACTCCATCTAAAAAAAAATTAAAAAAAGAAAAATATGAAATGCCACCTAATTGCCAGGGATTGAGATCACTTTCTCTTTCATCTTATGTTCCCTCACCCATCCACACACACTTTTACATTTTTTTCCAAAGCACCCTCCCCTGATAATTCATTTTCTCTTCACAGCAAGCCTGGCAAGAGTTACTATGTCGATAAAGAAACTGAGGCTCAGCTTAGGGAAAAGACCAGAGATTTGAGGGCTAGATTAAGTCCCAACAGCCCGTTGATAGCAAGTGTGGTATCAAAGCTTGATTTACGTGTAGTAGAAGAAGCCTGCCTTTGGAATCACAAATACCCGAGTTGTCTTTCCAGCTCTGCCCCGTGGCTCAGGGATAAGTGACTTAACATATTGCTGGGGGAATGAAATGAGCATGGGTGTAATGTGGCCAGCATGGGCTGGCACATAGGAGGCAATTGATAAGTGAGGTCATCTTCATTATCATGATCATTACTTTTATTCCTGTTATTAGCTAAACCGTGGGTTTAACTTCTGAAATCTAGGCCTTTCACCAACTATACAACCCCTGTAATGACCTGAAAGTTACATATTTGGTTTATACAAATGCCCGTAGGCGAGAAGCCAAAATTATTTTCATTCTCTTTCTCTGTTCCTAATGGCTATAATGAGGCTAACACTTTGGGAATCTAAAAATAGTTTCAAAAGCAAGGAGGAAAGCCAATCAACTGCTCTTTCCATTTTTAATGACTTGTCTTAAAGCCTGAGTCTTTCAGATATGGCAGTCTATTGTTCAAATGCAGGTGTGTTGCTGGGCTCAATCTGAGCGGTGGTGATAGATTTTCAGTACAACTCAGTCTACACCTTGGCCCCTCAGAGCCCCCCCAGAGTTGGTCTGTGTACTTGACAGATACTAGACCGTGGGTTTCACCTTGGAGGACTATGGCTGCAGCCAAGCTGGACATTGTTCTCCTTCAGTTAACATTATGTGTGTGCATGCATGTGCAGTTGTAGGGTGTGTGGGTGTGCCCAGGGTGTGCATGTGTGGATGCATGTATATGTGTATCTATGTGTGTATGTATATGAGTGTGTGTGTGTGTGTGTGTGTGTGTGTGAGAGAGAGAGAGAGAGAGACAGAGAGAGTGAGTCAGTCAATTCCCAGGGCCTTCTCACTGTAGAGATCAGTCATCTTCAGAAACATCCAGACTCAGGGTAAGGGAGTAAGGAGGCTATAATTTCACAGAAATGGTTTTAAAAGATGACCAAGAAGACAATTAGCAACATAGCAGACTAGGAAGCTCCTGGGTCTCCCTCCACCCCCAAATGCACCAGATAAATATCTACTCATGGATCAATTCCCTCTGAGAGAAACTCAGAGATGAAGTGAGGGACTTCTACCTACCAGGCACTGAGTAAACATCCACATTGAACCGATATGAAAAGCTGAGGCACACTCAGGCATGCACCCTGCTCTGACACTGTGCTATAAAATCAGGAAAGAAATTCCCAGTACTCATCTTCTCTCCCTGTGGAGAGGAGGGCTTGGACCTCACATATACTACCCTAATTCTAAGGTTCCCCAGGAGGGCTTGGACCTCACATATACCATTCTAATTCTGAGGTTCTTCATGGGTTGGCTCTTAACTTATCAACTCTGAGACTGCGCAGAGTTAGACATATGCAAGTCTCTTTAGACCACAGGAAAAAATCAGTGGTTTTATATGGGTGCACATGAACTTTCAGGCATCCTATCCCCTGAGAGGAGTGTAGTAAAGGGTCTTTTAAAAATGGAATCCCCTGCTTCTCCCCAGAAGGCATTTATGGCACACTCTTCCAGTGGCTACTTGGCAGCCTGGCTTCTACATAACTTCCACTGAGGAGTTAAGGGGCAAACAAATATTAACCCACTGGCAGCCTGAGAAGCAGGCTGTCACTTCTCAAACCTTGCCTCCTGGCTCACCCTAGCAATAACTACAGGTTTATTAATCTCTCCTGGAAGGAGTCTGTGCACACATTGAGTTTCCCAACTTTTACAGCTTCCACCCAAGGGCTATATTCTAAACACCTTAGCTCTGGGAGCAGAGGGGACTGGCATATGCATGTCGCCAAAGACCACAGGAAAAAAAAGCAGCAGTTTTATACAGGCATGAAAGCACTTCCAGGGCTTCATTCCCTGAGAGTTGGTGCAGAGAAAGGGCTTAAAAAATTGCAACCCCCTATTCCTCCCTAGATGAGGTTTATGCTATGCATTGAATGTCCCAACTTTTAGATCTATTTCTAAAAGGACTCCATCTAAACCTCTTAGCTCTGGGAACAGAAGGGAGCAGGCATATGCAATTCTCCCCAGATCACAGAACAGAGAGATGGTTTTAAATGGGTGCACAAACACTTCCAGGGGTTACATCCCCTTGGAGCAGTGCAGAAAGTGGGCAGAAATTAACAGCTCCCATTTTCTTTCTGGAAGGGGCACACACTTCCAGTGGCTACTTGATGGCCTGGCAGCTAACAAACTTGCATCAGGAAGCTAATAGGGCAAACAAACAATAGCTCTCCAGCAGCCAGAGCCAGAGGTTGGCACTTCACTAGCCTTTCCTCTGTCTCAACCTAGTGATAAATCCAGGTCTATCCATTCTTCCTGCAAGGAGTTTGGCCACATACCAAGTGCCACACTAGAGCTCCCACCCAAGGGACTGTCCTCTTAAGGATATAGCTCTGGGAGTCAATGGGACTTTGTCTTCCTGAGTGGCCCTAGACCACAGCAAAAAGAGGTGGATATACAATGGGTCCAATTTCAACAACTATATCCCCAGAAGCAGAGGGTGCGGCCTGAACCTGAGTCTAGGCACTTGCCACAGATTCTCTCCCCAGCTTAGGGCAGAGAGAGTGAGAGGTAATCGCCCATGCTCAGCTTCACCATGAAGATGGAAAAAACTGGAACACACATTTAATACCCCCACCTTTCCAGCTACATCTAGAGAGTCTAGCCCCTGCCTTATCTGTCACTGGGTACTGACAGGAAGTGGCACATCCTAAACTATAGGGGTCTACAAAAAACAGAGACAGCAGTCTGGACAAACAGAGAGATTTGAGAGGAACCCTAACATTTCACACTGGATGGCTTGGTCAGATCCTTCTTCTACACAAGGCCAGTCTGACAAGACTGGGAGAGAGAGCTGTCTTATCTAATGCAGAGAAACCAACACAGACACTGAAGGAAAATGAAGAAACAGGGTAATATATTCCAAGTAAAGGAGCAAGATAAATCTCCAGAAACCGAAATGTGTGGAGTCAAGACATGTGATTTACTCAGCAGGGAATCCAAATAATGCTCATGAAGATGCTCACCAAGGACAGGAGAGCAATGCAAGAACAAACCGAGAATTCTAACAAAGAGAAAGCATAAAGTGTACCAAACAGAAATCATAGAGCTTAGGAATATTATAACTGAACTGAAAAATGCCATAGAAGGGTTCAATAGCTGACTAGATCAAGCAGAAGAAAGGATGAGCAAACTCGAAGACAAATCACTGGAAATCATATAACCTGAGGAGCAAAAAGAAAAGAATGAAAAAGAATGAGACTGGTATAAGAGAATTATGGGGCACCATCAAGTGTAACAACATACACATTATTGAGGTACCAAAATAAGAAGAGAGAGGGAGAAAGGAACAGAGAACATATCCAAAGAAATGACAGAAAACTTCCCAAATCTAGAAAAGAAACTAGAAATCTAGATCCAGAAAGCCCAAAGGACAACAAATCAGATAAATCCAAAGAGAACCAAAAGTATTTCTCAAACAAACAAAAGCTGAGTTAAGCACCATTAGACCTGCCTTATAAGAAATACTAAAGGTAGTTCTTCAAGCTGAAGGAAGAGGATGCTAGTTAGTAACGTGAAAATATGAAAATATAAAACTTAGTGTTAAAAAATAAGTACATTGTCAAATCCAAAACATGCTAATACTTTAATGATGGTGGGCAAATCAATTATCTAGTATAAAGATTTAAAGGCAAAAAAAATATAAAAAGACACCTAAAGCTCTAATAGTTTGTTAAAGATAGAAATTATTTTTCATGTAAATTGTGACATCTGAAACTTAAAACATGGGAGGAGAGGGAGTAAAATTGAAGTTTGTGTATGTGATCAAAGTTAAGTTGTTTTCAGCTTTAAATAGCCAGTTATATGTATGTTTTATGTAAGCCTCAGGGTAACCACAAAGCAAAAGCCTATAATAGATGTACAAAAGTTAGAAGAAAAGACCCACAGCATATCACTACAGAAAGCCATCAAATCACAAAGGAAGAAAGTAATAAAGGAAAAAAAGAACAAAGGATCTATAAAATAACCAGAAAACAATGAACAGAATGGCATTAGTAAGTCCTTACCTATCAGTAATGACTTTGAATGTAAATGGATTAAATTCAACAATCAAAAGGAATAGAGTGACTGAACAACAACAACAAAAAAACCTAATGATATTGTATATTAGTCCGTTTTCACATTACTGATAGAGACATACCTGAGACTAGGCAACTTACAAAAGAAAGACGTTTATTGGACTTACAGTTCTACATGGCTAGGGAGGCCTCACAACCATGGAGGAAGGCAGGGAGGAGCAAGTCCCATCTTACGTGGATGGCAGCAGGCAAAGAGAGAGCTTGTGCAGGGAAATTCCCTTTAAAAAAGGGATCTTGTGAGACCCATTCACTATCACAAGAACAGCATGGGAAAGACCTGCCCCCATGATTCAGTCATCTCCCACTAAGTCCCTCCTACAACATGTGAGAATTATGGGAGCTACAAGATGAGATTTGGGTGGGGATACAGAGCCAAACTGTATCAGATATGTTGCCTACAAGAGACTTACCTCACCTTTAAAGACACTCATAGACTGAAAGTGAAGGGATGGAAAAATATATTCCATGCAAATGAAAACTGTTTTTTTTTTTTTTTTGAGACAGAGTCTCGCTCTGTCGCCGAGGCTGGAGTGTAGTGGCGCGAACTCAGCTCACTGCAAGCTCCGCCTCCTGGGCTCATGCCATTCTCCTGTCTCAGCCTCCCGAGTAACTGGGACTACAGGCGCCCGCCACAACGCCTGGCTAATTTTTGTATTTTTAGTAGAGACGGGGTTTCACCATGTTAGTCAGGATGGTCTCGATCTCCTGACCTCGTGATCTGCCCACCTCGGCCTCCCGCAAATGAAAACTTTTAAAAAGAGAGTAGGGGCAGCTATATTTATTTCAGACAAAGTAGACTTTAAATGAAAAACTGTAAAAAAAAACAAAACAAAAGACAAGGTCATTATATAGTGACAAAGGGGTCAGTTCATCAAGAGGATATAAAAATTGTAAACACATATACACCCAATGTTGGAGCACCTAAATATATAAAGTAGACATTAGGAGATCTAGAGGGAGACATAATGTTAGTAGGGTATTTCAATACCTAACTTTTCAACATTGGACTGATCATTTAGCCAGAAAAACAATAAGAAAACATTGAACTTAACCTACATTTTAGATCGTAATGGACCTAACAGACATATACAGAACAATCCACCCCACAGCAACAGCAGACACATTTTTCTGAAGTGCACATGGAACACTCTTCAGTATAGATCGTGTGTTAGACCACAAAACAAGTCTTAACAAATTTAAGATTTTTATTTAGTTTGTTTCTGTTTAGTTCATGGGTCAGCAAACTGTGGCCCATGGACTAAATTCTACCCGTCACCTATTTCTGCAGTTTTATTGGAACAGCCATTCTCATTCATTTACATACTGCCTGTAGGTGCTTTTGCCCTACAATAACAGAGTTGAGTAGTTGCAGCAGACACCATCTGGCCTGCAAATCCTAAAATATTTACTATCTGGCCCTTTTACAGAAAATGTTTGCCGACCTCTACTTTAGGTTTCTACTCCAGATCTCATGCTCTTGCAAACTGCACTTTTTGCCGGTTAGCTTTTGATGGCACTCTGTTTATATCGCCTTCTAAGAGGTGTTGGACAGGTGTTCTGTTTAATTTTCCCAACTAAAGTGAATCTACCTTGGAACAGTGAACCCCTCTAACAACCAGTCTTAGGACCTACTATGTGCCAGGCTGGGTGCCCACATCGCAAGCTGCTCTAATCTCTCTGGCCAATAACTCACACATAGTATCTGCCCAACCAATACTGAAAGGGTTGAATTGGCATGTGTTTCACCCAGATAATAAGAAGAGAAAACCTTCTCTGGGGCACACTCAGCAGGTACCTGACACTTCCTGCTTCTGCCTCCCCAAAGAAATCCCTTTCTCACTAAGCAGAAAGCCAGCCTGTCTCTCCCCAGAGAGCAGACAGCCCCCAGAGCTCAGTAATTACAAGATCCTGTTACAGCCCCTTAGGGAGCATTGCCTCATTTGAATTCCCACCCCAAGTGAAATCAATACCAATAATATCTGTTTTTAAAGTGACTTAACTAAGGCCCTTTCTTCTTGGTGATCTCATTTTCAACAGACCACAATTAGTCCTCTGGAGAATGCCATAGAAACCATGTCCACGGCCAATGAGAAGATCCTGATGATGATAAACCAGTACCAGAGTGATGAGACCCTCCCCATCAACCCACTCTCCATGCTCCTGAACGGGATTGTGGACCCTGCTGTCATGGGAGGCTTCGCCAAGTATGAGAAGGTGAGGATTTCTGTTCTCCAAGTCTAGGGGAGCTCGGTGAGCAGAGCAGTGGTGGGAGGACCCAGGGGGCAGATGCAGGTACATGTCACTTATCCTACTTTGACTGTCCTTGTCCCCAGAGGGACCCTCAGCTTGGTTGGCCCTCATGTTTCTATAGCCTCATGTCTTAGCTGAGCTCCTGTCTTCCTCCCAGCCTCTTTTCCATACCCTGTGCTGGGGCAGGGAGGGGCAGGAAGGGGCAGGGGTCATAAGGTCCCCTTATCTCACTGGGCAGATTCAGGTGGCTCTATTAAGGAAAGGCTCTGGGATGAGTGTGAGCCAGACCATAAAAGTACGTGCCAGTTGTATAAACCCACCTCTTCCACAGAGGATGTGAAATGATGTATACTAATGGAAAGAAATGAAACTCAGAATCTGTGAAAAGCCATAAAAACTAAGAGATCAACTCCAAAAGGGGAGCTATAATCTAGATATCAAGGTCATAAGGTCCCTCCAGAAAGCCCCACATGTTTGAGCCACAGATTTATTTTTGAGCTTCCTGGTGTTCACGGCAAAAAAGGAAATAGCATCACTTATATGAGTTACATTATCCACTGGAAGGAAAAATACCCATTTCTCAGTAAGGATACGTAGCTGTTCTTGGCATTGAAATAGAGTAGAAAGTTCTTACTTGGTTTTCACCTAGCAGACACTGAAGGAAAAATGAACTCCTCATTCTAACAAATCTTTTGATGAATTCCCTATTATCTTTCCTATGTTATCCATTGATGTAAAACTAAGAATACCACACAGTAGTATAATTTGGGGACAATAATTCCAGTCACCTAATCAATCCTTCCAACTACCCTCAGATACCCATGCAGTCATCATTGGTAACCCTTTGCTCAGCCTTGAGCAGTGATGGGATATGTCTGTTTATACATGAGCACACACTAAGGACATGAGCCCCAGAAAGGGGCTGCCAGGGTCACTTGCAATGAGGGAGGCCATGAGGTGAGCTGGAACACCCACCAGTGAGATTCCTTACTGAATTATTTTCCACAGAGCAATGTTCTCAAACTTGAAAGGAGCATCAGAATCCCCTACAGTGCTTCCTGACACACGGGTCCTCACCCCACCCCCAGAGTTTCTGATTCAGGCTGTCTGGGCTGGGGCTAGAGACTTTGCATCTCTAACAAGTTCCAAAGTACTGTTGCTGCTACTGGCTCAGGAACCTGACTTTGAGAACAGCTTCCCCAGAGTTTGCAGCCCATTCCCACTGGGTGCTGATCTGAGCCTCAAAGCAGATAAAACAATGTCAGTCTCTCCAGACCTGTTACTCTTGTTCCATCCACATGCCTGTGACCTCATCCTTGCCCCTTTCAAATTGAATCTTCTCCCAGTGCCAAAGAGATTGGCTGTGAAATGCCACATGAACAGGAAACCCTGACCTCCTATCTGTCCTCCCCAGGCCTTCTTCACTGAAGAGTATGTCAGGGACCACCCTGAGGACCAGGACAAGCTGACCCACCTCAAGGACCTGATTGCATGGCAGGTGAGGCAGCGCTGGCCAGGGGAGCATGCTGCTCTCCTTCCTCTCCCCCCACCGTGGTTCACTTGCCCCACGCTAGGCTCTAGCTGAGGCAGCCTGAATTCACATGCCCTCCTGTCCCTTGCTTTTCAGCCCCTCTTCCAACTCTGTATCACACCTGAGCAGGTTCATCCTGGAACAGAGATTTGGGGCATCGCACTCTTGGGTGTTGCATGGTGCCAGGCAGCAATGCTATGCTGGATGGTGCCAAGATTATCTTATTTGATGTTGAATTCAGGGGATGGCTTTTCACAGCGGGATGCAAATAAACACCAGGCCCCCACACTCCAAACCAGCACCTTCCCCCGACACCCAGCACAGGCCAATCTGATAATAGAAGACTTGAGCCCCTACTCCCACTTCTCCTCCTTTTAGAGCTGACCCACTTTGTTGCAATAATGCTCAGATGGATATCAGGTTTTGAAAATAATTGAGGCCTTTGTGTGGGTGGTTGTGAGTCAAAGGGTCTACATCCCACACAAGCCGCTGCTCAGCCCACGGGCTTAGAAGTTACCACCCTGCTGTTTCGGGCTGGCCACTTACCTGCCTCTCCTTCCATTCTCTCTTTGCATCCCTCTTCTTCCTGTGGACTCTGTCTTTCCTCCTTTCTCTCTTTCTCTCTGTGCATCTGTCTGTCTTTCCCTCTCTCTCTTAGAAGCCTGCACTTCTATTCCTTGCCTCTCTGTCTTTTGCCCCCCACCCCCACACATCTTACTCCTCTCTTGGCTTCTCTTCCTCTTCTGTCTCATTCTCCATCTCCCTGCAGAAGCAACAGTCGGCTAGATCCCTCTCATAGAGGCTTACACAGGGCTAGGCTTCCCTCCAGGCCCAGAGCAGCCCCCTCCTCAGACATTCGCCCACTCTGGGCTCTCAGCAAACCACCCATCAGAACACAGGGGTGGGCTCCGGAGGGCAGGAGCTGGCGGGAGGTGAGCAGTGGATGCAGGGGCAGGTGGTAGCAGCTTGCAGCTGCCTGCCCTCCCTCGCTTTCTTCTTGCCAGTCACTGTGCAAAGAAAAGCAAGCTTTTGTGGTTGGGAGTTTTTGTTACTCTAGGGAAATCAGGGAATGAGAAGCATTGGGTGCAGCCTCTTTTCTTAAAATAAGAATTCCTAATTCAGGTCCTTCTCTGCCTCTGCCAATTTATGCAAAGTGGGGCTTTAAAAATGAAACACCAAGCACTGCACAGACGCGCTTTTCCCGAATGCATGTTGTGTGTCTGTCTGGAATTTTCTCTTTCTTTTTACCTTGTGCCACCTGTGAAGCCCAAATATCCCCCAGGTCCCCAGCCTTCTGGGGTCGTCATGCCCTTTATTATTCAAATAATGATGTTCTCCCTTAGCATCCCCAGTTTGGGAAGCAGGAAGGCCAGGCTTTGACTCGTTCCCATCCTCAGATATTGCTGGGAGGCCTCAGGGAAGGCTAACATGTCATACAGATTTGCTTAGTTGTTGGATGTCACTCTGAATCTATACAATTGCCCTGGTCCTCTCCACTGGGGACCTCTTCTCCTCTGGAAACAGCTTCTCCATGCTGTGTTTACTGTACCCAAAGAATGAACTGCAGCTTCACAGCACAGCGAATACCAAGCTGTACCTTCCAAGAAAATTCTACTACTGTCTTGGAGCTTACTAGAGGGACATTACCAACAAAGCCGGAAGGCTTTGAAAGCATGTACTCTATTAGATGTGGCGGCTTCTGAGAACCGTTAGCTAGGCGCCTTCAGACACCGCCCCCTAGTGGCCGCCTTCTCCTTAGCACCACCCGCTGCTCCTGAGACCACCTATACAGAGGCCCACCTAACCCCCAAACGAGGTTGACCTCAGCCATATCCCTCCCACCCAGCGCCCAGGCACCCTAACTATGGGCACCCGCATGCAAAAGATGCAGTCCTGCTCATAGTGAAGGCAGCCTTTTAACATTATCACATGCAGCAGATTAGCTCTTCCCTACCTGTTTCATTCCGTTTGTTCTTGCAACTTATATTTATTGAGCCTCTGTTGTGTCCTAGGCAACAGTAATAGTGATGGACAAAATTGGGCCTGCTCCCTGCTCACTTGGAGCTTAATTCTATGTTGGATTTTGGTTTTGCAAAGCCAAATACACTTTGAATTTACTTAAAACACGAGAAGGTTAGATTTCAAGGGGAGTGAATGTATTTGTACCTCTAGCAACCGAACAAATGCTGAAGCCTTCAAAGTACATTTGGTGTTCAACGTTTTTGCAGATTTCAAGATCGATAGCTTGTTAATTTATTTTCTTTCTGAAGACTTTCTATTTTTTGGCATAAAAAGATGTCTATAGTATGCTCTTCTTTTAAAGCTTTTGTTGTGAAATATTATGTACAGAAAAGTACACATAAAAATATATAACCCACTGATTTATCAAAAACATACATCCGTTTGACCACCACCCAGATGAAATAGAATTCTGCTAGCTCCCCTAATCCTATCTTAGGCCTCCTTCCCTAAGAGTGAGCACTGTTCTGTTTTTATAGTAATCATTTCCTTGCTTTAAAAAAAATACTTTACCACCCAAACACTCATTCTTAAACACTATAGTTTAGATTTGCTTAATTTTGACCTACATATAAACAGAATCACATAATATACAGTCTTTCGTATCTAACTTATTTTGCCCAATGTTATGTTTGTGAAAGTCATTCATTTTGTTTATGAGTCATAACTATGATTCACATTCATTTTCATTGCTATATAGTAGTCCGTACAGCTGGCTTATGTAACTATACCAAAATGCATTTATTTATTTTTATACTAATAGAGAATTGGGTTTATTTCAGCTTGGGGCTATTATAAGTAATGCTATTCTGAACTTCCTTGTGTGTTTTTTTGGTACACATATGCAAAATTTTTGTTGGGTATATACCTATGCATTGATTTGCTTGGTCATAGCATGTGAGGATATTCAGCTTTCATAGGTACTGCCAATCTTCTATCACCATAGGTTAGGTTATTTTGCCTGTTCTTGAACCTCTTATAAATTGTATTATACAGTACAGTATGTACTACTGTATCTGTAGCTTCTTTGGCTCAATATAATGCCTTTGAGATTCCTCTGGGTTGTTACACATACTAGAGGTTTGACTTTTTTGTTGTTTCTAAGTGTCATCTATTGTATGTGTATCTAAATTACCAATAATATATCAATTTATTTATCCGTTCTGTTGGACATTTGGATGTTTTCAGGTGTTGTATATTATGAGTAAAGTTGCTATGAACATTCGTGTTTGTGCCTTTTGGTGGACCTAAGCACCCAGTTCCCTCAGTATACATGCAGTAGTGGAATTGCTGGGCCATGCACATTTAACCTTACTGGACACAAGAAGCAGTTTTTCAAAGTGGCTAAATCAATTTTCACTCCCACACAACTTCTAAGTCAGTTGATCCACATTCTCCCTGACACTTGATACTGGGAGTCTTTTTTAATTCTAGTCCTTCTGGTGGATGTGTAATGATATCTCAGTTTAGTTTTAATTTGCATTTCCTTCATGAGCAATGATGTTCAGCACCTTTTCATATGCTTACTGCTAATTGGATTACCCTTTTGTGAAATACTTTTTCAAATCTTTTACTTATGTTGTTAATTTAGTTGTCTCTTTATTATTGATTTATAGGAGTTTATATATTCTAGATATGCATCTTCTGTCAAATATATGTATTGCAAATATCTTCTCTTAGTCTGGCTTGTCTGTTTGCTTTCTTAATGATGTATTTTGATGAACAGCAGTTGTAATTTTGGTCAGGTTTAATTTATCATATTTTTAAATGATTAGTGCTTTTGTGTCCACTTTAAGAAACCGCAACTACCCCAAGATCATGAAGATATTCTCCTATGTTTTATTCTGAGTTTTTATTGTTTTGTCTTATACATTTAGGTGTATGATCCTTTTTGACTGATGTAAAGTAAGAGGCAGATTATTTTCTTACACAGATTTCCAATTTCTTTAGCACCATGTGTTGAAAAGACTATTTTCCCCCACTTTTGACCCCCCAAATTGACCATATATGTGTTTTTCTATTCTGGACTTTCTATTCTGATCCATCGGTCTATGTCCATGCTTATACCAATACCACACCATCTTAGGTCTTGAAATCTAATAGTCAGTGTACCCCAATTGTTGCTTTTCATCAAGTGTGTCTTGCCTCTTCTAAGTCCTTTGTATTTCTCTATAAATTTTAAAATAACCTTGCCAATGTTTACACACTCCTCCCAAACACATTGAGATTTGGATTAATTGTACATTAACTATTAGATTAAATTGGAGAGAATGGCTATCTTCTCATCCATGAACATGGACTAGCTCTCCATTTATATAGTTCTTTAATTTCTCTCAGCAAAATTTTGTGGTTTTCACATATTTTATTTTCTTTCATATATCTTATTAGATCTGCTCTTTGGTATTTGATATTTTAAATTCTATTGTAAATGGTATTGTTTTTAAATTTTATTTTCTGTTTGTTAACTTTTTGTAATACACTCATCTTATGATCTTTTATGTTTGTACTTCTTGTAATTATGTTTTTCAATCCTAATATTGGTTATTAGTACCTTGTATTTTCTTGATTAGTCTTCTTAGGAGTTTGTTAATGTTGTATCTTTTCAAAGAAACAAATTTTGGCTCTGTTGATCCTCTCTGTTGTAAATTTGTTTTCTATTTTTATTCGTGTCCACTCTCACCTTTATTATTTTCATTCCTTTTCTCCCTTTGAATTTAGTTCGCTGTTCTTTTACTAATATCTTGAGATGGATGCTTAGCTAATTTATTTTCTGTGTTTTCTAATATGTAAAACTAAAGCCATAAATGTATCTCCGTTTACAACCTTATCTCACTACTATTTATATGTAGTTTTTCCATTAGCTTCCTTTTTTATATAAAATCTTTGTCTTTTTCATGAATGAAGGATCTTTTCTGTTCCTATATATTAGTTAAATTTTTTAGAAAAACATGTTTTCTTAGGCTCTCTTTATTCTATTTCTTCCAAATTCATTCTGTTTTTTCTTCCTTTATTCTTTCCTTCTTTTCTTCCTTATTTGCTTTCTTCCCTATCTGTTGGTCTGGTCTCTGTCTTTCCTATTGGAGACTTTCCTCCAGTGTCTGGTGATACTTGGCATTCTCTTCATAGTTAAGAGCAAGGCTAAAGAAAAAGAAAATCTGAGTACAAGAGAGAGGGCCTTGGCAACTGGGTAGCATTGCTGTGTGGCAACGGAATGACCCACAGACGTCTCTCTCTACATGGGACCATTCACATTCTCCAGAGTCAGACCCTTCAAGCTGTTATATAGAAAGATAATCCCAGCTGCTACTCTGCTGGCCATTTGGGAATTGGGAAGTGGAGCTCTCAGGACCCAAATGCAGACTTTCTCTTCAACTTCTTATTTGCAGTCTGGCTTCTGCTTCTGCCTTCTGTTGTGCCTGATGCCCCTAAGCCCAGAGCTCCTTGTTCTAATTGTTCTAGAGGATAAACTCCTCCTTCTTGGGAAAATGGGAAAAAAGAACACTTGGCTGCAGGGTGAGGCAGTCAGGCAATCTAACTGCTCCTGATACAGAACTTCAACACATTCCTCTGTGTTTGGCCCCTCAGCTCACCCGCCTTCTCTGTAGTACCTGGTGCCTCCAATCTCTGAGGCCCTCCTGGCTTCATGTAGGCAGATTGGCTTCTTATCACCACCTCCCTCCTCTGCTCTGGAAGCTCTGGAAGGTCAGTTATGTCCTCCCACCTCCTGGCACACATATTGTGTGGCAGGTTTATGAATGTCTCCAAGTTTCACTGAAGATTTCAGTTTCTCCTTCACCTTGTCATTTCTGGGAGACCTCCAATAGAAGTAAGCAGAAATATCTTTATGTCACCATCATGAAAGCAATTTTTCCCCCAAGTAATTCATAATCTACCCCTTTGCTCCCCTGGTTATGTTTCCCTGAGACCACACAACTAAAGTTCTCAGTTCTCTTTCTGACAGTGCCCACCATGGCTCTGCTACTCTCCCTTAAGGTAGCTGACACTTAGACAGTATCCACTGACCTCCTATGGGGACAAATAAGACTTCAACTCCCTCACATCAATCCTCTCTTCTTCCCTCATCTTCCTAAGGCTTTTATTATCATTTTTCAGAGCTCCCTACTGGGGGGTTAACTTTATGATATTAGCACATTCATATCCTTCTTCAGCAGCTGTATGAAGTGCAATTGGCTCCATGTGGTAAGATGAGGCTATGCCCCCTCCTCTGTTTTCTCTCAGCTCTTGCCTTCCTCTATCTCTCAGCTTCTGACATTCATCCTTTCACTTTAGTATTGCCAAGAACATCTTAGGCAAGGTTTTAAATCAATGCAACAGAGATTCCCCTCCTCTGATCCCCACACTCTGCCCCCAAGTAGATTCTTTAAGGGGGCAATTTTCCCAACCATGTGGCCTTTCATGGGGAAGAGGGGAGTCCAGCCCTCCTATGAGGCAAGGGAAGCTGGGGGTCTTTCTCTCCTTTCCAGAGCAAACCTCATGTTTGCAACTTTCCCCATTTCCCATGGCTGGGGACCGTGTGTGCAGGTTTCTGAGGACCCTGAAGCCCTTGATGAATTCTTAGCAGGCAGACTTGACTGCAGCTGCCTTGATGGGCGGGGTGCCAGGCTGAGGCCCACCGGTCAGCCTCTGGCTCATTCTTTACCACTTTCTCTCCAGATCCCCTTCTTGGGAGCTGGGATTAAGATCCATGAGAAAAGGGTGTCAGATAACTTGCGACCCTTCCATGACCGGATGGAGGAATGTTTCAAGAACCTGAAAATGAAGGTGGAGAAGGAGTACGGTGTCCGAGAGATGGTATGGGTGGTTCCTATGGCTTGGAGGGGTGGGATTGTGCAGGGTGGGGCAGGGAAGCATGCTGGAGGCTGAAGTTGGAGGGGATCCAGCAAAGGAAGCTGCTTCCAAAGAGAAGATAATGATGGCCAGCATTGCTGGATCCCATCCAGGGGAACCCTCCTGGAAACTTGGTCCAGCAAAAGTAACCCCCAGACAAACTCCAGTTACAACTGGATTGTGCAGATACCAACTACTCAAGGGACTGTGTAATAATAATGAAAGCTACACTGATGCAGCATCTACTATGTGCCAGGCCTGATTCAAGCACTTGACATCTACTAGGTCATTTAATCCTCACCACAAGCCTGAGAGGCAGGAAAGATTTTTAATCCTTTGTATTTCTTCTGAGGTTCAGAAGGTCAGGCAACTTGCCAGAGGCTATGTGGCAAATGAATGTGGGGCAGAATTTGCATCTGGCTCTGTTAGTTTAAGGCCAGTGATTTTGACCGCTGAGCTCCTTGGCCTAAAGAGGCCATGAGCCTGGTGCTTACGGGGTGCTTCTTCATCCTTTTCCTTATTAACTGGTGTTATAAAATGTCAAGGCCATGCAATTCCTTTAAAACCATCTGGTCCAGCCTTCCCATTTTACAGATGGTAAAACTGAGACCCAGAGAAGAAAAGTGAATTACTGGAAGAACCTACAGATGCACTCAGGTCTCTTGATTCAAAGATTTTTTTCCATGAGGCAGTTTGTCACTTTCAATACTCCCTACATGAAGTCCCTGTAATGCAATTCTGGTGCTAACTCCCTGGAGTTAGGTCACATTTCACAGGTTAGAAGCACAGTCTTAGACACTTCCCACTTCAAACACCAACCATAAGCTTCAGGGACCCAGGCCACCCACACTTCTGCCTAACTGGTTACAAACTGGGAGATTCCCACTACCCCATCAGGTTTCATAATTCACTAGAATAATTCACAGAACTCAGGAAAGCATGATACTTATGATTTCAGTTTATGATACAAATCAAGACCAGCCAGGTAAAGAGACACAGAGTGAGGTCCAGGAGGGTCCCAAACATGAAGTTTCCACGTATTCCAGATGCATCCCCCTTCTGGCACATTGATGTATGATTACCAGCCAGAGAAGTTCACTAGAGCCTAATGTCCAGAGTTTTTATTGGGGTTTTATTATGTAGTCATGATAGATTGAACCATTGGCCATGTGATGGAAATCAGTCTCTGGGCCTGTCCACTCCCTGGAGGTTGAGCTGATACCACATGGCTTAAAGCCCCAGCCCAGCCCTATAATCATAGAGCTGGTCTTTCTGGCCATCAGGAGCCATCTTATTAGCATAAAATCAAGTATGGTCAAGGGGGCCACCATGAATAATAACAAGGATACTACTATCACATAGGAAATTCCAAAGTTTTAGATATTACCTTCCAGGAACCAGGAGTAAAGGTCATCCACATTCTTCATTCTACAAGAACGCCCTAGCCTCAGCCAGCCAGGAACTTTTGTGCTGATGCTCCACTCAGCCCCACAACTCTGCCCTGCCTAGGTGGAGGAAGAAGGTGACAGGAAGGCTGGGGCCACCTTCCCCAGGCTACAGCTGCTAACCACCCTGTTCTCCCACCACAGCCTGACTTTGACGACAGGAGAGTGGGCCGTCCCAGGTCTATGCTGCGCTCATACAGACAGATGTCCATCATCTCTCTGGCTTCCATGAATTCTGACTGCAGCACCCCCAGCAAGCCTACCTCAGAGAGGTCAGTCCCTGCACCCCAAGGAGCCCCCCACACCCCTGCCTCCCTGGCTCTATCCCCCCTCCTTCTCTCTCTTCTCCGGCAACATCCCTTCTACCTTTCCCTTCCTCCTTTCAGTTTAAAAGCCTTTTCCCATCTGCAGTCTCACAACTACCCCAGGAGGCTCATGGTTAGTACCATTTTTAGGGGATTATCAGAGGCTCAGAGAGGCAAGGCAGCTTTCCTGAGGACCCAGCAGGAGTCACCTGCAGCCCCCAGACTTCTAGTCCAGTGATCTCTGTCAGCCAGGCAGAGCTCCTCACCAAGCCTGCATCCTTCTGGAATATTGTCACCTCTCATAGGGATCTGTTCCCTTTCAAGGAAGCTCCTCCCAACCACGATGGGATGTCTCCATTGCAGAGCTCTTCCTCCTGCACCACCTACCCACCCCTCTGTCGGGGGTCTTCCCTCCCTTGCCCCTTCCACCTTCCTGGAGCCCTCTGGCCATCATTGTTGGACCCTCCAGAAACTTCCCTGCGGGCCTCAGAGGTTACTCTTGCCCAGAGGGAAAAGGATGGAAACGTCTTCTGTTTCACAGTTCTAGGGGGCATCATTCACAATTCTAGGGGGCACCATTCACCCTGCCCAACTCATCTGTTCTAATCATAGATACATGAGCAACCCAGCACTTACCATATGCCAAGAATATGCCAAGGGTTCCTCAGACATCATCTCATGGCCACTCTGCAAGGTCTCTGCGAAGACCTCCATTTACTGAAAAGGAAATGATGGCTTGAAGAGGTTGAGTGATTTACCCAAAGTTATTCATTCAGCTAAGAACTGGCCGTGCCTGGATTTGAATCCACATTCATGCTTTCAACCAGTCTTCTCTCCTCACCACCAGTTTCTTTTCTATGGCTCACTTCTTTCAATTTCATTTTACCACGAATAAAATAAAGTGAACTTTACTCATCACATTTAACTGTTTGTGCATTGAGCAAGTTGCTCCCCAAATCCTCTGCCAGATTTGCTGATCTACTCCAGACCCTGTAGTGACAGCTCAGGCAGCCCAAAGGTCCCCTTCAGCTTCCTGGGTCCTTGCAAGGCAGTTCTACTGAAGCTCTAACTGCAGTTTCTATTGCTGCCCCTCTGGCCTTTCAGCTTTGACCTGGAATTAGCATCACCCAAGACGCCGAGAGTGGAGCAGGAGGAACCGATCTCCCCGGGGAGCACCCTGCCTGAGGTCAAGCTGCGGAGGTCCAAGAAGAGGACAAAGAGAAGCAGCGTAGTTTTTGCGGATGAGAAAGCAGCTGCAGAGTCGGACCTGAAGCGGGTGAGTGGCTGAGGCAGATTGCCTCTCCAGCGCTGTTAGCACATTTCCACTACATGCTGGGCACAAAACCCAGGGCTTCCAGATATGGGCTTCCTGAAGCCTGCCACTGCGGTGCTATGGGTATTGCAGAGGCGGCACCTGAGGAGCTGAGAGGTGAAGTGCTTACTCGTGCCCAGGCAGCTGGGGTGGCTGGGACATGACAGAGCTGGGAGTTGAGCCCTGACCTTTGCACTTCAGAGCCTGTGTGTATCCTTTCCACCATCACACAGGGCTTTTCCAGGCTGGGGAGAATCCACCTGTTCTCCCACCAAAAGGGAGAGCAGCCCACTTGGTACTGAGCTAGGTGTTTCTATAGCCCCCAGCCCCAGGCCTATTCTAACCACTGATGTCTCAGACCCCTGCAAGCCCCTCCTGTGTGCCAGGAGTCCAGGTGGGGATACAGGGATGAAATCTCACTGTCCTGGCTTTGAGAGTGTTGGTCTTGTAAACTAACGATTATTTAAAAATGAGACTTGGTTTCAGACAGCCCTGGATTCAATCTTAGTTTCCCCCTGGAAAAGAGGTTTGTTGGAAGTGTTCTGGGAACCTGGGAGTGGGAGATGGATTAACTGCCCTGGCAAGGGAGGGGTGCCAAATGAAAGAGCAAGGGGCCAACCAAGATGCCTTAGTGAAGAAAGGGCCCTCCAGAAACTTCCCAGTGGGCCTCGCAGGCTACTCTTGCGTGGATGGATAAGAATGGAAATGTCTTCTGTGTTTGTCGATTCTAGGGGACACCATTTACATGATAGTCTAAATGAATGTCCGCCACCCCCGCCTGTAGTTGTGTAGTGTGCAACCTGTGCAACCATATGTGGCAGGCTGGCATGGAATGGTATAATACAGAATAAATGAACTTGGAGCCAGCTTCATAGAAACCATGCCACGCCCTCCTCACTGATCTTTCAGAGACCCAGATCTGCCTCATGCTAAGCCTCTGTCTTTGTGTGTGTGTGTGTGTGTCTGGTGTATTCCTCCAGCTTTCCAGGAAGCATGAGTTCATGAGTGACACCAACCTCTCGGAGCATGCGGCCATCCCCCTCAAGGCGTCTGTCCTCTCTCAAATGAGCTTTGCCAGCCAGTCCATGCCTACCATCCCAGGTATGCCCCCTGCTGCCACCAGCATGAGGGAGTAGAGATAGTGCAGGCCACCAGCCTTGTGGGTGGAGGATGGATGGGAACTGTGTCTACACAACAAAGTGGGCCAGGCATCCTGGAGTGAGAGGCTCTGCTCATAGCCACCCACCCTCTAATCTCTCCCCACACCCACCACTTCCTGGGGGTGACACCATCCCAGCAAGCTCCAGCAGGGACAGGGGAGAGGCCTGCTGTCCCTTGGGCCCTCAGGATTCACTGAGCATCCATTTGTCACACTAGGTGGCCCCTTGTTCTCAGTTAGCCAGGCCTCCCCAGGGGCCAGAAGTTTGCCCTTGGTATGTCCCTAAGACCTGTGGCTTCTTTGTGGACCTGGAAGACTCTTTCTGGCTTTACAGAAATGGCCACCACATCTTATAGCTGCAAAGTGTTTGGTGCATAGATGCTACCTATCTGCCACCGTCGTCACTCACTCACTGTCCAGTGAGGAGGTTAGAGCACAGCCGATGGTCCTAACTCACAGAAGGGAATCTGAGGCCCTAACAGGGGACATGGCATGCCTGAGAGCACTCCATCTGGTAGGCAGAAGTCCTTGACGTCTGCTGCTATGTGCCTGGCTCTGTGTGCTAAGGGCCAGGTCAGAAGGGAACAAGACAGGACCAGTGCTGCCCTGTGGAACTCAGCAGGCCGATCATGGTGAAGACGCTTGCTGTTTCCTGAACATTGAGGGTGCCAGGCCCTGCGCCAACTGCTACTCCTTCTTTATTTCATTTACTCCACTGCGCATACCCAGGAAGTAGTTCATGTTATCCACCCCATTGTATGGATGAGGAAACTGGGGCACTGAGAACATCACTCTCTTGCCTATCACCAGCCAGCAAATGGCAGAGACTGAGTTCAGACCCAGGCCCTCTTCCCTGGAACAGGCACCTACCCACTGCCCCGCCACCACCCCCAGGATAGCCTGAACACAGCTGCAACATTTGGCCCAAGCCATTTCACTGGTATCTGCTCAGCAGGTCTCACCACACCCTGGCGGTCTGGGCTCTTTCTCCCATTTGGCCAATGTCAAAACCAGCAGTCAGAGAGTAACTAATTTTTCATGTCTCTGTGACGCCAAGCTGGGGCTGTAACCACTAGGTCATCTGGCCCCTCCACCAGGTGACACGTGGGTTTGAGACTCTCTTCCCGCTGTCTCCTGCAATGGGGAGAGAAATCCAGGGTGTTGGTGTTGGGAGCTGGAGGAAGAGTAAGCTCACACTGTCCCCTGCCTTGGAGCAGAAGGTTCTGTTTCCTGGGGATGTCAGGGCTTTGGGGCAAGGTTTTGACCAGGAGCCAGGAGGCTGAACCCTTGTCTGTAGGGTGGGCAATCTTCACTGCAAGAGGACAGCTTCAATGTCCCCTGGCACGGCAGGAAATAGGCATCCTGCCTCCTGCTTGGCACATACAATGTGTGATCCCTGGATGCTGGCTCTGTCCCCCAGCCCTCCCCCTGTCTACCTCCCCCAAGGCACTGCCCCTCCTCTACCCACCCATTCACACCCCAGCTCTGCTCTCCTTCCAGCCCTGGCGCTCTCAGTGGCAGGCATCCCTGGGTTGGATGAGGCCAACACATCTCCCCGCCTCAGCCAGACCTTCCTCCAACTCTCAGATGGTGACAAGAAGACACTCACACGGAAGAAGGTCAATCAGTTCTTCAAGACAATGGTGAGGACATTGAGGGTGGAAGGAAAGGAAGGCATTGGGAGGAGAAAGGGAAGAGAGCAATGCAGAGAGAAGAAAATGGGGGGTTGTGTGTGCATATGTGGTCATTCCTAGGGAGGCATAGTCAGGAGGCCCTGAGTTCTGGGACACTGTGCAGCAATGCCCAGAGGGCAGTTCTCCTCTGGGGCCTCAGGCAGCTCCTCTGACCAGGATTGACCCCAGCTAGGGATGTGCAGGACCCAGGGACCTCAGAAGCAGTAGGTGGCCTACCCTCGCCTAAACTGCCCCTTAGTGCTCCAGCCCTTTTTTATTCAACCTATATCACAAAATCCTACAAATTGAACATTAGTTTCCAAGCGCTGATTCTGCAAGTCCCATCTCCTATTGTTACTTGTTGGCCTTTGCTCAAGATCAAGAAGGTACCATAACACATCTGATCCTCAAGGTAATATGAAATCAGGACTCTGCTACTACAAATATCTCAAGTTTACCATGAGCACACGATGAGTCAGGCACCATGCTAAGCACTTCCCAAGCATGGTGCCATTTGAGCTCCCACTCTTAGGATTTTATATGGGAGGCTCACAGGGTTTGGTAAGTGAGGTGCCCAAGTCCACATGGCTAGTGAGCCTGGGCTCACTCTACTGTCTACCACTGCCTTTCTGGCCAAAGCCAAGGGCATAGCAGCTCACATTCACTGGGCTTTGGGCAGGGGTCAGTGTTGAGGCCCTTGTGATTAGGACTGGGAAGCTCCATTTTGGTGCTTAATCTGATAATCGCATCTTGGTTTTGTGCTTGTTTATTCTCTCAAAAGCTGGCCAGCAAATCGGCTGAAGAAGGCAAACAGATCCCAGACTCGCTGTCCACGGACCTGTGAGCTGCTGCTGACTAGGGCTGCATGGGAGAGCCAGGGAGGGGAGTTTCTGGAAGAGGAAAGCCATGCGTGGAACATCGAAGCCTCAGAGAGTGGGAGACTGTCCCCATCAGTTGTCCTTACTTAGAGGAGACAGAGAGGCCAATCAGGTCCCAGAGCTTGAATGCTAACAAGCCCAGCATCCCCTGGGGCTGTGATCATGGTGGATGAGGAAGCCTCAACGTAGATTCCTGAACTCAAGGTACCAGCAAGAATGCCTTCTCCCAGTGTGCTCTCCCCAACATCCTAGGCACAGCTTTCATAACCCAGTTTCTTAGGTGTAAGAAACTGTTTTTATCTCATTTATTAAGTCTCAGAACTTAACAGAAAAGGAAGCCTTTTAAATATTCTTTTTAATTTTATTTTAGATTAACAGTTTTGTACTTTACATTTTTTTATACAACCAACCAGTTTCTTTTCTAGCCAATCATCTCTGAAGAGTTGCTGTTTCTTACTGACAATAAAAAATGTTCTCTTGGTTCGAATAAGCCTTGTTGCCTGATTCTGTTGGCTGACTCTCCTGGGCCCAGGACTGGGCAGGAAGCTCCCTGGAAGGAAGGCAGGCCCAGGGGCTGCAGTGATGTGAAGGAGCCTGGTGATGCCCTTGCCCAATGCCAAATTTCCCCACCTCATCTATGAGAAGATTCTTCAAGAATCTCCATGACTCTTGTTCCTTAGGTGCCAAACCCTGGGCTACCAGCATGTTAAAAAAGTTGCCCTGGTCTTCCTCACGAATCTGAATAGTGGAGTGTCATACCTCCTTTCTTCACCTTTAGAAAGAGATGGCAAGACCACCCAAGCCAGGTCACTCTAGTAAAGACCAAACATAATGCCAAAGAGTTAGGAAAAGAGGGGTCTGAGGTCCAGTGGACTTATGGTCCAGCTCTTGGATCTTGTCACCGGCTCCCAAGTGGTGGCTTTTCTTGGAGGAATTCTCAGGTTTTTCAGATGAGGCCCAAAGGAGGTGAGTAGCTTTGTCAGGCAGCAGCAAGAGAGGATGGGAGCAAAGTCCCACGTCTGGATCCTACAGAGAGCAGGGAGCTGTGCAGGGGAGGGGTCCAGAAGGAGGCGGAGGACTGCATTTGAGAAGGAAATTAATACTGGGTAAGTGCATGACAACACAGGTTTCAGAACTAGAGCCATCTGGAAACCTTGGGGTGGATGCTCATTTACAGGCTGGGTCCCTGGGGTATAGTAAGAGATGAGAAAGAATGATGATGGTAGCTCAAATTTATTGAGCCCTGACTGTCTCTGGGACAGTGTTATAGACATGATAAGAATGAACTTCCTAAGTCTAGACAGCAGCCCTAGGAGGTAGATACGATTGCTACCCAGATGAAGAAATGGAGGCACAGAAGCATGAAGTGACCCAAGATCACACGCTTAGTAATGGAATGGCTGGGATTCAAACCCAGACAGCTGGGTGGGAAGCCTGACTCTTAGGCACCACCCTACATTGTCTCTGGGACACCTTAGTGCACAGAATATCCTGAGTCTTGGTAGCCTTTATCCACCCCAGCCTGTCCCTGGTGGCCTCTATGTCCCTGCTGCAAGCCCCATTTGAAGACGTGTTGCCTAGTTCAGCTTCTAGTTTCCTCAACAGTCTAAAAAGTCCTGTTGCGATGATTGTTGGGGTTTGGGCTACAACAAACACCTTTGGGTTCCCTAAGGTGAGTAAGCAGCACCTGGAGGATTGGACTCTATTACGAGCTTGGCTTCTCATGCCTGCTTTTTCTCTTATTATGAACTGATAAAATCCTACTGTTTAGCTTTGACATGTAAGCCCTTCCAAATACCAGTGGGCAGTGGGGGCCAGGGAGGAGGGGGCAAATCTCAACAAGGAAAAGAAAATGGTTCTCCCTTTTCCCACAACTACAGAAAAGCAGATATGATCCTGTGCCTTGAAACTGCAGATGTTACCCTCACTCGGGAGTACTGAAAAACACCCATACTCAGAGGTTGTTGCTATGTCGTCCCGAGAAAGTAAGCTTTAACCCCTAAAAATTCTGTAACTGATTGATCTTCTCGCTTAACACCGTGTGACCCTGGTAATAATATTTCTGAGTTCTATTTTCTGAAGATTATCAGTATCTATGAGTTTTCTTATTAAGTCTGAAGGGGACCATTGGCACTTCCCTGTTTTCCCATATAAATGGAGCAAGACGTTAAACCCATAAACAGGGTTTGAAAGTCAAATGTCATTTCAGTTAAGAAATGAGGTTGACAGCCCACTTAATCCTTTGCCAGAAAAATTTTAGATGCTGCCATCACATGGCAGGAAAAACAATGCCAGTAGTAATAACAATAACAAGCAATAATAATAATACAGCTGCCACTTACCAGGCACTTACTCTATATGTCATTTCCTTAAATCCTCACACCAATCCTATGAGCTAGACACTACGGTCCCAATCACATTGATGTGAAACTCAATTCCAAGGTTGAGGAGTTTGTGATGTGGCCTTGTCACCTGACTAGTAAGGGACACAGCCATCTCTATCCACACCAAGCCTCGTGATCTTAATCCACACATTCACTTTATACCTGGGACCTCAGCTCAATGTCAGACTCTATTTCACCGTCCATGATTGTTTGCAAGTCTTCTCCTACAATGCCAATGGTGGCACCTGGGAAAAATGAAGGTGGGGTTAGGCATTTGGCATAGCCCTCCTGGTACCACCGATGTTCCCTTATTGTATACAAGTTCTGTCCAAAACAAGCTAGTCATCTCAAGGAAGGGTGTATGTCTCAGAATTTCCAGAAGGAGGTAGCATTGGATGGGATTGGAGGAAGGATCTCTTTATATGTCTTCCCTTCTTGATGCTGTTTTCTGGGACCCTTAGGGACCACTTCATCCAGTGCTCTCATTTTACACAGTTAAGTGATCTCTCCAATGGCTGTGATCAGCAGGACCCAATCTGGAATCCAGGTCTTCTTCCAGGTAATCTCCCATCAGTGGAAATCTCTCACCTTCTCTTTAAGCACCCAGTGACGCTTGTTCTCTGTCTCCAAGACAGGGTTGATATCTGCGATTCATACTTTGGTTTGATCTAGAGCACTACATTCCCTTCCTTTCCTTAAGGGAGGGGTATTTTTAGCCTTTATTCCTAAGCATGGAGTAGAAGTCTTCCTTCTTTCTTCTAGGCTTTCAGGCTTATGTCAGCAAGTAGAAGAGAAATTGAGGGAAACAAATGGCCTTCCCAGCATCCAAAATCAGGCTGGGCTCTGCTTTCCAGACATGCTAACCTGTAACACATCTGTATGCCTCTCCTGGCTGAAACCTGGGTGTTTCTGCCTCCCTGCCATAGCTTCAGTTCCCTAGGAAACAGATCCTCAGGCAATGATTGAATGCCATGCTCTTTTGGGGCTGTGCAATCTTAGGGTGAAGGAAAGAGGGAAAAGGGATTGGAAGCAATGAAAGTTGAGGTATTAACTCTACTTGTCTCTGGTTCACACTAAGCCACAAAGAGACTCAACTTGTCAGGCAGCATTGAGCAGGGTATCTTTGGGCAGGGTATAATAGAGAAATCAAACCCCAGAAGAGTCTGTAAAAAGGAGAAAGTCCGGGCGTGGTGGCTCACGCCTGTAATCCCAGCACTTACGGAGGCCAAGGTGGGTGGGTCATGAGGTCAAGAGATCAAGACCATCCTGGCCAACATGGTGAAACCCTGTCTCTACTAAAAATACAAAAATTAGCCAGGTGTGGTGGCATGCACCTGTAGTCCCAGCTACTCAGGAGGCTGAGGCAGGAGAATCACTTGAACCTGGGAGGTGGAGTTTGCAGTGAGCCGAGATTGTGCCACTGCACTCCAGCCTGGCAACAGAGTGAGACTCTGTCAAAAAAAAAAAAGGAAGAAAAGGGAATGTATTTGCCCAGCTTGCCCCTACCTCAGTCTCCTGTTTCTAGTAGTAAGTTCCCCCTGTTGGGTATGGTAAAACCCTTCATGGTTTTACCTGTGGATTGCATCATTTAGCCCTTTCAGTAGCTGCTTGGGAAGCTAGATCCCACGCCCCACAAAGTGGCATTCCATCCAAGGGCAGAATTTGTGTAAGAAACCAGCAACTCAGGGAATAAGCCAGTAGTCTGGGCTCTGTTGCAGCAAGAAAAGGGAAGAGCAAGGCCTTATGGACAAGCAACTGGTGGACTCCAGGTGGGAGGACCATGTGAACCTAAGTTGGCTGCAGTGGCTACTGAGGTAGAGCAGACAGCTGGCGTCCCAGAAAACCATGGCCTCTGAAGGAGCCGAAAAGGCATATGAGATTGTCTGGGACATTCAGACCCTCACATGCCCCTTCTGTTATCTCCTGCTCCTATTATAGCTTGTGAATCTTCTCTCTCTCTCTCTCTCTCTGTGTGTGTGAGTGTGTGTATAAGATGTACTTTCTCCTTTCCTACAAAAAGATGAACAAATCCATATGCTTTCTCCTTTCCTAGGAGGGGATGTCCAAGTCCATGTGCTTTTTCCTTTCCACATGTCCAAGTCCACATGTTTTCTTTCCCATAAGAGATGTCCAAATTCATGTGCTTTCTCCTTTCCCAAGAAGGGATGTCCCAGTCCAAGCAGTCACAGAGTCCACTTCAAGGCGGCATTTAGTTATGATCTCCCACACAACCTACAGCAAGAAGATTTGTGAAAGAAGCCACGATAGCTACTGCAGCTGGACCAAGACTATAACAGATACTCATTATCTCCTTCCTCCACCACCCAGTTAAGTGTCTCTGACCCACAGGTCACACTTCATCTGGACTGGGTTGCCTGCCTGCTGGGCTGCTCAGACCTCTTATCCCCAAAGGGTCTGAGTCTAATTGCTCCACCCTTCTTGGTTTGTGGTTGTTGTAATTACCTAGTGATCATTACCAGTGGGCATGAGTGTACTAAGAAAGGGCCCAGTGATCCCCTTGGTTCCAGGCACGCTCCTCTCTGCGCCTATTGAATCAACATCCGAGGTCCTCATGTAATCAGGGTCAGTTGCTGATCCATGAGCATGATAAGCCAAAGTGGCCAAGTGGTCGTCACACCTCCAGTTCAATGGGGGCATCACTCTGGCCCTACCTTGTGACCATATTATGGGTTGATTTGTGTCCTTCTAAAATTCACATGTTGAAATAATAACCTCCAATACCTCAAGATGTGACCTTATTTGAAGATAGGGTCTTTAAACAGGTAGTAAAGTTAAAACAAGGTCATTAGGGTGGGTATTAATTCAACATGACTGGTGTCCTTATAAAAAGAGGAAATTTAGAGAAAGATGGGCACACAGGGAGAATGCCATGTGAAGATAAAGGCACAGATTGGAGGGATGCATCTGCAAGCCAAGGAACACCAGATTGCCAGCAAACCACCAAAAGCTAGGGGCAAGGCATAAACAGATTCTCTCTCTCAGTATCTAGGAAAAAAAAAACAGTCCTGCCAACACCTTGATTTCAGGCTTCTGATCTCTAGAACTGTGAGACAATAAACTTTTGTTGTTTAAGCCACCCAGTCTGTGGTATTTGTTGCAGTGGCCCTAGCAAACAAATACAGACTGGGACCTCACATCTTACAAAGCCCAAGACGGCAAGGACAGGAGGCATCAATCCCACGGGTAGGTCACTGGTGTGATAGTGAGAAGGGCTTTTGTACTCTCACACCAGGTCCCCAGCTTTAGGAGACTTTGAAGACATAGTATTATACACCGCCCATAGTATTATACATCACCCACTGTCCACTGAATTTACTACAGACTGGAGGACGGCTCCCTGGGAGGTAGTGTCCCCCACTGGAACCTTGGCTGAGCCTCTAAAAGGCTGTGCTCTGTTCCATCAGGTTGGCTGCTTCTGAATGATGGGCTTCATGGTAAAGCTGATGAATCCCACGGCCTTGAACCCATTATGTTAAGTTCCTTGCTGAGAATGGGTCCCTTGTTCCAGCTGAAGGTTTGTGGGATCCCAACTCAATGAATAAGGTTTTTCTGTAAGCCCTTAGATGATAATGCAGACAGAAACATCATGGGCCTTCGAAGGCAACCCCATATCTAGAGGATGTTTTGATCATGATAAGCATGAATTGTTGTTCTTTGCAGGGTGGAAAGGTCTCAGTGTAAGTGACCCATGTTTCCCTAAGAAATGGTGCATGTAATAGACTCAGTGTCAGTCGCTGCTGCTAGCAGGTGGACACTTTGCAGTAGAAATAGCTATACCACACTTGGTGAGAGGAATTCCATATTGTTGAACCTAGGTAGAGCCTCCATCTCTGCCACCATGACCACTTGATCACAGGCCCATTGCACATGCAATGGATGGCAGAGGAGCAAAGCTGAGCTATAGGACTGATCATCCAACTTCCTTGATGGTTGAAAGACTGATCTGTGGTCTTTCTGGTGAGCAGTAAAACACAGATCTGCAAATTTTGAGTCTGCTCCCATTGGATCATGAACATACTTCTTGCCCAGACCCCCAGTAATGAATCTTCCAGTATTATTCTTTTCAGTCCTCTGACCAATCAACAAAGCCATTCTTTATTGCCCAGGAGAATAAATGTCTATCTCAGTTCATGTTCCCCTCTTTTTAGGGAAGACAGCCAAATGTACTGCTCATAGCCCTACCACTGGGCTGCAACACAGCTGCAGTCCATTTCCAGCTAGCATTAACATAGTATGCCTTCTCCATAAGTTGGCCTTGTAGAATCCCTCCATAAGTCCAAAAGTATGGGTTGAAGGACAGGCATGAATTAAGCAAAAGTAGGTACCATGGAATTCTGGGTCATCAGTTTTTATCATTTACTCTTGCCTTCAAGACTTGCTTGAGCCTGATGCCAAAGATACCACTTTCATAATATGATGGATTTCTGCCACGCTCTGCCTTATGATGTGGATGCAACCATGATGCCCATGATGGACATCTCAGGTTGCATGGTCCCTTGGTGTCCCATAGTGAGGAGCTCAACTTCTGAGGAGACCCAGTAGCATTCTGAGAGCTATTTTTCAGACAGAGAGTCAAGGAGAACATAAGTTTGATTTAGATTCTGAGAGGTATGTGCTGTAATCATCCTATAGGGTCTTGTTAGCATCTCCATTCAGCATCCACATCTGCCGTGAATATCTCCACGGTAATCAGATATGGCCTCAGAGGCAGAGCAGCTAGAACCACAGCCTAGACCTGCTGCAGAGCATTTGTCTCTAGGTTCACTCAAACTGGCATACTCCAGAGTCACCTGATAACAAATTGGAAGCAGTAGTCCACATTTTCTTTGTCCAAGATCCAAAAAGACTCATCGGCTTCTATGTCTCTTTTTTAGTAAAAGAAAATGTAAGATGCAGGCTGGGTGTGGTGGCTCATGCCTGTAATCCCAGCACTTTGGGAGGCTGAGGCAGGTGAATCACTTGAGGTCAGTAGTTCGAGATCAGCCTGATCAATATGGTGAAATCCCATCTCTACTAAAAAATACAAAAATTAGCTAGGTGTGGTGGTGCACAACTGTAGTCCCAGCTACTCAGGAAGCTGAGTTGGGAGGATCACTTGAACCCAAGAGGCGGAGGTTGTGGTGAGCTGAGATCATGCCACTGCACTCCAGCCTGGGCAACAGAGCGAGACTCCATCTCAAAAAAAAAAAAAAAAAAGTAAGATGCAACAGCTTGTTATTTATATTAAAGGTGATGTCCCAGCATGCCCTAACAACTGGAGCCCAAAAATTGGTAACAGTCACATTGGTGACATATATCAGGCCCCTAAATCACTCAGGTTTATCAACCCACCCTTGTAGCATGTATGTGTCTTGGTGGGGAATCTAGGGTGCCTGACACTCCCTGATCACCAAGCCAATGAACATGATGTTATGCATGTAGAGGAACAGTGTGATGTTTCTGGAAATACCAATATAAGCACGGTCTCTATGGACTATCTTAGGACAGAGAAAAGGAGAGTTGACACTGCACCGAGTCTACCCAGTGCAGATACCCTGTTGTCCTGCCATAACAAAGCAACCTGCTTTTCATGTTCCTTTCATATGAATGCTAAGAAGAAAACATTCATGAAACGAATAACCACATCCCAAGGAGCAGAGGCGGTACTGACCCGTTCCTGTAAAGACACGAAAGTCCACCTAGCATCTAGTGATATTGATGGTAGTCCACTATCATCTGTCAAGATTCGATTCTTATTTAGAGACAGACAGGTGAATTGAATGGGAATATTATAGGGGCCACTGGCCCTATGTTCTTCAAGTCTTCAACAGCTGTGTTTATCTCTGCAATTCTTGTGTCTGATCTTGACAAAACAGGCTTCCACTCAGAACTTCCTACTGTAATGGGTCTAACTGCCCAGGTCAACAAACAGATGCATAAGTGAGTGTGTTCTACATTCAGGAATCAGGCCAAGACCCCTATCACTTGTTCTCCAATGGTCCACACTCCAACCTGAGGACCATCATGGAGTTTTACATCCCCTGATATTGGTGTTAATTCAGATCTCATATCTACTTGGCTTTGAGGGATCCAGATATTTCCTTTTCCCTGGTTCACAGTCACCCTGGAAATAGTCATAAGTCCCTTTGGGAAAATTTAGAGAACTATTTCCTGAAGATACTTGTGAGTACACTGCAGGGTTTTGTCTTAAAGAATCAGCCTCCCCTTCAATCAATGGGCCTTGATGTAGATCTGAAAGCTGAGCGAGGGGTCACAATTTCCCATAACCATGGCTGATTTTCTGATTATGTAAACCAAGCAACAATCTACATAGCTTCTCATCTATTTGGCCTCTGGGAATACCATCACCTACAGTGGTCAGTGTGGGTTACAGATCCTACAGGTCCCTGTGGGTTAAGGCACGCTGATTGTCTCTCTCACCCTGTTGCTCATTGTGATAATTACCTCTACTTGGGACCTGAAAGTCAGATGTAGGTACCTGCCTTTCCTAAACTAGGAGTCCGTCAGTCCATCATCCCCACTGACATGAGGGAGCCCAGTTCCACGCTGACATCACCTGCCATTAACATTGACCTAGAGAGGATGGCCACTCCCATGCTTGGTGTCTCTATTTGTTTCCTGTGGCTGCTATAGCAAATAATAAACAAAACCCAAACAAACAAAAAGCTTCAGGAGTTTTAAACAACAGAAATGTGTCCCTTCACAGTTCCAGAGGCTGGAAGTCTGAAATCCAGGTGTCAGCAGGGCCATACTCCCTCTGAAGGCTTCAGGGAAGAATCTTCCCTTGCCTCCTCCTGGCTTCTGGCGGTCAGCGATGCCTGGTGTTACTTGGCTTGCAGCGGCATCACTCCAGTTTCTGCATCCAACTTCACATGGCCACCTTCTCTGCGTGTGTGCCTGTGTCTCGTGTCTCTCTGTTTCCAATTCTCCCTGTTCCTATAAGGACACCAGTCATTGGATTTAGAGCACCCTAATTCAGGATAGCCTCATTTTAACTTGATTACCTCTGCAAAGACCCTATTTCCAAGTAAGATCACATTCCCAGGTTACCCAGGGTTAGGACTTCAACATATATTCTTGGGTACACAATTCAACCCATAATACAGGTACCCTTTACTTTTTGTCCTAAATGAAAAAAAAATATATGTCCTTTAGGCTCTCCCAGGGAACATAATCTCAAGTCAGGCATAATAAATTTCTTCTAAAACATCCACTTCCCTGAGCTGCCTGATCCCTTCTGAACTAACAGTGTTGAATAAACCAAGTTCTGGTGTGTCTACTCCATTCAATATAGGCCACCCTCAGTCCCAGCTTCAAGGAACTATCTTGGAAAACTATCAAAACCAGCACTGGGCGTCTGCCCTAACATTGAATCCCAAGCCAGGAACATGCGCCCCATGCTAATGAATTCTCCTCTATCTGATCTTATTTCCAAAAACTTCCTAAGCCTTGGCACCCTCAGATCCACTCCCATGCATGTTCCCAGTGCCACCAGCCAGATCCTGCAATTCCATGTAAGCTGTATCTTCCCAAGGCAGGAGACACAGCTCCCCTCCCAGGCTGTGCTCCCCTCTCAGACCCGATTCTGGTTGCTGGGTGGAGGCAGTAAGGGGCGGTGGAGTCAGTTCTCCAGAGGAACAAGCATCCACTGGCAGAGCATGTGTTTCAAGCAAGAGCTCCAAGAAAGGGGAGGCCGTTCCCTTCTGATAAGAGAGAAGGGCCTGCTTCAGCCAGGCAGGATGTTTGGGGGATTCAAAATGTTCAGGCTTACAGGGCTGAAGGTTTCTACATCAGATCTTTGGCTGCAGTCTTCCTGTGAGGGCGCTGACTTTACTGGAGGAGGCTATTGAAGCTTTGCATTCCTGTCTTTGCAAGTCTTTCACCCTTTTAACCAGACTCTAACCCAATTTCAGCAGAGTCTGCTCAGCAACTGCATGAGATGAGGTCTCTAAAATATTTCAAACCAGCTGTGACGGGCACCATAGTAACCCCTCAGTGATGGCTGTATTCTAATCCCTGGAGCCTGTGAATATGTTAGGTTACCTGACAAAGGAGAATTAAGGTTGGAGATGGAATTAAGGTTTGCTGATCAGCTGAGTTTAAGATCATGGAGATTATGCAGGATTATCCAGATTGGTCCAACGTAATGACAGGAGTCTTTAAAAGCAGAAAGAGGAGGCAGCAGAGGAGAGTCAGAGGATGCCATGTGAGAGGAAGTCACTGCCTGTTGCTGGCTTTGAAGACGGAGGAAGGGGGTCATGAGCCCAGGGATGCAGGAAGCCTCTAGATGCTGGGAAAAGCAAGGAAACAGATTCAGCCCTAGACAGGAACGTAGCTCTGCTAACACTTTGTTTTTAACCAAGTGGGATCCATGTCAGTCTTCTGGTCCGCAGACTTAAGATAAGGAATTTGTGTTATTTTGAGCCATGAAGTGGGTGATCATTTGCTGTAGCACAATACAGCAACAGGAAACAGAGAGACCCTTTGATATTGACAGCGTGCCTTTGGCTGTCCCAGCCTAGCAGTTTCTATTTGAAAGACCTCCAGGACAATCCAAGTAGCCATCCTACTCCACAGTTGTTGTAATTATTATTAGCCTGTAACCAGCTGAGCACCTCAGCTATTTGATCACTCAGTGCATGCTGCACCTCATTTTGCAGGTAGAAGCATAAGGAATGATGATGTCACCATGTGTGAGGAGCTATTTCCATCCCACTTACTACTAGCAGCAGGGAGTTCTATTGCCTTGGGACACGAGCAATGCAACTCCAAAATCCCATCCTGAGAGCCTGTTTTCTAAATTCTCTTCCGTTTCCAATTTGATTATATCCTGGGTCTCCTAGAATCTGTTACTCAAAGAGTGGTCTGCAGAAGACCACTGTGGGCCTCCCCTGGGGGCTTGTTAGGAATACAGAATCTCAGGCTTCACCCTAGACCTGCTGAATCCTACTCTGCATTTGAACCATAGTCCCAAATGATTCAAATGCACATTAAAATTCTACAGCCCAGCCGGCCATGGTGGCTCATGCCTGTAATCCCAGCACTTTGGGAGGCTGAGGTGGGCGGATCATGATGTCAGGAGATCGAGATCATCCTAGCCAACATGGTGAAACCTCATCTCTACTAAAAATACAAAAATCAGCCAGGTGTGGCGGGCACCTGTGGTCCCAGTTACTTGGGAGGCTGAGGCAGGAGAATCACTTGAATCCGGGAGGCGGAAGTTGCAGTGAGCCGAGATTGCGCCATTGCACTCCAGCCTGGCAACAGAGCAAGACTCCGTCTCAAAAACAAACGAACAAACAAAACCACTACAGCTCTTGTGCCTGTAATCCCAGCACTTTGGAGGGCTCAGGCGGGTGAATCACTTGAGGTCAGGAGTTCAAGACCAGCCTGGCCAACATGGTGAAACCCCATCTCTACTAAAAATACACACACACACACAAAAATTAGCCGGGAATGGTGGTGGGCACCTGTAATCTCAGCTACTCAGGATGCTGAGGCAGGAGAATTGCTGGAACCCAGGAGTCAGAGGTTGCAGTGAGCTGAGATTGTGCCATTGCACTCCAGCCTGGGTGACAAGAGCAAGACTCTGCGAAAAAAAAAAAAAAAAAGATCTGAAAGCATTGGCCATGAAAACACAACCCAAAGATTACAAGCTGATGGCTTACTTGGGAGTGCAGGTCCGGGCACCAGGAGGGGAAATGGAAGTGAGGCAGGGAAAGGTGTTGAGCAATTGAAGGTGATGCATTACGGTGCTGGACGCTGTTTCATGACAAGCTGCAAAGGGCCAGCTGGTTGGTCACAGAGGTGCCCGCTCGTCTACTCTTGACATCCCTGGAAAGGATATATAGAGTATTCTATCTCCTATTTCTTACAGCCAAAGGGAGAATTAACTAATTCCCTACACTTCCAGGCTGCATCCTCCAGCCCCTTTGGCATCACTTGGGAAGTCAGATCTTCTATCTTTTGCTCAAATCAGGTTCAGGAAGAAACTTAGGGAATGCAGCTGGTCGGCCTGGCTGTGCAGCAGCACCACAGGGGAGTGGTCCAGCCTTCTCACCCAAATGACTCACTGGCCCTAGGTAGTGCACCACGAAGACCCAAGTAAAGTAGCTTCAACCCCTTCTCACTGGAACGCATTGGATCATCCCAGCCAGGCATGACCCCTCCAGGCTCAGACCTCATTGCTCTTTCCCTCTTTCCCTTGAGCCCTGTGTTCAGAGCATTGACTGAGGTCTAAGAGGCTGGGTAGACCATCCCCACTGCCATGTTTTGTTTGCTTGATTGTTTGTGATTTGTTTTCTGCAGAGTGAGGGCAAATTCCCACTGATGTGCAGAGGGACACAGTCCCCAAGTTGAAGATGGCTTAGACAACCTCCTTTCTCTCTGCCTTTTACCTAGGAAGCACCCAGAAATCCCTGCAGACATTAATGAGGACATATCATTCCAGAAGAATCTCCAGTTCCTGCAGAGATGTAATCAGATAACTGTGACCTTTGGAAAAGCATGTGACCTCTCTAAGCCCAATTTCCTCATATGCGAAAAAGGACAATGACAGATGGGCATTAAGCCAACCAGAGGAACTAAGGATGTGGGGCAATGGTGTTTGCCAATTCTCCCTGAGTCAGCCCCATAGACTGATCACATTGAGCTCCCTTAATAATAAGGGGCTCTCTAGTAATGGTTATAGTGGACAGCCCTGGAAGTGGCACCACTCCCTGCCCTCCCAAGTCTCCCACCCTCATCCTGAGGAGGCGTGTGCTTGGGGTAGAGAAGTCTCCCTCAGGGTGCTTATGGCTGGTGGCAGCTTCATGATCAGTGACACCCACATAGACACACACAGACCTTAGCTCTAGACCTGTCTGCACCGAGTCCCAGCCGAGGCATTTTCCAGAGAACATTAAAGGGACGTATTACATCTCAGGCACTGAGCAAAGAGGAGGAGTGTCTCCTGTTCAGAGGTCCCAGACTATCACAGTGTATGCTACCTCCCCACCGTACCCCCAGGTCCACGACTCCAGGCCTTGCCACTCCAACACTGACAGACATTGAGTGAGCACCTGTCATTTTCTGGTGCTGTATTAGATGCTAGAGATACCACAACAGCCAAGGCAATCTCTATCCTCACACTTGAAGCACAAGTGAGAGCTTAATGATCATTGGTTGACTCATTCCTAAAACCCACCCAGTAGAAAGGGGCTCCAGATTGCCATTGGTTCCACTGCTTTCCTTTGCTTAAGGAGACAATGTTTACTAATGGAAGGAGTTAAAACATTTTTTTTTCTGAAAGCATTTATTGGCCAATGCAAAGTGGAGTACTGCCAAGGCCACTGGGTCCAGAATAATTGTCATTTTCCCTTTTCCAAAGGAAAGATAATCCAGAAAGAGTCCATGGAGAGTTCCCCATCCTTGCACCTATAAATCATCCTGAGATTTAGGGCTCAAGAATGGAAAACCTCCTGCTCAGAATCTGACACATCAGAGCTATTCATACACAGCATCCATTAGTTTGGTCTCCAGAATGCACATGTCCCTAACATGGGGAACACACTATTGTGTTCCACGGGGACACATAGGGACATGTGTTCCATGTCCCTAAGATGGGGAACATGCTATTGCAGTACCATGAATAGTAAGTTGAGAAGCTTAAATGCTTTGGTGGGGTGAGATGAGGAAGTTTCAAAATGGGTTAATGAGGGTTGATAGCAGAGGAAGAAACCAGTTCCAAAGCCAAATTTTCTCTCCAGAGGATTCTTGCCAGAGGTAGATTTTAGAAGGCAGAGTGCAGGTTAGGTGAAGAATAGAGGGATTGGCAGTAAAGGAAACCGTCCCCTTTGAGGGCGTGAGGCAGGGAGTTTAGTGTGGGCTTCTGTTCGCTGAGAGTCAGGACAGAGCACAGGAAAGGCAAGAGTTGAAACCCACCCAATACACAGAGCAGGTACTATTCTGGAAGACTTTAATCATGGTTTATCAAATATCATATGCTTAGAAGTTTATAATAATTAACCCATATAATAGTAAGGGTTAATAACTCAAACCCTTATAGTTAGCACATTTAACCATGTTGTTTTTCTTAGATTGCACTCTTTATGTTTCTGGTGAGAAAATCCTTGAGAGTTGCATACACAGTTATTTTATGACTGTTTATGAAATTGGGAAAAGTAGATTTTATGAAATGCATGCCCCTATGACAGACCTCCAAAATTCATTTTGATCTTTAAAAGTTTAAAATTAAAAATAGAAAGCATATTTGGTGTTAAATGTGTAGAAAATCTAACAGTAATTACAAAAAGTGCAAACCAATGAACATTTGGAAAAATCAATCGGCTTCTATGAATTGTCCCTGCTTGGCGTTCAACTTTGAGCACATTTACAAGTGAATAGGTGTGATTCCTATGATCTTGGGAACTGCCTACAGGGCTGGTCACACGGAAATCCACCCAGCTGGACATGGGGCAGCGCAGTCGACTGTGGTTCACAGAGATGGCCTCCCACGTCCAGTGAATAGAGACCCATGAGATAGCCACCACTGTGGTCCTGATTTCCACAGGACAAAGCAAAGTGAAGAGAACAGCACACAGCCGTTTCCCTCCCTCACAAATGAACTAAGAACTTAAAATTTGCTCCTAGCATTGTCCAAAGCCTGGGAGAAAATATTGCCTCTGCCCTCAGGGTTACTCCAGATCTAGTTGTGAAGTCAGGCAAGAAACTGATGATAGCAGCAAAATGAAACCCACTACAGGCCCGAAGGGTGTTCAGAGTAGGGAGGAAATGCGGAGAGTGGCCTGGAAACCAGGAGGAAGGCTTTTGGGGAAGTGGCGTTTCAGCAGGCATTGAAGATAAGCGAGAGTCCTCCAGGAAGCGGAGGGGGCAGGGCACTCCTGACAAAGGATGTCCTGCAAGGGGCCAGGCAGGGACCGGAGCACCAGGGAGAAGTTCACGCAGCCACGACCTGGGGGGTGCAGAGGGTGGATGGGAGACTGATAGGAGAGGTCCAGCTGGGTCTTAGTGCATAAGGGTCTGGAATGCCATGCGGAGAAGCTGGCACATTGACAGGCAGCACCTATGAGCACCTACTGTGTGCCAGACACTGTCATTAGCAAGCTACACTTAACACCTTCTGAAAGCTCACAACCACCCTCTGAAGTATAGACTGTCGTTCTTCCCAATTTATAGGTGAGGACACAGGCACAGAATGGGCACAGACACTTCTCCCAAGTCACACAGCTCGGAAGTGGTGGAACAGGGACTTCCCGCTGCAGGCTCTGAGGAGAAGGCAATCAAGCGGCATGTTTCCAAGGGATAACTCTGGGGACAGAACCTGGATCCCCATATCACTTGGTTTCTAAGCTGGCTATGCATTGGAGCCCCTGTCAGGCCTCACCTGGGCCTCACAAGTCAGAATCTTGGAGGCCTGGGTCCAGGAGAGTGTGTTTTAATAAGCTCCAAAGGCGGGGCCTGCTGGGCAGGTCCTTCAAAACCACTCAGCTCTGCCTCCCATTTGCCAGACAAAGAAACTGAGACCCAGAGGGGCACCACAGCCCACCAAAGCCTTCGTGAGTTGAGGACAAAGTAATGGTGCCCGGCCTAGAGACACTGTCCCCAGCCAGCATTCTTCACCCAGAGCGGGGAGAGGGAGGGGGAAGAGGGGAGGGAGGAGGAGCTCTTTATGGAGCAGACACCTTCTCTAGGTATAGGATGAAGGCCACTGGTGGTGTGGGAGGGGACCTTTAGGGCATGGAATCACAGCCACACACAACATTGAATCCCACTGTATTAGTTACTTATGGCTGCTGTAACAAATTACCACTAATTGAGTGGCTTAAAACAAGACAGATGTATTCTCTTACTGTTCTTGAGTTCAGAAGTTTAAAATAAGATGAGGTGAAAATCAAGGTGTTGGCAGGGCTTGCTGTTTCTGAAGGTTCTGGGAAGAATCTGTTTCCTTGGCTCTTCTGACTCCTAAAGGCTATAAGGCATTCAGCTTTCCTTGGCTTGTGGCCACATCACTCATCAGCTTTCTCTCTTACAGCTCATTGTCTGTCATTAAATCTCCCTCTGTTTCCCTCTAATAAGGAGAGTTATGATGACATTGGGCCCACTTGGATAATGCAGAATAACCTCTCCAACTGGTCATGGATTTAATCACTTCTGTAAAGTGTCTTTTACCTTGGAAGATGACCTATTGGCAGATTCTGGGGATTTGGACTGAAGTCTTTGGAGAGGGAGGGGCTCATTACTCTACCTACCACTCTCATGATCAGAACATCTCTTCTTTTCCAATTTTGTTTCAATCCTTTTGCCTTCTCCAAAAAGAAAGTCTCGGTTCTTGGTCAGAGTGTTTTGGCACCTTGCTAATACTTGCTGACCTCATGTTTGAGCAGAGTGAGCACACTCAGGCCAGAGCCTTCAGCAGACAACTGATGCCACCTCAGTGTCCTCATCTATGAAATGGGGACAATTACAATCCGGGCCTCCTAGGGTTGCTGTGGGGGCTGAATGAGATAACACAGGTAAGGTACTCAGGCTGTGCCCGTGACACTGTAAGCACTAAATAAATACTAACTTCTTATTTTATTTATAGCAAGTGATCCTGACGACTGATGATCCATTTCCAGAACTTATAAGGAATCTATCTTTAAAACAATTTCACTAAGTAAAAATCAGAAACAGAGCAAGAAAGCCCATGAGAACTTTTAAGTATGGTACACCAAAACTTCAGGTACCACACAGAGATGGCAAACACCACAAGCAAAGGGAGCCTCAGCTTGTGTGGCTGTCACTGTCTCCTGAACACCAGCCCAGAACTGGTACTGGGAAGACAGCCTGGTATTTGCTGAATAAATGAAGGAATGAATTACAGCCGTGCATGGTTTCAGAAGCATTTCCTATAGTACCTCATCCAGTCCCTGCAGCAGCTGTTTTCCATAAGCGCAAACAGACTCAGAGATTAAACATCAAGGCACTCAGAAAATACAGCTGGAGGAGTCTGATTCTGACTCAGGTCAGTCTGCCTGCTGCTGGGCTGCCTTCTAAGACACCTTTCCCCATTCCCAACCCAGCTCTCACTATTCCCACTGCAGCAGGAGTAAGGTCTTTTTCTCTAAGCGACTGTTTCTCCCGGGAACCTGACACTGAAATCTCTCTGTCTCCTGTCCTTAAAGGAACCGAGAGAAGACTCTTGCCTGCCCTGAAATTTCACCCAAGCCCTGCAATCTACTTCCCGCTTTTAAAGAGACGGCCGCCAGAGGGGGGTATTGATCTACATTTCTTCAGACAAGCACATCAGAAGCCAAAAAGCCGCAGAGCACCAAGACCACCTTCAGCCTGGCTAATGCCTCAGCCAGCCAGACTTCCACAAAGCCCATGCTCAGCATGAAGAAGCCATCCCCATGTCAGCCCCAAATACCCCAAGACATGACTCTCGTGAACCCTGTTGCCCAGGCAGGACAGACGAGGGCTCATTGCCGCTCACAGAGAGCCATCATAGATAGTAGGTAGTACTGCAATTTTTATCCCCATTTTACAGGTTAGGAACCTGGTGCAGAGAGTTAAGCTAGAGGCCAACTGGTCCCTAATCCCCTGATTCCCCGCCTCAGACAACTTTGTACTGTGCTAGGCTCCTGGGAATCCTGGAACTTAGAAACTATTTGTGTATTATGTGGAGAGGGGGGAAAGAATCCATGAAGCCAAGCCTCTAATCAAATGTGAATTTGGGGGAGGTATGTAGGGTCCAAGAGCTGGGGATGTTGTAGCCCCAGCTGGTGAACCACCAGCATCTCCCATCACCTCGGACTCCCGAGTCCCTAATGAGAGCTAACTGTATTGAGCAGGTACGATACTGTACAGTAAAGCCTGACATGAAGCGCCCAGAGCAGCACCAGGAAGTACTTGGTTTTACCGATGAGAAAACTAAGGTCCAAAACAAATGGTTGCTGTCTAAGGTATGACAGTGCCTAAGGAGTAGAGACAGGGTCGAGACCCAGAAAGTTTGGTTCCAGGGCCGGAGCTCCTTGCTCCTGGCACTGCCTGCGTGATACAGTTCCAGCCACAGTGGAGCAGCAGCCAGGCTGGCTCCCACCTGCCTCCTTCATCTCGGTGGCTGGTCATCCTCTCTGTACCTGCTTCCTCAAAGTTCAACAGGGAAACTGAATCCTTACCACACTGTGGTCCTACATGAGTTCATGTTTGTGAAAATGCACATCACCTCCTACCAGACAGGTGAACTGAGATCTGACTTCTAAAAGAGTATGATTCTCCACCCTTGAAAGTCAAGGCCAGAAGTGGCAGTGCTGGTTGATCACAGTCAGGCTGGGGGCCTGTGTACAGTTACCCTTTCTGCAGGACTTGAGTCAGCATTGGCTTCTGGACCCAGCAATATCCACAGCTGACTGCTGGGACATGTCCTCGGGGGCATGGCTCCCAGATGGCAGGATTTTCCCAAGGGGAAAGCAAATGGTTGAACGTTGCTTGGAGGAGGCTATGATGCCAGGCCTCCTGCCCAGAACCCTCTCCCGTGTCAATATCTGGCCTCAGGTACCCTTGCATTCATCATCATCCTCATGATCTGCAGCTTTTGCAGATCATGGGCTCCACATTTTACTTACACATTTATATTACTTTTTCCTTCCAAATCCACATGAGACGGATTCTAGTTTCATCCTCACTTTATTGATAAACAAACGGAGGCCTTGTAAGATTAAGAAACTTGGCCAAGATCACAAGGCTACCAAAGAGCGAAGCTGGGATTTGAACCCAGTTCTATGCAATCCTCAGGCCCACGTGTTCCATGTTTTACTGCTTTGTCCCAAATGTCACAATTTGGGGTTCAGAATATACAGAATATATGGTCTTTCATGTCCAAGAAGGCCTCCCTCTGGACTGTAGTATGCAAACTGCATCCCAAGCATTCCCTAGGCAGGCTCAGGCCCTCACACACCCAACTCTTACTCTTATTTTTTATTTATTATTCTATTATTATTTCCCTGAAGCTGGGCAGAGCGCATCTTCTCAGGTTTGAATTTTCACTTCTAGAAATTTCAAAAAGTTTAAAATAATTTCATTCACAAAATGACCCTAGTTGTTAGAGACATTTGATTCTTTTCCCGGAGGCCCTAGGATGGTCAAGGCGGGCTGCAGGACCATAACTCTCAAACCTCACTGCGGGGTGGGAACAGCTAGCTCCTGTTGTCCACCCCAAGGGCTATAGCCAGTGTTCCTACAAATCTGGAATGAAGGGTCCTCTGGGATGCTTTGGACACCCTGGCCCGAAGGTTTAACCTTGTGACCAAGTGCAGAGAAGCTGTGATCCCCAGCTACTGGGCTCTGGGTGCCAGAGGCTCCCGGTGAATAAGGCCTCCTAAGACAGGCCAGGCTTTCTCTGATCTACTGGGGGAAAGGAACTAGGGTCCACATGCAGCTAGGGAGACCCAGTTCAGCATTCCTCAGAAAATGCCGCTAAAGCAGGAGACGCCAAAGTGGGGCAGAGTGGGTCCTGACCCAGCCATGAACTTGTGTGACTCTGGGCCCTCTCTGATTGTCATCTGTAAATGTAGAGTCTGGTTATAGAATCGGTGTCTACGCTGAATATTTCTCCCTCTGTTTTTGCATCATAATCCCTGTCACATCCCTGCTGCATGCTGCATGCGATTAACTCTCAGTGTAGCAAACATAGGTGTGCTTGATTGTACACAGCAAATGTATACTGACTATAATCTATAATAACTAATATTTATTGAGTGAGCCTGTATGTGCCATGTGAAATGATTGACATTGATTACACTGACTACCTCACTGAATGCTCACTGCAACTTCGTGAGTTAAGTACTGGCATCGTTCCCTTTTTCACCAGAAAACACTGAGGCTGAGAAAAGCTAGATCACTTGTCAGGGCCTGCAGTGATCCCAAGGTTGGGATTTGCAATACCAAGGTTGGGATTTGCAGCCAGGTCCTCCTGATCTCAGAGCCTGTGTTTGCTACGTCTCTGCTATATTATCTGTTTTTAGCCTTTCAAATTTAACCCCAAAAGCAAGTCACCTGTGTGCTTGCCTTTCTCTAATCATTTAAATCAGAAACTACGGAAAAACAACAACAAAAATTGCATCCAATTCTTCATCCAGAAATAATAATTGGCAGTTTGATATTTATGTTTCTAGATTTCATATACAATTATAAATACATATTTGTACTAAAAAAAAATCTCATGGCATTTTGCAACCTGTTTCTCCAAATAATATCATGAGAACATAAACATCTTTTCATATCATTAGTTATTTTTCCAGAATCTATTTTTCATAGTTGCATAATATTACATCATTTGGATGATACACTATTTAGCCAATCCCCTACTGTTGGGCATTTAGATTAGTTACAATTTTTCACCGCTATAAACAATGCTGTGGTGGGCATCCCTGTGGCTAATTCTTTGCTCTGTTGAATTTTGTAAGATAAGCTTTGAGAAGTGAAATTGCTAGGTTAATTGTAAGGCTTTGAGTCTGTACTAGGGGACTCCAATGTGACTGCTCTTTGAAAAGTCAGGGCTCCACCTTCAGCAAGCCAGGCCTCCTCATAGAGAAACTGTACCAAACAAAAATTCTGCCTCTGGCTTGGCTCTGCAAAGTGTGCCTTACTCTAAGCCTCATCTGGACAGCCAGAGCCTTTCAGAGAGTCACATTTCATCACTGTTTTATGGTGGGGACAGGTTCCTCTGGGCCTAACATGACCACTCCTACCCAGTTACCTGGAACTCATCCTCTGGGCACCAATATGCTGAAAATGAAGTTTATTCAGTCTCATTCATGTTTGCCACATGTGTCCCCACATAACCATGAAAGAGGAGCAGAGAGGGGAAGAATTCTTTGGGGAGCATCCTCTCCAGTTGGGACAGTCAGTGACCTCTTTCTCTTGCCTCAAAGAAAGTAGGGCATGCAGGAAGTGGGAGGAAGCTGGATGGGAAGAAGAAGGAGGCAAGCGGGAGCGAGGTGGTGACCAGAGGGGCTGACCCCAACTTTTCTCCCATCTGCTTCATCACAGAGAGAAGTCTCAGCTGCTACCAGAACCTGGTCAGGGGCCAGCGCCTACCCTCTGAGTAGGGAGACCACCACCCATGGCCCAAGCTGAGGGCCTGACCTGGGGCACCAGGGGAGGCTGGGACAAGATGGAGGATGGAGCCCAGATAGGAGAGGAGCTGGCTGAGCCACAGGGAGAAGCCAGCAGGGGCTGCAGCTCCTGCTTCTGGAGCCTGAGGGAGAGAGAGAGAGGACGCCTGGGGCATGGTGAGTCGGGCGCTCTCCTCGTGCCCTGGCTGCCTCCATGCCAGGGGCCTCTGCGAGCTGAAACATGAAAGGTCTTTGGATCAGAGAGGAGCTGGGAGCCTGCTTGCCCTGCAGCTGGAAAGAAACTTGAATTGTTCAAGTTCTCTCACTTTTCCCTGAAGACTGATTCCCCATTTTCCCCTTTTGCTATTATTTTTAAGAGCCTTGCTGCTCTCCAGGCAAATTCTCAGGTTCTCTGCCCGTCTGCAGCATGTATGCATATGCGTGTGTGTGTGCGTGCGTGTGTGCGCGTGCGTGCGTGGGCGTGTGCGCGTGTGTGGGCGTGCGCGTGTGCGTGTGCGCGTGTGTGCGTGTGCGCGTACGCGTGTGTGCGTGTATGTGTGTGTTGGGGGAGGCTGCGGTGCCTATGACTGGTTGCCCCCTTGAACCCCACCAGAAGCCAGCCCAGGCCCCTCTGCGCCCTCTTCTGAGTCTCCAGGGCCGGTTCTCTCCTGGCAACTCCAGAAAGTGCCTCCTCACCTCAAAAGACCAAGAAACAGGGTTTCTGATAAAGTGTCCCACCCAGTCCCGGCTGGGGCAGTTGGTTAGAGAATGAGGGGACATTGGGGGGAAGAGGAGGGAGAATGAGGGGATGGGAAGAGAGGCGCAGAGAAAATGAGAGGTGGAGAGAAAGGGACAGAGTGAAAGAGAAGGAGAAAGGGGAGAAGCCGGGAAGACAATGAGAATGGAAGCGAGAGATGGAAGTGGAAAGAAGAACTGGAAGCCTAGAGACAGAGGGAGAGAGGGAGAGAGGGAGGGGGAGAGAGAGAGAGAGAGAGAGAGAACGGGAATGAGCAGCTGTGATGTGGCCAGATCAGTTCATAGAAAAGAAACACAGTTCAGAGCAGAAGGGAGGAAAGAAAATAAGAAGGAAAGAAACAGAGAATGAGATGCAGAGAGGAGAGGAGGGAGAGAGAGAAGGAAACCGAGGTGGGTAGAAAAATGTGACGAAAGGGAAGGACAGAAAAAAAAATGAGAGAAGTAAGACAGAATAAAGGAGAAAAAGAAGAAGGGAATCATGAGGATGGTGAGAAAAGACAGGAGAGAAAGCCGGGAGAGAGGATAGAGGGGCGTTCTCGCTGCGCTGCGTGTCAGCTCTGGTAAGCCGTCTAGCATGTCATTAGTGGGGACCTGAGGCGCCAGCGGGAAAGTCCCCTCCCCGTGGGCTGGAGGCTGAGGGAGGGCGGGCCCTGGGCTGGGATCCACAGGCAGGTGGCCGCCCCTGGGTGGGGCCGCCCGGCCAAGCCCTAGGGGTATAAGTGGGAGGCCGGGCCTGCTGAGCACCTGTCAGGGGCAGCTCCGGGGTGCAGGTGCCAGGCAGGTGGCTCCGGCCAGCCCAGCCCCAGCATGAGCTCCTTCGACCTGCCGGCGCCCTCCCCACCTCGCTGCAGCCCCCAGTTCCCCAGCATCGGCCAGGAGCCCCCCGAGATGAACCTCTACTATGAGAACTTCTTCCACCCACAGGGCGTGCCCAGCCCTCAGCGGCCCTCCTTCGAGGGGGGCGGCGAGTATGGGGCCACCCCCAACCCCTACCTCTGGTTCAACGGGCCCACCATGACCCCGCCACCCTACCTGCCCGGCCCCAACGCCAGCCCCTTCCTGCCCCAGGCCTATGGAGTGCAGAGGCCGCTGCTGCCCAGCGTGTCGGGGCTTGGGGGGAGCGACCTGGGCTGGCTGCCCATCCCCTCGCAGGAGGAGCTGATGAAGCTGGTGCGGCCACCCTATTCCTACTCGGCTCTCATCGCCATGGCCATCCACGGGGCACCCGACAAGCGCCTCACTCTCAGCCAGATCTACCAGTACGTGGCCGACAACTTCCCCTTCTACAACAAGAGCAAGGCCGGCTGGCAGAACTCCATCCGCCACAACCTGTCGCTCAACGACTGCTTCAAGAAGGTGCCCCGCGACGAGGACGACCCGGGTAAGGAGGCTTTGAGTGTGGGGGGTGTCCCCAAGGAAGACTCACTTCCTTCCTCCCCAAGACCCCATTCTAGAAAGTTCTGACTAGGGCTGTGCCCCCCAAGACTGGGGGATGCTACCAGGCAGGACAGAGGGGAGCTCAGCAGTGAAGGAGAGCATGGGCCTGGGGGAAGATTTGGGTTTCAGCCCTGGCTGTGCTCCTGCCCAGTCAGTGACCTCTGGCAGGTTAGACCTCAGAGCCTCAGTTCCCTCATCGGAAAACCAGGGATAGTGACAGCATCTGCTTTGCAGGCTGCAGTGGAGGTGATGAGATAATGTACACAAGGTTTTAGGTGTTATCAAGCGCTTAATCGCCTGCAGTAATTACGATTCATCTGCATCTCCAGCACCCAGCACATAGAAAGTCTTTGGTGAATGAATGACTGGACCAACCAAAGCCCAAGGGCATCCCAAGACTGCCAGGAAGAGGATCTGACCTGGGTTAAACAGCCACTAATGGCCCATTTTGCTGCCTGCCTTGTTTCTACTTAGGTAACCTCCTTTAACCCGAAGACACCCCTGCAGGGTAGCTCTTATGAAACCCATTCTACAGATTAGGAAAATAACACTCAGAGGTGACACAGAATGAAGTGATAGTGATGGAGCTTGAATTTGAACTCAGTTTTCTCTAACATCAGAAATTGTGAGCTTTTCCTTTTCAACGATGCATTTCTAAAACTCAGAGACCTGCAGAGAGGCATGTATTAAATACTCATGCATCCATTTCCCAGAATTAAAGTCCACTTTTGTTCCACCGCAGGAAGCCAAGGTATAGCTCAAAGGAACCCCAACTCTGCCCCATTTGAGGGTGGCAAACACCAGGCCTGTTTGTCCCCAGAAGAGGGCAAGTGTCCTGTCCAAGGACTGCCATCACCCTCAGGCTGAGAGACGGTAGCAGGAAGAGTTCAGGCCTTCCCTCGGGAAGGTACCTCCCAGCTGCAACGCTCCTTTCCATATCCGGTGTGGATCCTTTCTCAGTGGGCCTGAGGAAGACAGGGGCAATGGGCCCACTTTTCAGACTAGAAAACAGGTTCTTCCAAAGCCCCTCAGTCAGTGAGGAGCAAAGCCAGGACTCAAGTCTGTCTTCAGACTCCAAGCCTACGGCTATTAGGGAGTCCCAGAGTTTTCCTGAGTCTTCTTTTCCTTCAGCATTGAAAGCCCTCCAACCCCCAACCCCCAAATCCCTCAGCATCCCTGCTCCCAGTTCTTCATCCTTCTTAAAGAGACCTACATTGCAAACTCCTTAATGCTCATGCCTCTCGGCTGCAGTCCCAAAGGGCCCTGTCATGGGCTGCTTAATTAAAGATGGAGGTGGTGTGGTTCATCAGTTGATGGAATTCCTCCATTTCTCAGTCCCTGCCTGTCGGTCTCTGTCTTCCTGCATCTGTCACCTTGGCTTTTAGTTTATGACAATAAGGAGGAACAGAAGCAAAGCATTTTGTCCACCTCTCTATTTACCCCCTTTCACTTTTGTATCAGGCAAAGGGAATTACTGGACCCTGGACCCCAACTGTGAGAAAATGTTCGACAATGGAAATTTCCGCAGGAAAAGGAAGAGAAAATCAGATGTTTCCTCTAGCACAGCCTCCTTGGCCTTAGAGAAGACAGAGAGCAGTCTCCCGGTGGACAGCCCCAAGACCACGGAGCCTCAGGACATCTTGGATGGAGCCTCACCAGGGGGCACCACCAGCTCCCCAGAGAAGCGGCCCTCCCCTCCCCCATCAGGCGCCCCTTGCCTTAACAGCTTCCTTTCCTCTATGACAGCCTATGTGAGCGGGGGGAGCCCCACGAGCCACCCCTTGGTCACACCAGGACTGAGCCCTGAGCCCAGTGACAAGACGGGGCAGAACTCACTGACCTTCAACTCCTTCTCCCCGCTCACCAACCTCAGCAACCACAGCGGTGGGGGTGACTGGGCGAACCCCATGCCCACCAACATGCTCAGCTATGGAGGATCTGTGCTCAGCCAATTCAGCCCTCACTTCTACAACAGTGTCAACACCAGTGGTGTCCTCTACCCCAGGGAGGGCACCGAGGTCTAGGTACAGAACAGCTCCTGAGCCAGGTGGACATGCCAGAGAGAAAAGCAGTAGAGGTCCTCCATGCCAGCCCCACGGTGGTCCATGACTGCGGAACTGCCCAGACATAAGCAGGAGCCTCCGAGGAATCCACCCTCTTTCTAGAACACTGGTTAAGGCTTCTGTTTATCACACATAGGCCCACACACAGACTCACCAACTTTGCAATAGAAATACTGGTGCCTGCAGAGCAGCACTAACAGTGGCAGGTGCTGTACTAGGCTCTGTACTGGCCACACTTACTATTGACAGTCACCCCGTAAGGTTCACAAACCACCCCATTGAACAGATGAGGAACTGAGGCTCAAGGAGGTTAAGTAACATTTCCAGGGTTATATAAACTAGTAAATGGCAGAGCTAAGAGTCAAATCCAGGTCTATGTGATCCTCAGAGATTGGAGGCCGGGATGGAGAATTGGTTGAGTAGCCAAGGAAGGTCAGTGTGAAAAGCTTGCTATGGCAAATATAGCGAAATCTCTCCACTGCCTTCTGTCCACCAACATTTAGTGCCAGCCTAGGCACAACTTGTCCTGGTCCAAGTCCTTATTCTGCTTGCCCCAACTTACCTGCAGACACTCCTTTTGCTACCACTCAAGGAAGGAAGTCACCAGTGGCCTTAGTGCAGGAAACTCAGCCCTGGTGGCCCTGCAGAACAATGCATCTGACATGTGCGATGCATCCCCATGGAGAGACAGCATTGCTCCCCAGCCCTCCAGAAACCTTGAGCAGATCCAGGGATCAGTGAGAGGAGTGGTGTGTACCCCTAAATCCTCCCACCCCAGCACTGCCCATCTGTAAAATCTTGTAAAGCCCAGTTTCCTGTGTGCATGTCATGGACCAGTGAGCTGGAGATGGCTGAATCTTCCAAGAGAAACAAGGTTGGATAAGCGCTTCCTTTTTTTTAGCCCAGGAGAGGTGGATGTTTGTCTGAGAAAACAATGGCCTCAAGGGAGGGGCCTTGGGCCCACCCTCACAGGGGGTCTCTGTGTGATCTCTTGGGATTTCTCCTTGTTTTTGTGAGTACCTGGGAAGTGTTGTTTGTTTTCTTATTTTCTTTTTAATTAAAAAACAAACAAACATGTGGTGCAGAAGCGTGGGACTTCCTTATGAGATTTTCTGTCTCTCGGCTGCCTGGTGTGTTCAACAGGGGGGCCAACTGCTGCCTGGAGCTGAAGGCATTTGGGACAGGAGGCAGAGAAAGAATGCATATCAAGACTCTTTTCACCTCTTCACTGGCGTGGAGCCCAGACAAAAGCCCCCAAGGAAAAGAGGGGAGTCTGGGAAGGGTGGGTAGGGTCATGGAAGGAATCCATTGGTACTGAACACACAATATGGACTTGGCGTATCCCAGTCTTTACAGTTCATGCAAACCTCCTAACTGTGCTATGATCATTTAATTCTAACAACCCCGCGAAAAGGGGGATACTAGTCTCATTATACAGATGAGAAAACTGAGGGTCCGAGTGGTTGAGAGATTCGCGTGAAGTCCACATCCAGTCCACACCTAGATCTGTCTGACCCTGCAGCTCATCATGCTTCAGTGTAGTCTCAGATGCAACCAATGCTAGAGGCAGTAACAACAGTACTACAGGCTGCGATTCACTGAGGGCTGTGGGCAGTTCCTGGGTCAAGTGCTGTGTAGGTGGGACATTTTTTATCCTTACAGCAGCCTATAAGTGTGTATGCTGGTGATCCCCTGGGGTCCCTGACACAATGCATGCTGCAGGACTTGTTCATTGAAGCTGGATTTTTTGTTAGGAGTTCTCTCTTTGGGTGTGCACAGAGAGGGCTTAAACCAGGAATAGCTGGCCACTTGCATCGCTGCCTACTCAAACCCTGGGGGCTCTCTTTCCTTGTGACAGAGTGACAGAGAGGAGCTGGTAAATAACAACAACAACAATGGCAATGATTATTGATGATGATGATGATGATGATGATGATAATGATGGTGATGATGATGTTGATGGTGATGATGATGGTAAGAGCATTCATCATGGGTTGACCATGTGCAAGGCACTGCATTATTGCATGTAATCCTCAAAATAATCCAGTGCACTCAATACCATTATTTTCATTGTGTAGGTAAGAAAACTGAGGCCTGGGGAGAGTCATACCTTGATAGAAAGCAGCCATAGCCAGGACTCAAGCAGATCCATTGATGCCGTGGCTAAAGTGCTTCTCCACAGAATCTAGCAATGGGGAGCCCAGGACTTACCACAGGACAGCAAAATCATGACAACCAAGAGTAAAAGAAGCAGGGCTGCCTGAGAACCCCTCAGGCCCTTTCCCTGGGAGTCCTTTTCTGCAGAGAGACTTCTGGCAGATTCCAGGTGGCCTAGGAAAGTAAAAGGATGGGACGTGGTGTCAGACTGTCAGACTGTTACAAAACACAAGATAGGCTTGCCCCTTTCTGCAGAGAAAGGAAGCCTACAGCTCAGAGGGAAGGCACTCCACAAATGTCACCAGGACAGTGAGGTCAGAGTCAGAATTAAAATGCAAGTCCCTGAAGCCCAGACTAGGATTTTTTATCACACTAGATCCCTCTGTCACCAAATTTGCCCAAACAAACCCTGAAACCCCACCCTCTCCATTGATCAGCTCACTGCCTGCTCTTCATCTCCTACTCCTTCCCCGAGGTGGGTCTGCAATGGGTGAGGGCCTGGGCCAGGAAGGAGGTGTGAAGGGGCCCTGGGAGAGCCCAAGCCAACCCAGAGGGGAGCCGGCTATTTAGAACCAAGGCCCACAACCTCAAGTCTCCAGTCTTCTTCAGCACAAAATTCAATGACGGGCACAAGCAGAAAGGAGAAAGTGTTTAGGGCTCTGACAACACAAAGACCCTGCCAACTCTTGCCTGTGGCCCTGCAGGGAGTTCCTGGTAGTAGCGCCAGGAGCTCATGGGAAGCATGACTCTGCAAGTACCCAGAAGGGCACAGCTGAGGGGAGTCGCAGGCCAAGAAGGGGGTCTCCCAGCAGCTTCCCTGGCGGCTGCCTGTCCCTCTTTTTGTTCTCTTCCTCTGAAAAGAAATAAGAGCCGGAGAGAGGGACAGAGGGAGGAGAAGGTGAGATGGAAGAAGGGAGGGGTAAAGGACTGGTTATTTACCAAGCACTTAATCCTGTGTGCCGTGCTGTGCATGGACACTCCATGATTAGCCTCCTGCTCTTTGGCTCCACGTTGAAGCCATGGTGTCCAGCATCCATAAAGGGTCTGAGAAAAGGGCCACCTGGAAGGCTGCCTGGAGGAGATGCGACTGGAGCTGAAGGATGGCGAAAGTGAGCTGATTCAAACCACTAGTTTATACTCTCACCTTCCAACAGCCAAACTCTAATCCCCCCCAAACCCTGAGTTAGCGTGCCTCCATTTCCAAGTGACGCGGAGGTTGGGGGATGTATGCCTCGAAGCAGAATATATATGTGTAATATAGGTACATTTCATAATCCCATTTATTTTAATAGGCAAAGTTGCAAGAGGAAAAGTTGGGAAATACTATACATAAAATACTAGCAGTCATTGTCTGGTGCCTAATAAAATATTAGGTGTGGTTTTTGGTCATTGTGTTTATCTCTGTGTACAGTGGACATATTGTCATCCCAGGCCACTGCAGCTACATACCACTGCTTCCAATGACAGGGGTGCAAGAGACCTGCCATGTTGTCCCATGATCCCCCCGCCAGCACAGATGACTGATCCTGAGGGACCCCTGACCCAAGCTGAGCTCTTTCTGCTATGGCTGAGGAATGAGTTCCCTTAGCACAGACATGGCTCTTAGGCAGCCACCATTGAAAGAAAGGGGAATCAATGTGAGAACAACAACTTATCTAAAACGTGAGAGTCAAGGCTGGGCGTGGTGGCTCACACCTGTAATCCCAGCACTTTGGGAGGCCGAGGCAGGAGGATCATTTGAGTCCAGGAATTTGAGACCAGCCTGGGCAACACAATGAAGCCCCATCTCTACAAAAAATTTAAAAAGATAGCCAGGTGTGGTGGCGTGTGCCTGTAGTCTCAGCTACTCAGGAGGCTGAGGTGGGAGGATCACCTGAGCCCAGGAGGCAGAGGTTGCAGTGAGCTGAGATTGTGCCACTGTACTCCAGCCTGGGCAACAGAGTGAGACTCTGTCTCAAAAAAAATAAAATAAAATAAAACGTGAGAGTCAGAAAAACAAATGTTCAGACTTGCTGAAAAGCTAATGCCAAGCTGGTGAGAGTGTTGTGGGAGTTTAAAGGTGGCAGAAGCTCTCCTCGGAGTTCCTGGAGAGTCCAGCAGAGATCAAGCACAAGACTGGAAAGGAAGGGGAGTTTGAGGAGAGAGCGGAGGGGCTGCAGGGAAGTAGCCAGCATTTATGAGCCCCCTGCCATGCACCAGGCCCTCGGGACTGGAGCATGCAGTTATCTCCTGTCATTTTCACAACGCTGTGGGTGCTGGGGAGTATTTTGTCCATTTGACCTATGCAGAAACTGGGACACCCAGGGTTTAAGCAGCCTCTCAAGATCTCAGACCACAGTCTACATGCTTTAAATATCAGGCTCCCCCACTCCCCTGTAAATGGGCACTGTGAAGCCTGCCATCAAGAGAACCATCAGTCTGCTTACTAGAGAGAGCACAGGGACATAGCATCCATATCAGGAAAGCTGTGTCGGCCAGCACATCACAGGAGGCCCAAGCTTTGTCTCTGTGGAAGGCTTAGCTCAGCCCCCTGCCCTATACACTGACTTCCTGCCTGCCCCCTGCTTTCCTTCAGCCCCGAAGGAGAGAGACCTGGGCTGCTTTCTCTGCTGACCTGCCTTTTGATATTCTCCTTAGGAGCTGCTGTGAAAACACAATGAAATTGGCCTTTGTCTCTGACTCTCTCTATTCAGTGTTTCTTTGAGGTTCTTGTGGGGCGGAAATATTGCAATGCTGAAGGCACCATTTGCTTCCTTTTACTTGTGGGCCCCCATGTGACCCCTTGGACATATGCTCCTCCCTTGCAGAAGCCATTGGAATCCCAAGCAGAAGGCCAAAATGCAGGGTCTGTCATGAAAGTGGTATAACTATTTGGGGGGAACTCTCCTGCTTTTCTTTCAGTTCAGGCAGATGAGGTAACAGCAGCATTTAACGTTTATTGCATGCTTAGGATGAACTATGTACTTCCCTTTTTTTTTTTTTTTTTTTTTTTTTTTTGAGACAGGGTCTTGCTCCATCACCCAGGCTGGACTGCAGTGGCATGATCTTGGCTCATTGCAAACTCTGCCTCCCAGGTTCAAGCGATTCTCCTGCCTCAGCCTCCCGAGTAACTGGCATGCCACCATGCCTGGCTAATTTGTGTATTTTTAGTAGAGATGGGGTTTCGCCATTTTGGCCAGGCTGGTCTCAAACTCCTGACCTCAGGTGATCTGCCCACCTCGGCCTCCCAGACTGCTGGTATTACAGGTGTGAGCCACCTTGCCAGGCCTATGTACTTCCTATAGATTGCTTAACAATCTCAATGCTACTAAAGCTGACACTATCATTATTTGTATTTGGTATGGAAGTAAACCAGTATTCAGAGACATTGAGTAACTTTTCCAAGACCATGCAGCTATCACCTGAGGTAGACCTCAAACACAGGTATCCCCAGCTCCAGAGCCTGTGCTCTTAACCCAGATGCTAGGAGAAAACCCCTGAACTGGGAATTTGGAGACAGTATCCCCACAGGGAGACAATTCCTTTTCCACAGATTTTGGAACAATCAAATGTGGGATAATGCTATCAGGAAGATGTTGCATCAGCTCGGGGCACCATCATCTCTGCATTCCTGATCAGCGACAGCCTCCAGGCTGGTCTCTCTGCCTCCAGCCTCTGCCTCCGCACTACAGAGTGTGAACTTCCTAAGGGACAGAGCTGGTCACGCCTGCCTCTGCCCTCCTCAGAGCCCCTCACTGGCCCCTTATCCTTCGGGTCCACACTAATGTGCATGGCTCTCGAAGCCCGTGCTCTGGCATCATCTCTCTGGCTAGGGCCTCAGGCTTAGCATCAGACTCAATTGGATTCAGATCCCCTCTACCTGCCCAGAGGAGTCAATGTAAGCAGGAAGTGGCCTCAAGAGATGTCCTGCATATTCCTGTATATTAGTCGGTTTTCACACTGCTAATGAAGACATACCGGAGACTGGGTAATTTATAAAGGAAAGAGGTTTAATTGACTCACAGTTCCACATGGCTGGGGAGGCCTAACATCATGGCGGGAGAGCAAGGGATATCTTACATGGCAGCAGGCAAGAGAGAGCTTGTGCAGGGGAACTCCCCTTTAAAAAACCATCAGATCTGGTGAGACTTATTCACTATCATGAGAACAGCATGGGAAAGACCCACTCCCATGATTCGATTACCTCCCACCAGATCCCTCTAACAACACATGGGAGTTGTGGGAGCTACAATTTAAGATGAGATTTGGGTGGGGACACAGCCAAATCATATTAGCATGTTTTATTTTTTTTTCCCCAATCATGCTGTATTCTTAGCGTAATTTTAAAATACTTAAAACAAGATCATGAGAAAATAAATGCCCAGATTCTAGCACCAAAATTCAGAAGGGGGGGCTATGAGAATGAGGGGCGGGGAGAAGCCTTCCTGAGAGTTTCTAAGAGGCATGGAGGCAGTGGGGATAGTGATTAGCTCTGGGGGAAGAAGAGGCTACTGGCTGGAAAAGGGCATGAGGTAGGGTTGGTAATCACCTACTGTTTTATCTGAGTGCTGGTCACACAGATGTGTTCACTTTAGGAAAATGTATTGAGATTACACTTGTGATTTCTGCATTTTTACATACGCACATTAACTCAGTCATATGCTGATAAATGTTTAACAATGGGTTTGCTGGAGAAAAAAGGGTCCCCCGGATTTGTAATGTCTGCCCATTTCCGTGGTGTAAATACTCCCTTCACAACTGATTTCAAGCTTCCCATGCACTGTAACTGAAGACAGAGTTGGGAAGATACGTGCAGTAGCACAACATTAAATCATATTTCCACCATATACACACAATAGGTGTAAATAACACCCAGAGCATAGAAAATAATCAAATGTAGTAAAATAATCAAGAAGCAATGAGTTTTAAATATTTATTTATTACCTTTCTTTATAATATAATTGTAACTAGAAGTTTATTTAATTTTTAATAAAGCTGTGCTTAACATAAAACTCCTGAAAAGTTAACAGTCAGCTGTTGTGAGCCAGTTTGAGCAGGCTCCAGGACACTATTGGTATAAACACCCATAATTTCTGTCCCCAGACTCCCCTCTCCCTAAAATACTAGTTGTCACACTCTCCTGCTATTGCCATCTTCATCTCTGGGCCTTTCCAGGGGCTGTTTTCTCTGCCAGGTCTCCTTTCTTCTTCCCCAAGGCCTTCCTTCCTTACCCTTGCCTTCAATTCTCATCTAAGAAGTTACTTGCTCCAGGAAGCCATTCCTGGCTAGCAAAGGTCCAATCATGTGCGTTCTTACAGTATGGGACACTTACCCATGTGTTGCCTTTTTCTCTTTACTTGTCTGGCTTTCTGTAGACTGAGTTCTGAGGGCAGGAACCAGGTGTCAGTGGCTCCCTTGGCACTTGGCACAGTCCCTGGTATAGCGAATGTGCTTGGAGAACATTGAATGGATAGATGGATGGATGGATGGATGGATGGATGGATGGATGGATGCATGAGTGGGTGGGTGGATGGATGGATTGATGTATGGATGGATGGATGGTTGGATGGATACAATTTCCTACAAGTCATTAATCTTTGCACCTATTTATCCCCAGAAGAAATTCCTAAGACCTTAGCACTTCAGCCCCCATCCCTGCAGACTTTGGTCTAGCACTCCTAATTCTGTCTAAGGCACTGGGGTGGGTGGCACTCTCAAGACTAACCTTGGTCACTCCCCAGTTACTCCCAGCTATTCTTTGTGATGCTCAAGTGCCCCTTTGTCCAATGATAACTGGGTTTAACCCTGATTCAGAGAGAGGATCAAAGACAAAAACAATAAAAAGCTACTGATTACTGTCCTGATCCCAGGCCCTGGCTGGTTTAGGTAAAGTTATGTTGCAATGGGAAGGAGAAGGATTGCCCTATTTTTAGAGCCACAACAAAAAATTCATACTGTAACAAACTGCCAGCCTTTGGAAGAAAAAAAAAATTAAATATTTATTTACTACCTTTGTTTATAATATAATTTATTTAACTATAAGTTTATTTAATTTTTAATAACAGCTGTGCTTAACATAAAGCTCCTGAAAAGCTAACAATCAGCTGTTTTGAGCCAGTTTGAGCAAGCTCCAGGACACCGTTGGTATAAACTCTCTGTCCCCAGACTCCCCTCTCCCTAAATAAGAATAAGAACCCAGGTTTTGGATCTAGACAGAGCAAGGTTCAAATCCTGATTTGGCTTTTTATCTGCTGGAGACCTTGGGCCTGTGACATCACCCCTCTGAGCTTCCAATTCATCATATATTAAATGGAGATAAAGAATGTAGCCAATGTCAGGATTTTGATGAGCATCAATTAGGATATGTGGAAAAAGCCTGCCAAGCAGCTTGCCCAGAGGAAATGCCTCTTAATTATCAATTTGATGCAAATCAATAAGCCATTGATCTCTCACTGGGTCAATGTTATAGATTCTTCTTGGAAAAAAAATTAAAAGTATCTTCAGAAACGAAGGCTCAATCACACAACACCTGGGAGAACTACAGCTTACAGGGGTAATGAGGTCTCTCCCTGCCCTCTACCCAACACACCTGTCCTAACCTGACCTCCCTGAGAGCTCCATGATTTGGTAACAAGCACATGGTGCCTTCCCAGAAATCAAAAGACTTGGCTTCTCCCTCCTCCCATGCTCATGCTCCCAAACTCCCAAACAGAGAGGCGGTCCTAGGAGTGGATAACATGGCGGGACAGGGGGAGGGGCAGTAGTAATCTACATGGTGGGGTCTGGAAGTGCCAGGAAGTCATGCTACACCACACACACACACACACACACACACACACACTCACCATGTGTCCATAGATGCCAGAAGCGATTCATTTTCACAGGGAATAAGAACTTACACCCATGGTGAGAGCAGGACACAGTTTTTCAATCCCTCAGGAGTGAAGCAAAATGGCTTCCTGGAATCTGGAACTCAGGCCATGACTTCAAAGGCGAGGAAACTGAATCTCACAAAGTGAAGAGGCCTAGGCCAGAGTCTCATTGTTAATGCCAGACATACAATCAGGTACAAATGTGCCAGCTTCCCAAGGGGCCTGGGGGTTTTGTACTTCAACACTGCCCATGGAGAGTGTTCAACAGACCCCCTCTGGGGAGCAGGTTTGAATGTGGGCAGGAGCAGAAGATGGGTGGAGGTGATGGCAGGGAATGGCGGTGGGGGAAGGTAGAGGTGCTGATGGGGACTGAATGGGTGACCCAGTGAACAGCTGGGGAGAAATCCAGGGGCCAGCTGGGCCCTCACAGCTAGGCCTTTGGTCTGTTGGACATGAACAATTTCTCAGAGCATCAACATGGATCAAGACAAAATCAAGACCACTCCACAATCATGTGTGAACACAGATGAAAACATAAGCACTCCTCAAGCTGCAATATGACCACATGGCCCCAGTCCTAGCTAATATGAGGGGCTGCTGCTTTTTTGCCTGTTCCAGATTTAGCCTCACTCCATGCTTCCCTCCTTCCAAATATGATTTATTGTGGTGCCCAATTCTAGAATTTTCTTCACTTCCCAACAGCATTCAATCCAAGCAAAGCCCTTCTTCCTTAAGCTGTCCTCCAAACACCTAACATAAGCCCACATTTTTAAAGTCCTCTCTGATACCCTTATACTGAAATGCTCACTGTTCTTTATGTTACATGTTCCCCATCACTGCAGTGAGGGACCAACCCAACTTGTTTAACAACAGGGGTGTCCCAAGTAGCCCTTGGCTGGAGGACGTTGATAATAGGTGGGTTGAAAACTCATTCAAGTATTCATTTGTTCATCAGAAGTCTATGATGTACCCAGCACTGTGTTAGGAGTTAGAGACACTGTATACTGGTGAGACAAAAATGGTCCCATTCTCCAGGAGCTGATAGCCTGTTAGATAAACAGACAAGTAAACATCTTAGCATGGCTCCCTGTGGCATGCGCTCTGATGGGTCAGCACAAAGGAGGCACCTGTCACAGGTGAGGGGGCAAGGAAGGCTCCTTGGAGTGACACCTGAGAGAGGTCTGTGAGGGGCTGAATAATGCAGGCAGAGGTAGAGTATGCACAAATGCCTGGAGATGAGAGAGAAATGCAAGTGATTCAAGATGGCAGGAGTTAAGTAAGTGCAGGAAGCAAAGTAGCCTGAAATCCCAGAGAGAAGCTCATTTCTTCTTCCCAAGGCATCAGGGAGCGTTGCAAAGGTTGCGAGCAGGTGGGTAACAAAACTGAGAGTCACACTGATGACATTGAAAGGCTGGTGCCTCACCCCTCCTGCCCTCAGGGGCAATCTGAGTTCCTAGAAGCTAGCTGAGATGGAAGCCCCTTCTTTGCATTACAACTGGGGCAGGAAGTATGAAAGAATAATTCACAAAGTCAACTACATACAAATGAGTTGTTTCTGTACGGCAAAGCCTCCATCAACAGAGTAGGAAAGTAAACACAAAGGGAGAGAAATGTTACCGCATACATGTCAAAAATTTAATAACTGTATTGTAGGAAGATCTCTAGCAAATTAGTAAGACAAAGACTTTCCCAGTCGAAAATGGGCAAATCTATTTTCACCAACAAAGATATGCAAATAGATAATAGACACATGTAAAGAAGCCTAGTCTCACTAATGATCAAAGAAAATAGACCAAGATGATATTATATCCTTTCCACTGACACATCAGCAAAGCCTAGAACTGTCAAGGATAGGAGGGAATAGGTACCCTTGTCTCATATATTCTCGGATGAAGAACAAGGCAAAATGATCTTAAGGGCGATTCAGTAATGACCATGGAAATGTCTAATGTCTATCTCTTTTGACTTAAGGATCTCTCTACTACAAGTTTAATTTTGAGGCTGGGCATACCAAGATGTATGTACAAGAATGTGCCTCACAGATACATTTATATTAGTGCAAAGTTTATATTAGTGAAATGCAGGAATAACTTGAATGTCTACCATGAACAAAATGGAATAAATAAACCATGACATGGTTTATAATAATTCTGATGAAAGACTATGTAGCTATTTAAAAGGAATGAAAGAGATTTAGCAGAACTAATCGAAGCGGTATCAATGATGCACTGCTCAGAGAGAGGACAGGGAGAAAGACACCAAACAGGATGTCAAATGTCTTAGATATGTGAAAATATACCATGCGTTATTTAATGTATGGAGGGTAAGTTAGTACATAGATGATCTTTCTTCAGCTACCACAAACAAACTAGTCATATGTCACTTTCTCTTTTTTTTTTCTTTTTTTTTGAGACAGAGTCTCACTCTGTCACCCAGGCTGGAGTGCAGTGGCACGATCTCAGCTGACTGCAACCTCCGCCTCCTGGGTTCAAGCAATTCTCCTACTTCAGCCTCCCAAGTAGCTGGGATTACAGGCACCTGCCACCACGCCCTGGTAATTTTTGTAGTTTTAGTAGAGACAGGGTTTCACCATATTGGGCAGGCTGGGCTCTAACTCCTGACCTCATGATCTGCCCGCCTTGGCCTCCCAAAGTGCTGGGACTACAGGCGCGAGCCACTGTGCGTGGGCACATGTCGCTGTCTCCAGTGGCTCTTCCTTTCTTTTGGTGCCTTGGAGAGAGCATTGGACTGGAAGTCAAATGCCCTGTGTTTGAGTGCTGACCCTATCACTATTTAATGCAGTCCTGGCACTTATGGACTTGACTGGAAGAGGAAACAGCAGAATAAAGTGAAAGCCGGGCTTCCTTTAGCTTTGACCATCTGTTTTATGCCTGTGGTCATATTTTGATGCCCCAAGGAACCCTGAGAAGTAAATGAGGACAGGCAATATCTCCCTTCCCCAGATGACAGACACAGAATTGAGGCCTTATGTTAGTGACGCAGCAGGTTTGGGGATGAGGTGTAGTTCTGTAAGCTGTCTCCAATGTCATGGAGTGCCAGTGAGGGCAAGTCAGTGCTCACGTAGACTTAAAAACTCCCCAAATTTGGTATGTTAGTCAGCTTGGACTGCCATAATAAAATACCACAGACCAGATTGCCTAACAACAGAAATGTATATTCTTACAGCTCTGGAAGCTGGAAATCCAAGATCAGGATCCAGAATGGTCAGTTTCTGGTGAGGCATCTTTTCCTGGCATGAAGACAGCAGACTTCTTGCTATGTCCTTACATGGCTGAGAGAGAGAGAGAGAGAGAGTTCTTCTTCTTACAAGGCCACCAATGCTATGGGATTAGGAGGACATCCTTATTACCTCATTTAATCTTAATTACCCCCCAGAAGCCTTGTCTCCAAACATGGTCACACTGGGGCTAGAGCTTTAACAGATGAATGAGCCAAGGTGGTGGGGGAGTGGACACCATTCAGGTTACAGCATGTGGCTATGCTGGAGAGAAAGAACTAGTGCAAAAAGAAACATTGGATGAACTTAGGGCCAACAGAACTGAGAGGAAGTTCTTGAATGCAGCTCTTCCATGCACAAGTCCCAAAAACTGGACTTCTAGGGGAAACAGGACATAGCAGACAATGAAAAGATCACATATTTTGGAGAGTGACTTTCCCAATTCAAACCCTGGCTACTACCACGCTGTTGGGTGAGTGTCCGAGAGGCCTTGGGTTTCTCATGTCTAAAATAAGAGGTATTCAGACCCTCCCTACGGGTTAATCAAGCAGCTGTGAAGACAAAATGAGATACGGCCGAGTTTCCAAGCATGTGGGGCACACGGCACTGACATACACAGATGATTTTAGGTGACTCGTGGATAAAGTATTAGACAACACTGACTCAGAGAAGAAAGTTGTTCTTTTCTAACTGGGTTCAGGCTTTCTCTTTTCATCCAAAGAGAAAAGTCCAGTTTGATGCACACATGTCATCAGCACCCCCTAATACCTGCCAATCTCCCTTTTCCACAAAGGTTTCAAGCCCTTTGCAGGAAATAGTATCCAACAATAACTGAAGAATAGTTTGCATTTATTTTTACGATTATCTTTTCTATATAGCAAGTGAGGCTGGTTTACTTTTTAAAGTCATGACATAAAGTTTCCTTTTCAAATAAATTTACTTTAGAAAAAAAGAGCTGACTTAAATGAGTAATAGTAAATGAATGATAGTGCAGGTAAGATGTGACTATGGTTAAAGCAAACAAACCAATAGAAACTGCTCGGCAAAAGCAAAGCTTGAGTGACTGAATTTGGGGCAACTCTGTTGCTGGAGAGAAAGTACCAGACCCAGAGAGAAAAAAATGGGCATGGGAGGTAGGACTGACTAGCAGCTCCCACTTGGACAGGCAGAACAGCATGTGGAGACTCATGTCGTAAACTTTTGCTCCAATTACTGCAGGAGCATACCTGGAAAATGAAAAGAATACACAGACCTTTTTCAGTTATCTCACTGCAAAAGCCATGAGATAGCTGAAAAACGGTGAGTGCCTGAAGTGTGAGGGGCGAAAGCCCACCTCCGAACACACATCCTCACTGGGGAACCTGAAAATCCAGATCACCCAAGGAGGATTTAACCTTACCTAAAGTGTACACTGCCCAGGTGATGGGTATACCAAAATCTCAGAAATTACCACTACAGAACTTATCTGTGTGACCAAACACCTGTTCCCCAAAACTTATTGAAATAAAAAAGAAGAAGAAGAAAAGCAACATAACTACTGAAGGAAAGGCCGGGGATCATGGTGATGTATACCTAGCAGATGCATTTATTTAAAATGTAGGAAAATTAAGAAAATAATGTGAGATAACCTTAGAAGGAAGACTATGACCACACTGTTAGGTTATCTCAAGCTATAATGAAGCATTAAATAACATTAATTTTGTAATAGTGTTTTTAATGTATGGTATTTAATTATCTAGCTATACTTTTGGAATGGCTAGAGACAGAAAATACATAAAGGACCTATACAGAAAGGAACACAAGCAACTGATCATAATTAACATGACATTGAATTTACAAATTATCTAGCTATACTTTTTTGGAATGGCTAGAGACAGAAAATACATAAAGGACCTATTTAAAGGCTTTTCAGTGACTTGGGTGAGAAGACTATACCCAACATAAGGTTTCATCTTGATTACTGCTGGTATTCCCAGCTGCTAATACCTAGTACCTACTAGGTGAATAATACATGTTTGTTGAATTAATAACTTAATGCATAATAAAGAAATGCTTAATTAATGAAATAAGAGAGCCTGAGCTAAGATAACGACAATGGTAATAGAAAATAAGGAACAAATAGAAAAATATTGTTGAGACATAATCTATATGATTTAATATTAGATTGGAAGTGGAGAATGAATATATGAGTTTGGATTTTGAAGCCTGGGTGCACTGGGGGTGGAGTAGGGAAGATAATGAGGTTTTTACCCTCACTTGTACATAGAAAATTTTTTTAATTGTTAATCTTTTCATTGGAGGTATAAACTATGATTGAGCTTGGTAAATACCCATAGTACAGAAAGGAACACAAGAAATTGATCGTAATTAACATGACAATGAATTTACAAATTATCTAGCTATACTTTTTTGGAATGGCTAGAGACAGTGTTCTTAGCTAACTTCTAAAAGGATTCTAAGCAACCTGCATGCTTCAATGAATGGATAGCTTAGGTCCCACTCAGCTTTTCTCAACAGAAAATACAAAATGAAAAAAGCTAATTAAGTAGAAAAGCTGCCCTGTAGCTCATCTCACAATTTTAGAAGCAATCCATTTTACTTTAAGTACTCCTAAGAGATACCTTCTAAAAGGCAAGGATACTGGTAAAAATAACATAATGTTCCCAACTCACAATGTTTCCATATCTTCCCTGATGAATGGTAAAATAATCAAGATGATTTACATACTCCTCACTGTGATATCTAGCTATTTGCTAAAACAGATGTCTGGTTTTTGTACCATAGATATCTTGAGGTTCCCCTAGGCAGAAAATCACAGGAGAAAGGAATCTCCCCTGGAAGACAGAATCTTAGAGAGGAAATCACATTGATAAATCTGACCACACCTCTCTTTGAACTTTTAAAGTAAAGCATAAGTAAAAGATGATATTTGGCTACCTTAATAGTCACTTAGCAGTCATGGGATATTACTAGGAAGTCACCTTTCTTGTTCAGGGAAACAAGCACGTTAGATTTTCCTGAAGTTTTACAATCTAAACACAAATAGACTCAGACCTGTTAGCTGGAAATGGGGTCTCTTGTTAGACTTCTTTGATCTTCTTGATACATTCTGTGTACATAGGAAAACAACTGCCTGTATCAGTCACTGTAAAGAGGTTTTAAGTATATGATAAACATTAATCACTTCACATCTGAACTAGCAGAAGCAAATTCTTAAGGCCAGGCTGGTCTCCCTGCAAGCAACCAGGACTTCATGAGGGTGTAGTAAGGAAATGGAAGCACATTACACAACCGTATATACAATTGTATACTGCTCAGCCAACAGTTTCTATTCTGGAGTTATAATCTTGTGTTCAAGATCCAGTCCGCGATCCATTCAATCCCGTGCTTTCCAAACAGTGTTCTCTCCTGTTATAAAAATTCATGGGCAGCCAGAAAAAAAAATTACTAGAAAGAGTAATGTGGGTTACTTGGAAAAGGCAGATCCGCCCTGTTCTCTTCTCCATGGGAGACAGCACCATCGGCCTCTGTTGGAGCATTTGGTCCCTCCTATGAGGCCTTCCGGGTGTCTGCTCCATCAGGGCTGCTGAGAGACTTGCATTCTGGAAGGAGTTGGTTGACCAGCACCTATGGGAGATGCTGCTGACAGAGGTAAGAGGGGAATGAAGCTGCTTAGATTCTCCCCTCAGGCAAGGCTGGTCCCTTGTCACCTGTAGAGAGTCTACCTTTGGCCTGAGTAAAGTGGTTTACATTGTCCCCAGTAAGAGACTACAGAGAAGACCTTGTCTTCCTGGCCATGCTCAAAGCTGAGAGCTCAAACCACCCTAAGGACTCTAACCATCCCAAAGGTCTGCAGCAGCCCCACTCACCATTTTCTGACCAGTCCAGGCAAAGCACACCATTGGCATTGCTGACTGGGCTGCTTGGACTGAAAAGACAAGGCCTGGGTGGCTGGGCCACCTGTCCCACTGTCTCAGCAGGTTTGCCTGACTCTAGATTTCCCTCAGAGGCCAAAAAAATGGAGTCTCCAGGAATTACAGAACACAGTTTCTGGCAGGCACTATCGAGGGTTTCCAATGCCCTCTCTGTGCAAAGGAGAAAACCCAAGCCCAGAGAAGGAAAGGGACTTCCCAGAGCCACACAGCAAGTTAGCAGCAGAGCTAGCACAAGAATTCTTGTGTCCTGATTCCTTAGCTAGGATTACCTCTTTCCAGAAGAGAGTTTTTCAGTGTACAAGTATAGTAGAAATGTGAAACTCCCAGGCCCCACTACATAAAGAAATCGGAAAGGGGAAGGGAATTAGCAGGTATTAGGTTGGCGCAGAAGTGATTGTGGTTTTTGCCATTGAAAGTAATGGCAAAAACCACAATTACTTCTCTGCCAACCTAATATTAAGCACTAGATACTATTTTAGTGTTTAAATGAAAATATCGCATTTGGTCCTGTTACTCTTGCCTCCTCCGCAACCCCTCCATTTCCTGCAAAGTATGAAGTGAAAGCTCAGAGAATAACCTGCCGTTTAGATCAGCAAGATGTGGCAGGAATAGCATGAACCTTGGAACCAGGTAGACCCAGTTCTGTGAAGCATGAGGGTGTGGCCTGGATCAATGAGAACTCCACTGAGTTCAGGATCTTCATCTGTAACTTGAGAGTAATAATCCTGGCCTCCCATATCTGGTAAGATCAAATTATCATGCAAAGTGCTTGGAGAAGAGTAGGTATTCAAAAACAGTGGCTTGTAAACAAATATTTAGAGTATCTGTATTCATTGCAGCCCCATAAAATAGAAATAACCTAAATGTCCATCAACAGGTAAATGACAATAGACAAATATTGGTAAATCAATATGATGGAACACTACTCAATAATAAGAAGGAATAAAATACTGATATTTGCAATGACATGGATAAATTATAAAAACACTACGCACCTCTACTTCTGGCTAAATTGCTCTTACCAGATCCTACCTTTGAATTGATAACAAACTATAAACTCTGTGGAGAAAAACAAAAACAAAACAACACCACGATCTAAAGTCACTGAAGAGTAAACAACAGGCAAATTCTCAAGTGGGGTTAGTAATTTTAAAAAGGGATCTGCTTGGTGAGTTACCTGTTTTGTGGTGTATACATAGGCCTTTACTCTATCTTTTATCTTTACCCAAATCTCTGGCTGGTTCCTGAACCATGTTTGTACAGGATGGGCTCTAGACAGATGAGAATAAAAGAACTGAACTTGGATTTTAGCTGCAGCCCAAGATGCAAAATTTGCAGTTTGAGCCAAACCAGGTTAATTGCCCACTAAAGCAAACAAACAACAAAAACCAAAATCTCAATACTCTTCAGAGGAATATATCAAAATGCAGAGTTTTCACAATGTTCCAATGTCCAGAATACAGAATCCAACATTACTCATCACATGAAGAAACAGGAAAATGTAACTCACTCTAAAAAGAAAAGATAATTAAAGAAGGCTGACCCAATATGACTCGATAATGGAATTATTAAACTAAAATTGATAAGTAGCTGTTGTAACTGTGGTTATAATAGCCTTTGGGAGAATGTTCAGATGGCATAAATGTATTTTTCATGTGAAATGAATGTGAATTATTAGGGGCCAGCGGAAAGACTGTTCCATGGAATTTTTGAATATCACTTATTTGGCAAAGAAATTTTGCAGGCATGACTAAGTAAAGAATCTCAAAATATGGAAATTTTCCTGGATTGCCCACGTACATCCCAAATGCAATCACATGTATCTTTGCAAGAGAGAGGCAGAGGAATATTTGACTACAGAAGAGAGAGTATGAACTGTGAAGACAGAAGCAAGAGATTAAAGTGATATAAGCAAGGGACCATGAGCCAAGAAATGCAGGCAGCTAAACAAGTTAAAAAAGTCAATGAAATGGAATTTCCCCAAGATCTTCCAGAAAGTACCAACCCTGCCAACACTGACTTCAGTGCAATGAAACTGGTTTCAGACTTCTGGCCTTCAAAATTGTGAAATAATATATTTGTGTTCTTAAGACACCAAGTAGTCTGTGGTAATTTGGTACAGCAGCTATAGAAAACTAATACAGTAATTTTTCTCAAGTAAAAAGAAAGATGACTGTAATGAATGGAAAGTTAGGACATCACACACAAAAAAGAGAAATGGTAGAAAAACCAAAATTCTAGAAATTCTAGAACTAACATATAAAATATCTTTTAAAAATCACTAGCTGAGCATAACAATCTGATGGAGATGACAGAGAAAGAATCAGTCAATTTGAAGATAATTATCTAATTCAATGTTGAAGACAATTTTCCAATCTAAAGAAACAGGTGAAGAGAGAAGATGAACACAGATTTATAGACCTATGGAACAATAGCAATAGGTTTAACATGTGTATAACTGGAGTCTCAGAAGCAGAAAAGCAAGAAAGTAGATCCAAAACTACATACTTGAAAAAATAATAGCCAATTTTCCCCCCAGTTTGGTAAAATACATCAATTTACAGATTCTAGACCTCAGCAAAATAAATACAAATAAGATCTTACCTATGCACATCATAGTCAAACTTTGGAAATCTAAAGACACACAAAAAAATTGAAACTAGCCAGAGAAAATAGCACATTTTATGTAAATGAATAGTGACTTCATTTTTGTTTTTGTTTTTGTTTGTTTGTTTTGTTTTGTTTTTTGAGACAGAGTCTCACTCTGTTGCCAGGCTGGAGTGTAGTGGTACGATCTTGGCTCACTGCAACCTCTGCCTCCTAGGTTTAATCGATTCTCCTGCCTTAGCCTCCTGAGTAGCTGGGACTACAGGTGTGTGCCACCAAGCACGGCTAATTTTTGTATTTTTAGTAGGGACGGAGTTTCACCATTTTGGCCAGGATGGTCTCGATCTCCTGACCTTGTCATCCGCCCATCTCGGCCTCCCAAAATGCTGGGATTACAGGTGTGAGTCACTGCACCCGGCCATGAATAGTGACTTCTTAGCACAAACTATGGAAGCCAAAACATAGTAGAACAACATCTTTAAGGTTCTGAAAGAAAAAAAAAATCCGTTAACTCAGAATTCTATAACCAATAAAACTATCCTTCCTTCAAGAATGAATGTAATCCCATGTTCATGGATCAGGAGAATTAACATTGGTAAATGCCAGTACTCCCCAAATTGAACTACAGATTCAATGTCTTCGCTACCAGAATCCTAGGTGTTCCTTTGTAAAAGTTGTGAAGCCAATCCCAAAATTTACACAAAATTGCAAGGGTCTCAGAATAGCCAAAACAATTATAAAAAAGAGAGACAAAGTAGAATAACTCACACTTTCTGATTGAAAAATTTACTGTAAATCAACAATAATCAAGACAGCATGCTATTAGTACAACGAAAGGCATAAAGACCAAAAGAACAGGATTGAGAGTTTAGAAATAAACCTATACATCTAATTGAAACTGATTTTTGACGAGGGTGCCCAGATCATTCAATGGGGAGAATAATCTTTTCAGTAAATGGTGCTGGGACAACTGGAAAGTCACATGCAAAAGAATAAAATTTGACCTTTATATCACTCCATGTACAAAATGTAACTCAAAATGGAAGAAGGACTTAAATGTAAGAGCTGGAAGTATTAAACTCTTAGAAGAGAACATAGGAGTAAATCTTCATGACTTTGCATTTAGCAAAGGATTCTTAGATGCAGCACTAAAGGTACAAGAAATAACAACAAGATTAATACACTGAGCAACATCAAAATGAAAAACTTGTGTGAATCAAAGGACAACAAAAAGAAAATGCAAAAAACCAATGCACAGAAGGAGAGAAAAGATTCACAAATCATATATCTGATAAAGGACTTGCATGTAGCTTATCTAAAGAGCTCTTACAGCTCAATTCTAAAAAGACAAATAACCAATTAAAAAGGAGCAAAGTCTCTGAACAGACATTTCTCCAAGAAAGATATACATATGGTCAGTAGGCACATAAAGATGTTTGATACTATTGGTAATCAGAGAAATGCAAATCAAAATCACAGTGAGGTACTACTTCATACCCACTAAGTTGGCTACATTCAAAAAGTCAGATAATAACAAGTGTTAGCAAAGATGTAGAGAAGTCAGAACCCTCATATACTGCTGGTGGGAATGTGAAATGGTGTAGCTACTTTGAGAAACAGTCTGGCAGTTCCTCACATGATTAAACATTGAATTACCATATGAACCAGATCCTAGATATCACCCAAGAGAAATGAAGCATGTCCATACAAAAACTTGTATCACAAATATTTATGGCAGCATTATTTATAATAATCAAATGGTGAAAACAACCCAAATCTCCATTAATGGGCAAGTGGTTAAACAAACTGTGGTATATCCACACAATGGACTATTGAGCTATAAAAATAAATGAAGCATTGATACATGCTACAACCTGTATGATGAACATTGAAAACATTATACTGACTGCAAGAAGCCAGTTACTAAAGTCTATATATTTTATTATTCCATTCATATGAAAGCCCAGAATAGGGCAATCTATAGTGATAGATAGATAGAAGAGATTAGTTGTTGCTTAGGACTGAGGAGGGTTGGAAGGATGTGGAGGTGATAACTAGATGGAATTAGGTTTCTTCTGGGGTAATGAAAATGTTCTAAAATTGACTATAGTGATGATTACATGTATTTGTGAATATACTAAAAAATTGAATTGTACACTTTAAATAGGTGAATTATATGATAGGTGAATCATACGTTATGTGAATTATATCTTGATAAAGATGTTTTTGAAAAAGAAGGAATATAATATAAAGACATTTTCAGATAAAAGGAACTAAAGAATTTGTCACCAGCAGACCTGAACTAAAGAAAATTATTTAGGCTGAAGGGATATGATACTAGATGGAAACTCAAATCTTTCAGGAGGAATGAAGAACATCAGAAATGGAAAAAAAAATCTGGGTAAATATGAAAGTCTACTTTTTCTTTTTAATTTTTAAAAAATACACAAACTGAGCAACAAACCCATCATATCATAGAATTTATAATGTAGGTAGATAAAATACAAATTACATACACTCTATGTATGTAGATATAGTACAAATTATGGTATTTCATAAAACATGGGGCTGGGGTGGGAAGGTAAAAGGATCTCTATGAGTGCAAGGTTATTGTGTACATATTTTGTGAAGCGGTACAATCTTAAGTCTAAATAAACTGTGAAAACTTAAGGATGCAACCCATAGAAGAGCCACAGAAAAATAAGGCAAAAAAGTGTAACTAAAAAGCTAATGAATAAATGGAAATAGAATTCTTAAAAATGTCCAAATAATCTTTTTTTAAAAACTGATGATAAACCAATGATTTAGAAAAAAAACAAAATTTGAGGAAACCATAAAATAGTAGCCTTAAATCCAACCATATCAATAATTACCTTAATTGTTAATGAACTAAATAATACAATTAAATGGCATAGGTTTTCAGAATAGAGTTTTAGAAACAACTCAACTGTATACTATCTATAGAGACACACTTTAAACAGAGAGGACACAGGTTGAGGATGTAAATAGTAACATAAGAAGGCAGAAGTGGCCATGTTAACATCAAGTGCAATCGACCTCAAGTCCGGGAGTATTACCAGAGCCAAAAAGAGACTTTCATAATGATTATATGATCAATTCATCAGGTGGGCCTATATTCATAAACAGAAAAACTTTAAATACATGAAGAAAAAATTGACAGAATGAAAGGGAGAAGTAGACAATTTCACATACTTGCTTGGAGATTTTAACATCCTTCTCTCACCAATCAACAGAACAAAAATAGCTCAAAAAATCAGTAAAGACAGAGAATCTGAACAACACTAGCAACCATCTTGACCTAGTGTTTATAGAACACTACATCTAACAGTACAGAATGCATATGCTTTTTGAGGGTATATGGTATATCCTCCATGTGCTGAGCCATAAAACAAGTCTTATTAGATCAAAAAATAATTTTTAAACATCATGCTATGTAAAACAAAGTAAACACAAAAAGTACATTCTGTATTACTCCATCTACATTGAATTCCAGAGTAAGCAAAATAAATCTATAGTGACAGAAAGTAAATCAGTAGTTGTCTGGGGCTGGGGTGGGGGCAAAGGTGAAAATAGTTTGGGAAAGGACCCTGCTGAACCTTCTGGAATGATGGAAACATTCTATATCTTGATTATTTTGATGATTACATGAGTATATACATTTGCCAAAACTCACGGATCTGTACACTTAAAGTAGATGCATTTTATTGCAGGTAAATTACACCTCAGTGAAGTTGATTAAAATAAAAGCAGATGTTTGGAATTCACACTAGGAAGTGACAAAGCTGGTTAGAACACTTGCTGGGGCTGGTCCAGAGCACTGAATGAATTAGCCGCCAATATTTCAAACCTGTGAGATTTCAGGCAACTCTCAGGACTTAGGCATCTCTGAAAAGTAGGAAGCTCTGGCCATGCTGAACCAAGCTTCCCCTGGCAAACTATGGCAGGAGCTGAGCAGCAGCTAACCCATTCAGTGGAGCACTCCCTCCCCGTGGCCACTCTGCCTGCTTCCCTCACTTAGTGACCCATCTGGCCCTGAAGGTTTTTGTGACCACTTGGCTAGAGGGTTAGTAGTGGTTACCACTTACTAATTTACCTGCTATTGCTTCTACATGTATCTCTCAGCATCTGACTTACACTCTTATCAGGCATAGATACACGTAGTTTTATTTTTATATTTGAGCACTTACTATGTGTAAGTTGCATTGCAAAGCAGTTTGTGTATATTATCAAATCCTTAGAACAATCCTACATAACAAGTTCTACCACTTCCCCCATCTTGTAAATGAGAGAACTGACACACAAAGAGGTGAAGTTCATACCCCATTGGTAATAAGTGGTGGAGTCAGAATCTAAACTGCCTGAGTTTAGAACTGTCTGATTTTAGGGCTTGTGCTTGTCCAAGGATGCCCTTCTGCACAACTCCATAAGCCATTCACATTGTAGTCCCCTGAGCTGTGTAGGCTCGAGGAGCTGCCACTTGCATTCACTACAATGCAAATGGCGGCCTTTTATGCTAACTAGGGAAAGTTTCTCCTTATAAAACAAAAAGGATGAAATAGCTCATCTGCGGAGTGAGGGGAGAGGGTTCTTCTAGCTCTGATTTGATTCATTCGACAACATTTTCTTAGCACTTACTTTATGCCATGTGCTGATCTGGGTATAGAAGATACAGCAATGAAAACGTTCCCTGCCCTCATGGAGCTTACCTTTGAATGGGAGAAACAACCAATAAAAACATAAGCAGGTTATACAATTATATAAAAATGTAATCTGATGCCAGGTGATGATTATTACTATGAATTAAACCAAAGCAGGGTAAAGACTCAGACAGTGACTGGGGACACTATTTAAGATAGGGAGGTCCAAGAAGTCACTCTGAAAAAGTGACATCTGAGCAGCCAGCCATGTGAAGCCAGACATGTGAAGGAGCCATCCATGGAAATATCTGAAACAAAGGCATTCCTGGAGGCCATGGGAACAGCAAAGTACAAAGGCCCTGGAGAGGAAATGAGCTGGGCGCATTTGAGGAACGACCAAAAGACTATTCTGGTCAGGAGGATGAAGGAGAAGAAGCTGGTAGGACCTCACAGTCCTTGGGAAGGAGATTGATTTTATTCCATCTAATGGGGATAATGGTTGGGGAATGAGAATTTGCACAGGAGAGATGGGAGACAATAAGCTTAGGGCTCTCTGAAGGGCAACCAAAGGGCTCAGCACTCAACCCCAGGAGCAGCCGGCAACCCTTCCGAATAGTGTGTCAATTAAAGTGCAGGCAGCAGTGCTCTAATTGTGGTTGTTTTTTCCAAAATACAGATGGCAGTAGCCTGGTTTCCAGCAGGATGGTGATGACATCTGGTCTGCTTTCAATAAATCCTGCTTATGCAAAATTTCAGCTCCATTTCAGTCACCAAAGCCTCTGACTCATTCTATCTGAATCTCAGGCTGTAGGATGTGCTGGACAAAGAGGGAAACAATGTCCCTGAGTGACAAAGTGGACAAATTCCAGCCCTGCCATTCACCCATTCCCTTGCATGAATCCCTTCTCCTCTCTGTGCCTCAGACCCTTCTCTGTACAAGGGGGCTACCCAGGCCTAATTTACAGGGAGGCCCATGATAATTAATCAAGATCAGGTTGTTTGAAAACATTTTGCTCAGGACCAGTTAATGTATTTACTTGTTTGTTTTCTGTTTTCCCAACCATCCTGTAGACTCCGTGAGACCAGAGTCCTGTCCATCTGGTTCATTGCAGCCACCTCAGGACAGAACACAGATCCTGGCACCCAGTAGATGTGCTCAATAATTACTTGCTGAATTAATAAAGAGCATCTGATTATTAACCATCTGCAGATAGAATGTTGGATATGGCTTCAGGAACTTTTAGTTTCTGAATGTTACCAGAAAGGAATTTTCTCTGTCAGGCCCAAATGGCTACTGCACGATTTGTCTGTGTGAAGGTGAGTAGGGGATGGTTATTTCCGTGTCAGTTTCTCTCTGAATGTGCACATTTGACTGTGAACCTGTACTCATCATACAAATAATTAACTGCAATGGAAATCAAAGCTAAGAAGGACAAGTACAAATGCTACGAGTATGTCCATCAGGGCATCTGACTTGGTTCAGGTGTCAGGGAAGGTTTCTGTGAGGGAACAAGGTTTGAGCTGAGCCTGAGAGATGAGAACAGAGAAAAGCTCTGAGCCAGGCAGAGGGAGCAGCCAGCACAAGACCCAGCCCTAGGAAAGTTGCATTTCTTGAAGATTAGAAAGGAGGCTGATGAAGGAGAAAGAGACATACAACAATATTGGAGGCTTGGCAGGGGAGAGGTCAGGCAGGGCTTTGTGGACCGTAGGAAGTACTCATATTTATTCTACAGACAATGTGATACCATCCAGATGGTTTCAGCCAGTGGAGACAGGAGTACATTTATCCTTAGACATCACTTTGGCTGATGTTTCTATGAGGCTCTTATATTTTTCAGTGTGTTCAAAACTGAAATCTCAGATTTGATCTTCACGCAATCTTGCAAGGTCAATAGTGCAGTTCAAACTCTCCCTCAGGCAACAGATGAGAAAACTGAGGCACAGGGACACAGGGAAGGCTTGATAAAAGCCACTTGGCCAGACAGGGCAAGGTCTTTAACTCTGCATTTCAGCCTTGAGAGCAACCTGAATCTATCAATGAATAAATGGAGTGTGGGAAGGTGTATAAGGAAGTGGATATTAAAAGCAATCCTATGTTCTCTTTTCCCGAACCTCCCTGATAATATTCCTACAGTGGGGCAATCCAAGTAGATGTGAGCAGAAAGTCGGCTGATGGCAGACCTCACAGTGAATTACCAAGCATGTCCTCTCTTCCCAGCACCGAGAATTTGGCATTAACCTCCCCTGGGGAAGGCACACGCCTAAAACTCATCCACAGCTTGGCTTCTATCTGCTACCACTCCAGGGTTCCTTATCTCTGGATGAAAGCACATTTTCTTCATTTCAAAATTAATAAAATAACAATGACGATAACATGCTTTTGAGATTGTTGTGTTTGTCTGCTCAGCGTCTAGAGCCCACCTCCTCTTTCTGGTAACAGCACCCTGACTTTTCCCTTGGGAAACAGCTCCAGAGTGAGCAAATTACTCATGGCCAATGAGGTTCAGTGTTGGCCTCTCCTTGAGCCTAAATTATGGTAGGTACTCAGCAGATGTTTGCTAAATTTAACAACAGTTATTATTTAATGACTGTATTAGTTCAGGACTCTTGGTAGCAAATGATAGAAACTTCCACCCAAGAGAATTTAATTGACTCATGTAACAAAACATTTCTATGTTGGGGCTGGCTGCTCTCCTACCAACAACAGTGGGTAGAAGTCTATAGCAATGCAAAGAAGGATGGTCAGAGCTTTGAGCTCAAGGAACAGAGGAGACAGAGATGGCAGCATCTATTTGCAACAGCAGAAAGTCACTCTAGGTAACCATAAGTGGAAAATGACAGAAGGGAAGGCTCTTGAGTCTCGTGGGTTCAAGGTAAGGCTGTAAAACAGTGTTCAGAAAAAGGTGAGGGCCAAGGAAGACTAGGTGCAGGAATTATATTTTGCGCCACACCACTGGGACACTGTGGTTAGAACCCCAGTGTTGGCTCCTTCTCACTCCTTCAGCAGAAATTTCTCTACCTGTGCCTGCATGTTGCCCTCAAGACTCAAAGCCCAAGGCACAACATCCAACTGATTTGGTGGAGGTCCTACACCTCCACTCTGCCTGGGTAAGGAGAGATGGTATCTGAGCCCTGACTCTTTTTAAGATTCACATAGAATTCTTACCAAAAAAAAAAAAAAAAGAAAAAAAAGAAATAAAGAAAATGGGGCTTGAATGGCTGGCAAACACATGACAAATGTCCATTTCAAGAGGTGAGCAGAGTAACAATCTACAGGGACTCTAAACTCAGATTCAGGGCCAGCTGAGCATGAGTCCTACTAAAAAAAGTACTCCTTTGGACGAACAATGTGAGATTCAGCTGTAAGCTACCAATACTTGAGACACTTAGATTTTATTCTTTAGGTAATTGGGAGCCATGAAGGATTTAAGCAGTAGGGAAGAGACATGTGACCAGACCTGCACTGAGAAAGATATCTGTGGCTGCTGAGAGGAGCAGAGAAGAAACTGGAGTCCCAAGAAACTAAGAGACAGATGTTGGTTCAATCAATCTAGACAATGGTTAAGGGCCTTGGAAGGAGTGGGTAGACTTGAGAAATTTAGAGAGGAAAAGGCAGCAGGATTTGGTGACTGAAGTGGCTGAGTAGGAGGCAAGAAATCACCAAACTCCTGGCTTTGGAGACCAAACCTTCCTCTAACACCTCCTTCCAAGTGCTTCGTTTTTGTTAGCATGGAAAGGATATTGTAAAGGCCGAATTACACAACCCAAGAGGAAATCCAAAGTCAGACAGAGAGAATAATAGAAAGGACTATGGGGTTGGCAGTATGATTCATTATTATTCTTTAAGGTAAGGAGAAAAAAAATAATTGATCCTGGATGAAGAAATGGGGCTTGGCTGAGCCCAGGGCTGTGGGAGGTAAGTCCTGCTCCAGAACTCCTTGGGGGCATGTGGTTGAAGGGCCAGCAGGAAGGAGGGGGGATGGTGTCTGCAAAGGCTTAAAGAGACATTTTGTCCCAGACTGGTGATGGGGAAATCTAGAGGACTGGGTTTCAGTGCTTGGTAGGGAAGACGCCATTGGCAACCCTCAGTGCCTTTCCTGCTGATGAGTGCCTCATTGCCAACTTACCCAGTTTAAAATAAATCTTCAAGCTAGCCCGGAGGTAACTGTGCCTGAGCTTTGTCTTTTGCAGATGAGGAAGTGCAGGCTGAAAGATCAAGCCACTTAAGAAGGTCACACAGACAGTAAGTGTGGAGTTCAAGCTCAATGTAGGCTTAAGATTCCTGATTCCAGTCCAGTGCCCCCAAGCCATCCTGCTCTTGGGGGTTGGGGTGTATGCCAAGTAGGATCTGTCACTGATTTGGCTCCTAGCACCATGCTTGATAAATATTTGAATAAGAGAGTTAATTTTCCATTGGTCTGGTATCAGTTGATCCATCAAGGGGCCAGGATTAATTAAATTTCTCCTATGGGAAGTTAGAGCGGAGGAGAGGAAAATTAATGAGCCCTAGATGGATCAGAGAGACTTCTCTGAGAGTATCAAGGGGGCACTGGTTATGCCAGGAAGGGAGATTAGTGGACCAGGAAACCAGGACAAGAAATGCATTTGAATGGGTCTTCCTGTTAATTTTTCATGGTTTCCTAAGAATGATGAGGCAGGAAATCCAAAAATTTTGATCATGGTCTTTAAAGGATTTCTAGCCTCTCCATGGATATAGGATCATCGAGGACATGGAGTTGGGAGACTGAAATAATGAAATTTCTGACATAGTTCAACGGCCTAGGTCAGAAACCAGCAAACTTTTTCTGTAAAAGTCCAGATAGTAAACATTTTAGGCTTTGTAGACCAAGAGGCAAAATCTAGGATATTATGAAGATGCAAGAGAGAAAAAAAAGTCCACAAAATTCTTATTGATGAAAATTTAAAAATAATTAATAACAACTGAGTCCATTTTTTTTTTGAAATAAAGGTCTGCTAATGAGAAGATGGAATTCTTTTTGGCGGGGGAATAATACTTCATTTAATTGGATTTCAAAGTTAGTATTTTGTCACATCAAAATCAATTGTAAATATTTATCTGTTAGTGCTGATCTGTAATGGATTTACCATATTTTGTGTCTGAAAATGTCTTTCATACTGATAGCTGATAGTTGTGGCATCATTGTGATTTTCAGTGCACCAGGAAGCAGTGCTAAGCAATGAGATCTACTCATACATTTATGTATGTATCGTTTACGTACATAGACCATATGTAAGTGAATGAGCCTTGCTTATTCCAACAGAATTTTATTTATGGACATGAAACTTGACTTTCACATAATTTTCACAAGTCAAAAATGGTCTTTTTTTTTTCTGTCATTTAAAAATGTGAAAACCATTCTTAGCCCATGGGCCATCCAAAAACAAGGAGCAAACCAGATTTGTCCCATGGGCTTAGTGTGTCTTAGTGAGTCAAGTTAAGCCATTCATAATCAGGATTGTCAAAGGAAATCTGGTGTTGTTTGGTTATTCCTAATATCTGCCTGGCGAGGAAGAAGTACCTAGGAGGAAGGCCAAAGAGTTTAGATGGGACTAGAAATAGGGTGTTACTTAAGTTTCACCTTTGGAAGACTCCAGCCTGAGTCCTAGAATGAGGGTTCTCCAGCCTCCCCCTGACTGGGGTTTGCAGGACTTGACCAGTGCCCTCTTGGTCCAAGACTCTTTATATTCTTTAAGCCCCGTCATGGATTCCATTTCTGTCTGTGTGGCCATTCTGGGCCCCTAAGATCTTGATACAAGCACAGGGGTTTCCAAAGGACAGGGCAGAGCTGCCTGCAGAGAACAACCTCCCAGACTGCTGAGGCCAAGGCGGTGGGTAGGCCTGGGGGTGCAGAGTGTGGCTTTCAGAGCTACAGCTTCAAAGTGGCCCTTATCTCCAGATGCACAGGTGAAGTGTGCCACATGTTTATGAGTAAACTAATGGCCTAATCTCAGCTGGAGGCAAGGTAATGGGGCAAGGCAGGGTTGGAGAACACTCAGGCCATGCTGCCCTATGTTTAACCCTCTCTAGGCTCCAGGCTCCAGCAAGTGAATGCATAAACATGGCTCCAACTGAAGGGCCAGCCCTAACCAAACCACAATTTTCAGCTGATTCCTATAGGATGGGGGAGAACCCTGCTCCAAACCAGGACAACTCCACCTCTTCATTGTGTATCCAATGTAAAGTTGGGTTGGCAGCTTTTAATAACTTAGAAATGGCTGGGGGTGGGGGGGAGGAAGTACTGAATCATTTACTCATTCAGCAAATAACCAGGGAATACCTACTCTACACTGGTCACTGATGGAGATATAGACTTGGGCAAAAGCCGCGTCATCTGGTTGTGTTCAAGCTGAACATTCCCTTGACCCAGTCACTGATGGAGATATAGACAGGCAAAAGCCACGTCATCTGGCTGTGTTCAAGCTGAACAGTCCCTTGACCCAGGGCCCATGACAGGGCAGAGGGCATATTATTATCCCCATTTTACAAAGGAAAGAGCTGTCAGACACAGTGTCACACAGGAAGGTAGACGATAATGTCAATATCCCTCATCTTAGTATAAAGTTGTCCTTAAAAACTCTCCATTATTTATTAATTTATTGACTCACTTATTCATGTTTTCTGCACAGTGATACTTATCCTGCACGAGACTCTCACACCAGTGCTTTGGGTGTAAGAACACCCCAAGGATTGTGTTCCCTTTTCTCGAAGAGTCTGTGGTCTAAGGGGATTCAATGGGGTCCACTTTCCAAACCAAGACAGCAAAGGAACACTAGGAGAGAAGTATTCTGTGCAGAGATTCAGTTATATGATAGCTAAGAGGTGGACCTTCCATTTAATACTTTGCCTTGGGCAAGTCACTCTCCTCAGTTTCCTCACCTGCTAAGTGGGCATAACAATAGTACTGACTTCACTGGGCTGTTGCGAGGACTGAATGAGATGACATGGAAGGTATCTGGCTCACAGTCAGTGCTCAATAAATGGTGATTACTAAAGAAAACCCATGAGGAAAGGCTAAAGGGTCTGGAATTCAATGGGACAGCTAATTTTGCTTGCTTTTTTTGTTTGTTTGTCTCAAAATTTTGCTTTTAAATTGAACATTTTGCACAGTTATTAAATGTGTGCACTGGTCTTGTTTATACCTGTGATCTAGTTGAATCCTCAAAGCAACTTCTTGGAGCAGGCATTGTTAATTTCTTCTCATCTTGCGCATGAGAAAACTAAGGACCAGTGATAGGAAGTTCTCCAAAATCACACAGCAAGAAAGGATGTGAGCCAGCGTCCTGGGCTGCTTGTCTCCACCCTGGGCTCCCTCTTGTTACATGATGGATGGGATTTGGTTGATATTTGGTTGTAGATTGGGCAGGAAAACTAAGGTTCAAATGGGGCAGTGAATGGCTCAAATGTGATAGGAAAGCCCTGATGGGAAGGGTCGTTAAACCTTGGAATGGGCGACTCCAACAGAAGCAGAAGCCCTAGCCAGGACGACTTCCCCATCATCTTCCTGGATGAGTCACAATTCACTGTGGTCCTACCTACAGGCAGCAGGCAGGGGGATGAAAAAGATGACCAGCCACCATCTTTACTTTCCCCAAGTTCCCCAAATGTTGTCCCCCTTCATTATTATTCAGCCAATGATGACAAAGCTACTGGTGTTGCCACTGCTCCCCACACCCCTCCTCCCACTCCCACAAAGGAACTCTATCCTGCTCCATCTATGCACCATTTTATGCTGAATCACTCGGTGATGGAGTGATCTGGTGTCTGTTTACACAGAGGAAGCCCCAGCCTGAAGACCTGGTCAATCCAAGTCAAACACATTCGATCCTTAGCACGTGCCCTGTCATGTGGCCTCCCTTGCCCACTCAGGCATAGGATCTACCAGGGCGCTTCTTCCCATCGAGCTGAGAGGCCACTGGATTAGTTTCTTAGATCTGCCTTAACAAACTGTCATAAACTGGGTGGCTTGAAACACAGAAGTTTATTCTGTCATAGTTCTGAAGGCCAATGTGTCAACAGAGCCAAGCTCCCTCCTGAGGCTCCACGGGGAGTTGTTCCTGGCCTCTTCCAGCTTCTGGTGGCTCACAGCATTCTGGCTCATGGCTGATAACTCCCATCTCTGTTCCTGTCATCACGTGGCCTTCTCCCCTTCTCTGTGTCCGTGTCTTCTCCTCTTCTGTTTCCTAAAAGGACGTTTGTCATTGATTTTAGGGTCCACCTGGGTAACCCAGATAAGCACATCCCAAGATCTTTAACTTAGTTAGATCTGCAAATGCGAGTGTTCACATTTTCCAATTCTTAAACTAAAATAAGGTCCCATTCACAGGCTTCCAGGGTTAGGGCATGGACATATGTCCTGGGGGCCACCTCCAGCCCACTGCAACCACAGAATCTTTCTCAGCACAGTTCTCAAATTAGTTGATGCACACACACAAAAAGATGATGGCCCATGAAATGCAGGCCTTTTATTTATTTATTTATTTTTGCTCTCTGAACTTTTTATTGGCCTCCTGCTCCCCAGAGTGGACCCTGCTTCTCCTGGCTTAATGTCTCAGAACTTTGGAGTCATTGGTCTCAGACACCACTTTGCCGTCCACTATATGGTGGGTGGTGGTCTTTTGGGTGGTTTGCATGGAGTTGCTGCTGTTCAGGGCATCACCAAGACTGAATTCCTCACCGTCTTCCAGCAGGCAGCGTTAGGTGGTGATCTCAGCCTCCTGCTTGACTTTGATGTTCAGCAGGGCCTGGCACTCCTGGGCCTGGAGCTGCCCCTCTGCCCAGGTCTATGCCAGCTCTGACTCCAGGTGAAGCAGGATCCCGTTGAGCTACATCTGAAGGATGTAGTGGGCCTCCACTCAGGCTGTTCTCCAAGCTGGCTTTCAGATCTCTCAAAGAGTTCAGGTCGATCTCTAAAGACTGGATTGTATGTCTCGGCTCCATTGAGTGTCACCTCAGCAGCTTCAACCTCGGCGGACTGTGTGGTGACCACTGTGGTGCTCTCCTCAATCTACTGAGACTAGTACTTGTCCAGCTCCTCTTGGTTCTTCCGAGCCAGCTCCTTGTATTGGGCCCGGATGTCTGCCATGATCTTGGTGAGGTTCTGAGATTTGGGGGCATCTACCTCCATGGTCAACCCAGAGCTGGCAATCTGGGCTTGTAGGCCTTTTACTTCCTCTTTGTGGTTTTTCTTCATGAAGAGCAGCTCCTCCTTGAGAGCTTCGATCTCTGTCTCCAGCTGCAGCCGAGTGACATTTGTGTCATCAGTGACTTTGCAGAGCCCATGGATTTCGCTCTCCACAGACTGGCGCATGGCCAGCCCTGTCTCATACTTGACTCTAAAGTCATCAGCAGCAAGACGGGCATTGTTGATCTGCAGAACAATGCGGGCATTGTCCACAGTATTTGCAAAGATCTGAGTCCTCAGTTCCTCGATGGTCTTGAAGTAATGGCCCCAGTCTCTGACCTGGGGTCCCTTCTTCTCCAGGTGCTCCCAGATTTTGTTTTCCAGCTTCTGGTTCTCGGTCTCCTGGCTCCTCACTCTGTCCAGGTAGGAGGCCAGGCAGTCGTTCAGGCTTTGCATGGTCTCCTTCTCCTTGTGGATGCCTCCCATTCTCTCCAGACCCCCGGCCAGCCCCGCAGCCAGGCCCCCAGACCCCAAGCAGCCTTGGAAGTTGGTGGAGCGGGACATAGAGATCCGGGAGCCCGAGCCCCCAGCGCCTGCATAGACGCTGGCTGCGCTGCTGACCAGCTGGACACCATAGCTGGGAGGCTGAACGGAGCCTAGGGACTGGTAGTTGGTGGAGAAGGTGAAGCGAGTGGTGAATCTCGTGCTGTCTGGGAAGGAGATTGAGAGGACAGCACTCAGGCTTTGCCGACCAAACTTTTTATAATCTCGAGACTAGATCAACCCTAGTGATTTCATCAAACTGTAAACTTCTATGGAGTGCCAGTTATGGAAAATCCTCAATATCTCAACTGTGCAAGGGGCCATTGAGTGAAAACTAAAAGACAGAATGTTTCAAAAAGGGCATAACATGGTGTCTGGCACATGTTGGCATTCAGTCAGTATTCTGAATACTGGCTCTTCTAGGCACCTTGCTGGGTCCCATAAGACAGTCCCTGCCCTAAAGAAGAAGCTAGCCACACCACTGGTGAGAACATAACCTCAGGAGATCCTAAAGGCAAGCAGCCTGAGGGAAGTTTTCTTTGCAGAGAGAACATTCTTCCCACTTGAAATCACATATTTAACATCTGTCTTCCCCAATTCTTTCTTTTATTCAACAAATATTTTTTAGCTGGATCAGTTATGTGCCAAGCTCAAGAAATGAAATGTTAAACCAATGTCCCATGGGACATGGCCTACTGAAGGGGACAGGATTGTAAAGATATTCAACCAAAATCAAGATATAACTACAAACTCTGATGGGAAGAAGGAGTGCCGCCAAAGAGAAGCAAGGCTCTACTGTAGATTAGGGGTCAGGAAGCCCCTTTGAGGAAGAAACATTTAAGCTGAAAGATGATAGGATTTGGCCAAGCAGTGAGCTAGGAGAAGATACACTGAGACCTCGGTGGGGTAGAAACTACGTCTGTGTTCACTTCTGTACCCCCAGAAACTAACCTAGTGCCTAGAATGTAAAAGGAGCTCAATAAATAGGTGTTAGATTGCATTTAATTGAAGTGTGGTTATCTAACCCCAATTTTACAGATGGGAACAGCAAGGCAGAACACCTAAGCTTGCATTTGACAGGCATGGATTTCTGTGGACGAGGAGAGCCTGGCATCTCCCAGGTTGCTGTGGTTGTCCACACCATTATTCCTGCCTCCCTCAGTCCCCTCCCTACTCGGCTCAGGCTCCCTGAAGGAGGTATGTGCCAAACCAGGGGGAAAGAGGGAAGGAATGGGGGGAGTTGAGGAGGGAGGCCTCATTTCAACCTGGCACAAGGTGAACTATTTATGGCAAGAACCAGATGAGCAGGGGGCCTGGATGCTGAAAAGTCATGGAGGAAAAATACCCAATTCCCAGCCAGAACGTCAAAGAATTGTTCCACTGGGACATCTCTCCCCTGCCATACACTGGACTCCAGGGCTGCCCTGACAGGACTGAACAGACCGCTTTCCCATATTGTCTTCTCCCTGCCAGCCCCATTCAGCTCCCTGGACGTGACCTGGATGATTCTCACACATCGTCCAGGCTCAGCTCAGCTGCCATGTCTAGCAAGAAGCCACATGCTCCTCTTCCTGTTGGGTTAGATGTCCCTGCCCTGCTCGTCTCATAGCCTGCAGTCGCTGCCCTTGAGATGTGCTGTGAGGTCATTTTCCGATGGTGAATTCATTCCAAGCAGAGATCATAGCCTGTTCTCTGTTGTGTGAAGCCAGCACCAGAACCTGAGCCTGGGTACATTGGTACCTCATGAAAATTCATTGAATGGGCAAGTGAAGAAAAAAAATGAGTGAATGACACTATCAATCAATCACAACTTTTTTTTTTTTTTTTTGTAAACAGGTTGCATGCAAATGTCAGAACCACCATTCATCCCCAGGCCTGCGTTGTACCAAAGATTGTCAACACCACTGTCCTGCAGGGGTATGTGATCTGCCAGAGGGTCAAGAGGGTGAGGGTGAAGAGAGATACACATGACACCAGGACAGCCTCCAAATGAGAATTTATTCTTTTGCCATCGTTGAGCCGCTGCTACTGCACACCAGGTGCTGCACTAATGCATGGCCTCTGCCTTCAAGGAGTTTGCAGTATAACCAGGTCAGTGAAGACACATTGATGAGTGCTGGCCAGAGTGGGTGCAGGACACAGAAAGGAGGTGGGATGGGGGGCACAGAAGGAGTAGGTAAGCCCAGACCAAGGCTGGCTTTGGATAGAAATTATCCCACAGCTCAGAAGCATGACCAGCTCTAGATGCCAGGGACTGTGGGTGCACATCATAGCATATAGAAGATGTCTCCCTGTCCCAAGCCTGCAGCATCAAATCCTGCCTAAATACATCTCTCTCTCTCTCTCTCACACACACACACACACACACACACACACACACACACACACACACACACACAGTGGAATCCTGGTGGATGCTTCAGCCTCAGCTTTCCCCAGTTCCCTGGGACTCCTCTTCCCTCCCACTCCTGGCACCTTATTCTTCAGCCGGGCTGAGCTGCCAGGAGATAGTTGAGGACAAGAGCCCAAGGAAGGACTCTCAGAAGCAGACCTTTCCTTCCATACCCCTGCAGTCCCTCTAACCCACCACCCTGCAGGTCTTTCAGAGCTTTCTAGGCCACAACTGCAAAGAGAGTCTGGGCCCGCACCCTCTGCATTCGGGCTGAGGTCTCATGGCGCATGAGTGTCCAGAGCTCAACCAAACCCTCCTCGTGGACAGAGTTGGTGCCAGGCTTGGCAGAGCTCCTTGGCTTGGCTTCCTTGGCTCCTGTAGGTGGAAGGCCCCTGAGCAATTGTGGTTCCTTCTGGGTATCTCAGCCAACCCGGAACTTCAGCCACAGCACCAGCACCCACAGGTAGCAATTGTGAAAAAGTAAGGCCCTGTGATGTCACACTCTAACATTAGTGCTGAGCAATTACCCACACAAGATTCAGGCTGGGACTGGAGCAAACCTGCACTGCAGCACTGTGTGCCAAGGAGCGTGGTGGCTGGTGACCACCAGAAGACCCCCATCCCACTGGGAGGCGCAGCTCCCACCATGGCCTAGGGGCTGCAGGCTTCCACAGAGAACGCTGGATGTGGCGCCCGAGCTCATCTGCAGGTGGAGGGTGTTTGGGCAGCATCCTGTTAGAGCCCACAGGGTTGGCTATGAAAGTTCCTGCAGCATGAAACATGGTCTTCCAAGACAAGTCTTTCCCGTTGGGATCTCCTGGGCACAAGGATGCTTGCCCATGGTATTCACAGAAGAGTGGCAGTATAATGCAGTGTTAGGTGCCCAGGCTTGAGAGAAGACCAGGCTCAAAGTGTAGCTTTTTCTTTTAACTAGGTAACCTTCCATCTGTCCTTTACATTTGTGCATCTCACCGTGCTGATCTGTAAAAGAGGGATAATGACAACCCAGCAGTGATGCCTCCGTGAGTTCCTTCTCTTTCCCTCTTGCAAACCAGGTATTGCCATTAAGATAACACAACATTAAATCAGCCTGAGATGAGTTTTGAAAGAGCAATTCTGCTGGTTCTTATTGCAGATATTCAAAGGTGTGAGTCATGACTCAATAAGGTGAGTATCTCTTGAAAGATAGTGAGCACTCACCATAGTCCAGGCAATGTGCTTGGCACATTACAGAATCTCAGCTAATTCTCGTAATGACCCTATGAATACTATTATTAATCCCATTTTACAGATTAAAAAAGCAGAGATCAGAGAGGATGTGATTTTGCCCCATGGTGGCAGAGGCTGCCAGCTGTCCCTCAATAGATGATCTTCCCTATTCCTTAGGACTAGACTCTCTGATTCTTATCTGGACACATGGCTAACCAGAATAATGACCTTTCCTAAGCTCTCTTGCATCCATGTGTGGTCATGTGATTAAGATTGGCCAATGGGGTTTGGGTTGAGATGATGTATACGGTTCCAGGAAGTATCCTTAAAAGGAGCTAGGAGGCGAAGATTTCCCCTTTCTTGTTCCTTACTTCTTTCTGCCTGCTAGAATGTGAGCATAAGGGCTGGAGTTTCAGCAGCTATCGTGCTCTGTGAAGGGCAAGATCTTTGGAAAGATCTATGCAAGGCAGAGCCCGGGTTCCTGGCACTAAGGACTGCCACATCAGTCATAGACTGCTGCCCGTCAGACATTTATTTCTATCTTACTTAGTCACTATTATTTGGTGCCTCTTTTAATTTGCACATTACCTTAATCCCAACTGATACTCCAAAATCAGGTGGCAAATAAGGGACAAGGTTGGTATTTAAACCCTGCCTCTCTCATCCCAAAGGATGCTTAAATGTCCCTCTCTCTAATGTGCACATGTATTTGGATGAGCTGGGGATTCAGCTTTGAGGGTTTTAGCAACAGTCCATCACTTGACACTTCATGTGACTTGTATGCAGAAGCCATGTGAGGATCCAGCTTCTCTCCCACCTCTGGATCTCTGGTGACCGCAGCTCAGCCCTGGGCCCCGCTACTGGCCCAAGGAAGACCCACACATCTTGGATCACGCACCTCAGGTCAGGGAGGCTTTCAAGGACTTGTGGGAGGTGATGGTGAGGAGTGACCAGCCTGTTAGTCTTAATATAGTCCTAAGAAAAGTTGCTCAGAGGGCTTCTTTCAAAAATAGAAGGATTTGATTGAGTCCTGGCTTCTGGGGTGTATAGATAGTCTCATTCTTATTATATCACTTGGATTGATTTGCAGATTAATACCAGTTTTGGAAAAACTGCCAGCCTGTAGTACTAGACACAGGAGACAGAGATATCATATACCAATGTCCACAGCCTGTGCTTCTGCCTTTCCGGTGGATTCTGTTCTGTTATGGGTGGCAGTGGGAGGCCAGGACTGGACAGGGAAGGCCTACAGCTCACCCTGGCAACTTTCTTTCCTAACAAGATCTCGCTGTGGCCAGGAAGTGTGCATTCACTTGTCGAATCTTCTCCACAACTCTGGGAGTTCCCACTATTATTACCCCCACTTAAGAGAATAGGAAAATTGAGCGTCAGAGAGGTTCACTACCTTGCAAGTATGCAACAGAGCCAAGATTTGAGCAGAAGTGTGTCTAAATGCTGTGGCCAGTAAGGGTTTTTTGTACACCTGGGTGAGGTGGGGGTGGGCTGGGCATCTGGGGTGTTGAGTGCTTTCAGGGAGGAGACACTGCGACTGGGGATGGACTGGGGAGAGGGGATGGTAACAGCACATGTGAGATGGTAATCCACTCATTCAGTTATTCCTGAGCACCTGCTATGTCCAGGCACCATGGATCTCAAAATAAAACACAGTACCTTTCCTCAAATAGGGCAGCAGGAACAGACACAAGTGCTATGGGACTCTTTGTACACACTGCGATGCTCACAGGAGACCCATCCACTGCAGTTTTCAGAGACCCCCTGGTGCCTCTAGGGCCTAATCCTATGCCACGTCTGTGATGTCTCCAATTCACTGTACATACTGCATGGAGGATCTTTTTGACGCACTGCTTTCTGGATAATATCTGAACTCCCTTAGCACCCACGAGGGACAGGTCTGTGGGTGCCTCTTCTGCGTCACTGGTCACCCTTCCCACCCGGCTCCCCTCTGTGTCCCCTTTTCCTCTAGGTTCCAGCCAGGTAGGGCCCTGGGGAGGCAGTTGAACAAGCATCCTTACTTTCTACCACTGTGCCCTCAGACACACGGTGCCCTCCCTGGAATGCCCTTCCCATGTCCAGCTGACCTGGCAGTGGGAAGTGACCACCTAATGAAGTCTTCTCTGATCTCCTGCCCGTAACACCAATGCCCCTATGGCACACACCTGGCAGAGAAGCAAATCCCAATGCCCCCACGTATCCGGCTGACTTGGCCAATGCCCGTCTCTCTAGGTGCTTCTCACCATTGCCCATGTCCACCAGTTACACAAGTCTTCTCCAGCGTCAGCTCTCTGCCTTCTCAGCAACTGCACACTTTCTGTTCTCTCTGCCTGGGATGTTTTTTCCTGGGGATACCACACTTTGATTTTTCAGGTTCCAGCTTCCTGCACAAGAGAGACTATCCCTGACCACCCTATTTAAAATGCAGGCTCCTTTTCTTTCTTCTTGATCTCTGCACACTGCTTGGTTTTCTCATTATACCAGCACAATTGCAATAATTTTGTGGAGGTCTTTGTGTACTTCATCCTTCTGCCTCCCGGCACTTTCCACTGCATTGAGGGAGGAGACCTTGCCAATGATGCTCCTAATTGTATTTCTGGCCTTTGAAAAATAGTGCTTAATAAATATTCAATGAAGAGATGGTGACTGTGTGGGTGTAGACATATGAAAGAACTCTGTTAATATGTGTGGATTACACTCTATGTAAATGACATTTTAATAAAAAGTAGATACCAAATGTATTGGCTATTTGAAAGAACAGCTGGAGCATGAATTTTCCCATGAGTCTCATTCTTCGTATTTTTGTCGCTGGTGTTTAACAGAGTCTGATCCAACATCTCCTCCATTCTAAGATGCTCGTGTTCCCATGATGTAAAGTGGGAGAAATCAGAGCACATTACGCTAATGTGCTCTTCCTTTATATTTCCTCTCTGAAAGTCATCATTAAACCAATGGTGTATCTTCAAATAGGTGACATATCTTAGAGGACTGAACTTAAAAAACAGTGTTTATGGAAATCACTCACTTAAATGTTGAACTAACTGGACCTGAAAAGGGATCAACTCTTAAGGGAGCTCGAAAAGGAGGTTTGGGGGGTTCCCACCCTACTTCCATCGCCTGTTTAAGGGGAACAGCCCTTTGAAAGAGCTACAGAGAGCACACTAGTGAAGGCCTTGGGATTGGATCACCCGTGGCTGGACCCTGGTTTGCCACTTGGCAGCTGTGTGACCTTGAGCAGAGTGCTCAGCCTCTCTGAACCTTAGTTCCTCATGAAAGAGGGAGCATCATCCATACCTTGCAGAGCCCTGGTAAGGATTAAGTGAGATAAAGCTGGGGAAGTCCTTAGCCTCGCGGCAGGTGTGTAGCAAGCCCTTAATGGAGAGAGGTTATTATTAGGAGAATTTTGCTCCAGCCCAGCCCCTGCCCTGGGACCTTGGCGCTCACAATCAGCCCACTGTAAGTGCCACATAATGGTGTGTGTGTGTGTGAGAAGGGACCAGGGTACAGGGGAGGAGGAGGAGGTACTGCCCTGGGGCCTTGCACCCTCGAATTATCTTCCTCCCAGCCCAGTCAAGCTGTTTCCTTCCCTCTGCTAACCTTCAGTCCTCTGAAAACCCAGCTGTAAGCCCCAGGCGTGCTGGGAACAAAAGGGCACAGTCAATAATCATTTCAGCTGATGTCAGAACCTCTTGTCCCTCCAACGTCCCTGCGCTTCAGAAGCCAGGAGAGGATTTCATCCTCAAAATTGGAGCCTGCCCATCTCGTAGTCTCAGCTCTCACGAGTGCCCAACTGCTGCCCTCTCTGAGTATCCTGAACTGCCTGGAATCCTGAGCCAGCCAATGCTGTTTTCACCTCTGAGCCTTTGCTCTTGCCATCCTCACCCGCTGACGCTCCCTGCATATTCCACTTCCAGCCCTGGGCCCTGAAATGGGATCTCCTTCTTGCCTCTATTTTACAGGTGAGCCAACTGAATACCAGAGAAGTTTGACAACCTGCCCTAGGTGACGCGGTAGCATCTCACTTCCAAGGGCATTAGGTGATCCCCCACATCATTCGCCAAAATAGTAGTCAAGATGTCTGCAGATCTCCCGGACACCAGGCTTCATGTTCACTCTCTCGTTAAGTGTCACGATGCTATGAAGTCGGTACTGTTCTCTCCACTTTATAGATGAGGACGCTGATGTGTTCAGTCACTCGCCTGTTGGCACACATTGGCTAGCAGAGGTGGTCCTGCATCTCTAGTCCCTCGGGACTCAAGCCGGTGCCCTAAACCACCTCATTCTACTGATTTCTGGGGATTGGCATCCTGAAATTGGGACACGCTGTTTTGTAGTAAAACAAAAGATTCAGGGCCTCAGGAGGAGCCCCAAAGAAGGTGGGCTTCCCTGACCAGGCCAGGCAAGTAGCACTTCTTCTTCCTCAATTCCTCCAAGATCCTTGTTTTTCACAGGATATAGTAAGGTTTTAGCCCTGGGGGCCCAAATACCTTGGTCACTTTGCAGTAGAAGTGCAGTTTTGTTTAGTTTTGTTTTATATATATATATATATATATATATATATATATATATATATATACACACACACACACATATATACATATATACACACATATATACATATATATACACATATATACATATATATGCACATATATATGACATATATATACATATATACATATATATGCACATATATATGACATATATATACATATATACATATATATGCACATATATATGACATATATACATATATACATATATATGCACATATATATGACATATATATTTATGTATAATGTAAAATATAACATATATTTATGTAATGTATAAAGTATAATAAATATACATATATTTATTATACTTTAAGCTTGGAACCAACCCAAATGTCCAACAATGATAGACTGGATTAAGAAAATGTGACACATATACACCATGGAATACTATGCAGCCATAAAAAAGGATGAGTTCATGTCCTTTGTAGGGACATGGATGAAGCTGGAAACCATCATTCTCAGCAAACTATCGCAAGGACAAAAAGCCAAACACCGCATGTTCTCACTCATAGGTGGGAATTGAACAATGAGAACACTTGGACACAGGAAGGGGAACGTCACACACTGAGGTCTGTTGTTTTGTTTTTTTATGAGATGGCATCTTGCTCTATCGCCCAGGCTGGAGTGCAATGGCATGATCTTGGCTCACTGCAACCTCCTCCTCCTGGGTTCAAGCGATTCTCCTGCCTCAGCCTCCCGAGTAGCTGGGATTACAGGCACCTGCCACCACGCCTGGCTAATTTTTGTATTTTTAGTAGAGACAGGGTTTCACCGTGCTGGTCAGGCTGGTCTCGAACTCCTGACTTCAGGTGATCCACCCGCCTCAGTGGCTCAAACCTGTAATCCCAGAAGTGCAATTCTTAAGAGCACCAACTCCAAAGACAGCTGCCCAGGTTCAGATCTCAGCAACTCTACTTTCCAGAGTAGAGTCTTTGTGCAAGTGACTTAACCTCTCTGTGCCTCAACTCCTTTGTCTGTAAAATGGGGATAATAATAGTATCATTGTTGGGATATTAAATGAAAGAGTAAACAATCAAAAAATGTTAGGTTGGAGGCTGGGTTATGTTTTGTTTTTCCTGATACGGAGCCAGACATTCATAAGGATTCTTGCTTTCTTCAGGAGGCGGGTGCTGCAGCCAGGCAGCTGGAAACAGGGATGTGGAAACAGTCCCAGGGCCGAGTGGGGACAGCCAATTTCATCAAGTGCCCCTGCCCAGCAGGGGAATTGCTGCTTGAGATTTGGAGGCTACCTGCTGAGGCCTGCCTGCCAGTCCAGTGAGTGGGCCCCTCTGGGCCAGGCGCCTATTTTCATTATCAAGGCCACATTCCTGGGATTCCTTGGTGACTAGGCGCTTATTACAAGAGAATCAAAGTGCCAAAGGAAACTACTCATTTGAGGCCGAGACCTGGATTTTTCATTTTTATAATTGGCCCTTGGGTCTGCATGTCCTGGGGATACTGGTGGAAGGGAGCTGTTGGACAAAGTATCTCTATGGGGCCCCAGTCACCCCTGGGGGAGGGCGGGACTGGCCCCCTGCCAGATCTGCTGCGCCCATGCAGAAGGCCCTCCAGAGGTCATGTTGTCCAGCCCCTGCCACTGGGCCTGACTCATCAGCACCTAGGCCAGAAGGACAGGTGCTTATCTGAGAGCTGACAAATCTTTGTAGAAGGAGCCAAAGACTTGGAAATCCCCTCTGCGTCCTCCCAACCAGCTATCTATCCAGCCCAGCAGTTCTCAACTGAGAGTGAATTTCCCTCCAGGGGACATTTGGCAATGTCTAGAGAAATTTTTGGTTGTCACAACTGGGTGTTTAGAAAAGGGAAGGTGCTACTTGCATCTAGTGGGTAGAAGCCAAGGATGCTGTTGCTAGGGACTGAATGCTTGTGTCCCCCCAAAATTCCTGTGTTGAAAACCTAACAACCCCTCATGTGATGGTATTAGGAGGTGGGGCCTTTGGAAGGTGATTAAGTCATGAGAAGGAGCCCTCATAACTGGGACTAGTACCCTTGTAAGAAGGGGCCAGAGTGTTCTCTTTCTCTCTCCACCACGTATGGATACAAAGAGAAGTCAGCAGTTTGCAACCCCGAAGAGGGCCCTCGTGGGAACCTGACCATGCTGGCACCCTGATCTCAGACCTCTAGCCTCCAGAACTGGGAGAAATACATTTCTGTTGTTTAGAAGCCACCAGCTATATGGTTTTTGTATTGCAGCCGAATATGTTTTTGTATTGCAGCCGAATGGACTAAGACAGATGCTAAACATCTTACAAGGCACAGGGCAGCTCCTCATAATGAAGAATGATCTGGCTGCAACTGTCAGTAGTGCTGAGGCTGAGAAGCCGGGGGCTGGCCTCGATCCCCTGCCCTGCATCGAGTGCCCATGCTTTCCCAGCTAGAGTTCATGGAAATGTAAGATGGGAGGATGGGCTGCTCAGGTGCATCCTTTAGGAAGACAAGAAGTGTGGCCCAGCGCAGGTGGGAATAAAGGCCAAAAGACACACCTTTTTACCAGATGGACAGCAACGGGGACATAACAGGGGATTTGGAATCCTGCAGACCTGGGTCTACACCTGGGCTCCATTCCTCAGCTGTGGAGCCCTGGGCGGGTCACTTCATCGGTCTGAGCCTGATTTGTGAAATAGGAGGATCATCCCCCTTGCAGTGAGGGATGTACATCTACCTCATGGGGTAGGTATAAGAATTAGCAGGGATGATACCTGCAGTACCTCTAGCGTATGCCTGACACGCAGAAGGTTCTCCACACGTGAGTCTCCTCCTTCCTCCCCCTACAAGAACCTGCCTGTCTGTACCTTCCTTCTTCCTGGCCTCCTAAGACCCATTCTCTGCCCCAGCCAGATGAAGCCTTGCTGCCCCATTCTCTCCTTTGTGCCCTTGGCCTCCCTCCTCTCTTCCTCTCCAGATCCTCCCAGCACCACGGCCTCTCTCCCTCTAGAGCATCCATGCAGCCCCCACCCCCTGGCCATTCTCCTAACCCAGCACAGATGCCCACCTGGCCCACATGCTGGCTCCCATGGGTTGCTCCTGGCTTTAGGAGGCATGAGGGTGTATTGGGGAGTATGTGGTGTGTGTAGTATGTGGTGGGTTTGAGTGGTATGTACACACAAGTTTGCACGCATACTGGGCATGCTTGTGTGTGAACATGTGTTTATGTGTCTTGTGTGGATGCGTGTGGCCTGGGACTGCTTCCTTTTCCTTTTGTTTTCTCCCAGTCACTGCAGGACACTTTGCAATATGCTGGGTTCATTAGCTGAGAAGGGCCCTTGGGGAAAACTGGAGAGACGAATGTCTCCAGATTTTCCAAACAGTCTCATCATTCCCTCCCTCTGTGAAGGATGCCAGGAAGAAACCCATTATCATAGACTTTCCCCAGCCCATCCATCCTCCTTTTCTGAGCACTGACTCTGGCCAAGCCCTGTCTTAGACACCAGGACAGACAGAGGAACCACACACGACCCCTGCTGAGGGTCATGGTGGAGTGGGGCGCTCTCCAGTCAGCCAGGCCACACCCGGAGAGTGGGACCTGCTTTTCAAAGTTGAAATACTCCTTAATGATTGGTATACAGCGCCTACTCAGGGCCCTGAGGGCACCCTGATTCCCCAAATCCAGCAGCGACACTGCTCCAGGGCTGTGCCTGGCCTCCGTCCACTGGCTCTGATTGTTTGGTGCTTTTACCATACCTGTTGTTAAATACTTTTAATAAGACTCGTTGGAGACAGATGCACGATCATTCTGGAATTCACTAAGAGCTCCAACCGGAGGTGTCAAGAAGATGGAGCCACTAACTCTGCCTGCAGGTTGTCAAAAAAAATCTTCAGGAAGAAAAAGATTCTCCTCTGTGGTCAAGAAATCTGAGAGAGGGTCTGCACGGATATAAGAGGGACAGGTTAACCACTCACAGGGAATAAGAAGCGCAAAGGCAGGGAGGAGCGGGGCAGAATCTTTGGCAGAAGGTGACATGTTCCCAAGAGTGTGGGATATGGGGATAACTGGAAAGGCAGTCAGAAAACTAAGCTGGAAAAGGCCTTGAATGCCAAATTCAGGCGCAGCAGCTACCTCAGCCTTCCCCAGGACTGCGGAGGACCGTGTCAGTGCCATGCTGTAACCCAGGTCTAGGATTGGCTATATAGTTCATGGGGCCCAGTGCGAACTAAAAATCTGGAGTTCCTTTTAAAAAAAGATTATTAGGAATTTCAAGACAGCAACAGCAGAGCATTAAACTGGGGACAGAGTTCTTGTAAACATAGGTCCCCATGTGACTGTACAAATTGTGTGCCCATGAAGCAGGTGCCACCAGGACCACTGGTCTGAACAGATGTTCTGTCTGGGATTTAGAAGAAGGTAGCCTGAGACCACCAGGCCTGGGTGAGGAAGCAGGAAATGCCTCTGCAGAATTCCCTGTGGCCTTCCTGGAGATCACCTGCTTCCCTTGGTAAGGTATCCAGTTACCACTCCAAAGGTGCTGTTTTCAGAGCGTTCATTCATCAGCTGGATTAGTGCAGCACTTTTTGCTAATGCCTTGCCCGCCCAGCTGACCCTGCCACTGCTTCTGGCAAGTGCAGACTCTGACCAATGGCCTGTGGCTTGGGAACCTGCCTGGAGCCTGCCCAGGCTCCATCTCATACAGGGCCCAGCTGGTGAGTGAAGGGGGCTTTAGTGGCCACCTCGCCAGGAGTCAACAAGCCCAGTGCTTCTGGGAAAGTCACTGTGTCTCGTTGCTAATTCCCCTTTCCCAGAGAGGAGATAAGCCGCCAGATGGAGGTAGAAATGAACAGAGGCCTAACTGTCCTTTTGATGCAAATTGAGGCCTAAATCAAAGGCTCCTCTTCTTGGGGTTAATAGAATGATTTGGTTAAAAGTTTAGAAGCATTTCACCACAACCTCTGTCCTCAGCAACCTGCCCTCAGTATTTGCATATGTTTTGAATGAAAATTGTCAGGACCATGCAAACTAGACAGCTAAATGTGTCTTATCAGATGGCCGTGGGGGGATCTTAGGGGGAACAGGAGAGAAACACAGGTCAGACTGAGGCTCTTGTGTGGCTCTGGACCTCAGTGATAGCATCTGCACTGGCCCAGGCTGATAAGCAGCTTTCTCCATTTCACCTGCACTTCTGTGACTAACAAGCCACCTGCAGAAACTCGGAGACTTGGTGGGACCTGGAGAAAGATAAAGGACTCTTTATGTCCCTCCAGATCCCAGGGAGTTCAAGCATGAGGAGAAGGATGAGGGTGCTGCTGCCCCTAAAAAGGGTTCCCCTCAGTGGATCCATTACTCCATTAATCATTAAGCACTCCATTCAGTCATTTCTTCCTTCAATAGTTCAACTGTCTTTACAAATAATACCTATCTTTAGGGAAAAAAAAATCTGAAAGTAAATACAATCTTTATTTTCTTGTTTATCACATCATATGCATCACAAAACATCTTTGCAGGAAAAATAATTACAATAGAGATTTGCCAAGTGAAAAAAAATCACTCTGAAGCTCCCCTAATTCCATTGCCCAGAGGGTTACCACCATTAACTTTTGGGGCTGTAAGATCTTCCAGACTCACTCCGTGCATTCATACACATGGAACTCTGTTTTACTGTCAAGCACATTGCTTTCTAACTGGTTTCTTTCTTTCTTTTTTTTTTTTTTTTGAGATGGAATCTCACTCCGTTACTAGGTCAGAGTGCAGTGGTGAGATCTCGGCTCACTGCAACTTCTGCCTCCCTGGTTCAAGCAATTCTCCTGCCTCAGCCTCCTGAGTAGCTGGGATTAACAGGCATGCACCACCGCACCTGGCTAATTTTTGTATTTTTAGTAGAGATGGTGTTTCACCATGTTGGCCAGAATGGTCATGATCTCTTGACCTTGGGTTCTACCCACCTCAGCCTCCCAAAGTGCTGAGATTACAGGTGTGAGCCGCTGCACCCGGGCAACTGGTTTCCTTTTACTGCCACTTTCACTAACCGTGGTATTTCTCCATGGGCAGCATTCTTGGCATTTGGGTGTGTAGGACTGTCCCTCACATAGTGACCTCTTACTCATGAATTGCCAGTGTCACATTCAGATTCTTATGGCAACCAGAAGCTCCCCTGCTCCCAGCATTTCTGGACTCAGCCTGGGCTGGGGAGGTTAGCTCAGACCAAATATCTCCTTTCTGCCAGTTGCTCTGCTAGGCCCAGGTCATGCTGAGCAGAGCAAGATGTAGCTGAAAACCAAATAAGTCACGTGTTCCAGCTTGCTGGGGTTTTGTGAAGAAAGCAGCCACCCCTCCAGTCATATAGTTTGCAGGTTGGGATTTGCATTTTGATTTCCAAAGACCCTTGAACAACTTAGCACTGCCCACCGCCCTTCAGAGCTTATTTCCACTTCCTGCCTGCCTATAGGTTCCAAGCTCATTATAACTAGCCTAAATTGCTTTTCGAATGGGAAAACACAGTAAACTTATTTTATACAAAATTTATTTATGAGATATTAACATGCCCAGTACTTGGGCAAGCACTGTGTGAGAGGTAATAGATATGGAAGAAAAATATTCAAATCTGCTTACAAAACAAGGACAATCCATTTTCATTTCAAACTGCTTAATATATTCAAGGGTTAGAGAATAAGGACAAGAAAGCCTATATATGTTTTAGAGGATGATTCTTGTGTCATGGAATTGTTCACGGCAGGCTTCCCGAGATGGTTGATAATGTGATTCAGAGAAGCTTCCACCTACCCCAGGACTGTGAGGTGTGCACATCACCTGTAATAGAAATGATAGTGATGCCATAAATGACACCATCACACTTATCATTAACTTAGTTTCTCTTGTATGTGCGGGCTTCTACACATCCTGATGGCAACGATAATGGCGATGACTTGATGTAATGAGCTTAAGTGAGACATCGTGTGCCTAACATACAGTAAGCATGCAGCAATGGAGAGTTTCAGTGTTTATCTCACTTCTTTCTCATCATAGCCCTTGCAGTAGGTGTTATCTTTCCCGTTTTGTCTGCTAGAGACCAGAGGTCAGTGAGATTCAGACACTGCCATAGATCACAACAGCTACTAGATGGAGGAGCTGGGATTTGAACCTTCCTCCCCTAAAAGCCAGGATGAAGCAGGTTAGAGCTTTGCTGGAGTTGCTTGGCTAAATTAGGGGCTACACCAACCCAACTTTTCTTCTTCATGTTCAAGTTTCTTTGATGGGTTTATTTCTATGGACTTTCCTCAATACTTCCAGAGACTGACTTGCTTTTGTTTGCCATTTCTCAGCCATTTGCTTTGGTTTGAGTGGAAAATCCTCAGCATTGGATCCTTTGCTGTTCAGCTTTAATTCAACCCTAAATTAAAGGCCTTTTAACTTTCACTTGAGTTTCTCAAGCTCTTCCTATTTCTATCTAGATCAAAGCCTAGTTTGTAGTCTGATGGAGCCTGAATATTGAAATCTATCCCCTTGGGCATACCCAGTTACTAAATTTGTTTAAATGTTTTTGAACATTAGTTTTAGAGAAGGAAAAGCCAGAGTTTGCTTTGGACCAAAGACTCCTCACTTACTGGGACTGTCATAATCTTCAAGAGCTTTCATTTATCTCTACAGCATAATTCATAAATCCTTCCTACTTTTCAGAAGAAGGCACATTCAGGCGTTATGGCGGCCCCCACACTGCCTTTGACCCATATGGTCTTTTAAATATATTTAATGAATTGTCATGATTCAAAAATCAAGGGGTTTCATATAACAAAAGAGATTTCCTGCTTCTGCTTGAAAAGGATCTAGACATATCTAGAAGATCTGGAAAGACTAGGCCTGCATTTTGAGCCCCTGAATAACAGTTGCTCCCTATAGATAGCCATGTAGTCCCTACCATGAGCCCTTGGTGTTATATCTAAAAAGTTATCACCAAACCCAATGTCATCTAGATTTTCTTCTATGTTATTTCCTAAGAGTTTTATTGTTTTGCATTTTACATTTAGGTTTATGATCAAGGTTGAGTTAATTTTTGTGAAGAGTATAAGGTTTGCATCTAGATTATTATTATTATTATTTTACATGTGAATATCCACTTTTCTAGCACCATTTGTTGACAAGGCTATCTTTTCTCCCTTGTAGTACCTGTGATCCTTTTGTCAAAGACCAGTTGACTATATTTGTGTGAGTTTATTTCTGTGATCCCCATTTCAGTTCTGTTGATCTATTTGTCTGTGCTTTCACCAATACCACAATGTTATGATCCTTTTCCAGTAAGTCTTGAAGTTGGATAGCGTTAGTTCTCTGAATTTGCTCTTCTCCTTTAATATTGTGTTGGCTATTCTGGGCCTTTTGCTCCTCCATATCAACTTTAAAGTCAGTTTGCTGATACCTGCAAAATAACTTGCTGATCTTTTTTTTAAGACAGAATTTTGCTCTTGTCACCCAGGCTGTAGTGCAATGGCACAATCCCGGCTCACTGCAACCTCTGCCTCCTGGGTTCAAGCGATTCTCCTGCCTCAGCCTCCCGAGTAGCTGAGATTACAGATGCCCACCAGCACACCCAGGTATTTTTGTATTTTTTTTAGTAGAGATGGGGTTTCACCATATTGGCGAGGCTGGTCTCGAACTCTTGACTTCAGATGATCCACCTGCTTCGGCCTCCAAAAGTGCTGGGATTACAGGCATGAGCCACCGTGCCTGGCCAACTTGCTGAAATTTTGTTTGGGATTGCATTGAATCCATAGATCAAATTGGAAATAACTGGTATTTCGACAATATTGGGATGCTCTTTCAATGAACATAGAATATCTCTCTATGTACTTAATGTGTTTTTCCCTGAAGAACCATGAATTCAAATTAAAACAGATTCAAACAGAGCTGATCAGGTGCATATGAATGGGAGGTGGCGAGAAGAGGTGTCCAAGCCCAGCTGATTAAAACTCTGTCCTTGACCAAACTTCGGACAGGCTCCTCTGTGCCCTCTTTTAAACCAGGCCTCATCCTTAGGTCTTGTCTTTGGCCTTCCTGGTCCAACTGTAGCAAAAATCCTGCTAAGTCAGTTTTCCTAGAATCTCCACATGCTTGCTATTTGGACACCTTCACTATCTGTTCAAATTCCTCATTCCCCATCTTTGATGTTTAAGTCTTTGGCCTGCCTTCAGCAGAAATTCTGTTAAGTTGGTTTAGCAAGAATCCCCTATCCCTGATGTCTCCACTTAGTAATTTTCCATTCAATGACCCCTCACTCTGCTCATTGGCTACAAATCCCTCTGTCTTTGCTGTATTTAAGTCTTCCTCACCACGTTAATGTGTCAGAATAATTTTCTTCTCTAACACAGCTCACCAGGACTCTGACCCATCTCTAAGGAATCCTAGGCTACCAGCAACACTGTGCGAAATCTCTGGGTGCTTCCTGCTCTGAGAATCCAAGGGTTTTGGTAGGGAGCCAGGGATGAGATGACTTCATGGCACTTAGAACTTCTGTACACACTTAGAGGTACATTGCTATCTTTTTCTCTCAGGAATTCCACCTGTGGAGTTGGAAGCATTATTATTATTATTTATTTATTTATTTATTTATTTATTTATTTATTTATTTATTTTGAGACAGAGTCTCTCTCTGTCGCCAGGCCAGAGTGCAGTAGTGTGATCTTGGCTCATGTAACCTCTGCCTCCTGGGTTCAAGTGACTCTCCTGCCTTAGCTTCCGGAGTAGCTGGGACTACAGGCACATGCCACCATGCCCAGCTAATTTTTGTGTTTTCAGTAGAGACGGGGTTTCACCATGTTGAAAGCACTATTTTTGTTGTTGCTGTTGCTGTTGTTGTTGTTGTTGTTGAGACACAGTCTTGCTCTGTCGTCCAGACTGGAGAGCCGTGGTGTGATCTCAGCTCATTGCAACCTCTGCCACCTGGGTTGAAGCGATTCTCCTGCCTCAGCCTCCGAAGTAGCTGGGACTACAGGCATGTGTCACCACGCCTGGCTAGTTTTTGTATTTTTAGTAAAGATGGGGTTTCGCCATGTTGGCCAGGCTGGTCTTGAACTCCTGACCTCAGGTGATCTGCCCCCCCACCCCTTGGCCTTTTAAAGTGCTGGGATTACAGGTGTGAGCCACCGTGCCCTGCCTTACAGTTTTACTATTGTAATTGCGATCAGCATTATTCTCATTTTTTGAAGTGAGGACACTGAGACTCAAAAGAACATAACTTGCCCAAGGTCATACAAAGAGGAAGTGGCAGAACCAACACCAGAACTCAGGACTATTACTTAAATTCACATACCATAACCTTTGAGACCCAACCTTGCATCTGGGTAAATATAGCATCGATCTTTTTAAACTTGCTGTTGCTATTTAAAAACATTGCTTTCTATTAAACACTGATATTTTATGGATTAGAATTACAAGGTCCCCCAAATTGTAGAAATTAAAATACAAGCGATTTCAAAAAATAGGTTGGGGATGTTTCTGGCATTTTAAAAAGACAAATATTCAAGCTGATGGATATCCCAAGTACACTGATTTGTCCTTTACAAATTATATGAATGTATTAGATTATCACATGTACTCCAACAAAAAAAGAAAATAGGTTGGATACAGATTACTCCTGGCTCCCCCAAGAAATATTCATTCATTTCCCTTTGCTCCTTAAAGTTCTTCAGTGGAAAATTGTGATAAGCAGTGGATTAAATCAAGTCCATTTTGCAGATGAAAAAAACTGAGGCTCAGAGGTACTGTTTTCATTAAGCATTGTTACATCCATTTAGCTGATACATAGCCTTTAAAAAATCAGAAGCACCATATTATTTATTGGTTTATATTGAATTTAAATCCTCTTTCTAAGTCAATAAATTTTTTTGACATTTCACATGCAAGCACCGATAAATTCTGAGAGTGAAGACTTCCTGCTCTCATAGAGCTTAGATTCCAGAGGCTTAATTGAGTTCCAGATTAGAAAAGGTCTTTGGGCAAAATAAAGGTTTGCTCAACACTCCCTATTACTTCATATTCTGTACTGTACAGCAGTTGTTTTCAAAACGTTGTTCTAGGACCTCTGGGGGCACCAAGACCTTTGCAGAGGATCTGCAGGATCAATGTTATTTTGATAATAATAAGATTTTTTTGCTGTACTGACATTTGCACTAATAGTGCAAAAGCAATGAAAGGTAAAACTGCCAAGGCTTAGCAGGAATCAAGGTGGTGGCACCAAACTGCACTAGTGATCACTGTATTCTTCACCATTCACGCAAATGGGAAAAAAGCTAGTTTCGCTCTAGAATGCCCTTAACAAAGCAGTCAGAGTTCATGTGTTTTTAATATTCTGTGTAATGAAACAGGAAGTGTGCAAAAAGCACTCGTGCTGCATATGAAGTTTCGTTGCATACTTGGCTTGGCTGTAGGCAAAGTACATTTGCCATGACTTGAGTTGCAAGCTGGACTTGAGTTGCAAGCTGGACTTGAGTTGCAAGCTGAACTTGCTACTTCTTTCAGCGGAACATCATTTTTACTTTGAAAGAACAACTGGCAGATGACGATGGTTTTTCAGTCTTGAGTATTCCAGACATATTCTTGAAAATGAAACAAAATAAATTTGCCAACTCAAAAAACCTGACAGAATTTGTTGCATTGACAAAATTAGAGCTTTTGTGCAATATATATATACAGAATTTTGGAAAAATTTTTCTGCCACTGTAAGCTTGTACTTAAAGTCTCCTGATGACATTAGGGGTATTCTTAACTATTTAAAAAAATATATTATACAAGGCAGTGTTTCAAAAAAACTCAGTGCAGCACCACTGATATTTTCTTCTATACTGCAACCAAAGCCACATATTACAATAGATTGAATGCAGACGCCAATGAGAATCCAGCTACCCTCCGGTAATCCAGATGTTTAAAAAGATCCACAAAATGTAAAACAATGTTATTGTTTTGTTTTGGAAAAATCAAGTTATTTTTCATAAAACACTGTCTTAACATGTATCATGTTTATGATGTTTCATATGAATATATTCATATTTTAAAATTTATCAATTTTATTTCTATATAGTAACTATGGATTCGTATAATTCACTTAATAACTCTTTGAGAGCCTCAATAATTTCTAAGAATGTAAAGGGGTCCTGAAACCAAAATATTTGAGAACCACTGCCAACGGTAAAGAAGGGAGGCTTGCATTGCTCCGGTATTGTCCAGCTGTGCCCAGACCCTTTCAGGATTGTAAATGCCTGTCTCTCCGGGCTTAGGCTGTGATGGGGACACCTGGAGGCTCCTTTGCATAGAGTCCCGGCCAAAAACAGATGGCAGACTCAGAAGAGTTCACTCAGGAAAATCTAATGGCCTACGTACTAAAGTCTGGACCAGGCTTAAGGACAGACACCAAGAAAGGTAAGAAGGCACCCAGGTTGTTAATTGTGTGATGCCATTGCCACCCCCCCAAGGACCTGAATGGGCAAAGGAGGGGGTGATCACCTGAACCGAGCCAGGTCTGTAGCTGTAGAATAGTCCTGCAGTGCCGCAACTGTGGCCTTGAATGATGAAGCACCACTGCTATCAACCTGTAGCCTAGAAAATCCTCGGATAATAAATGCACCAAACTCTCTCTCCTCTGGCCCTTCAAGCTCCTTTTGGTGCCACCAGTTGGCTGGACCCAGCCAGAAGCCAGCCTCCTGGGGCTTGAGCAGGATGGGGAAGCAGAGAGAATGTTGTGGACTGAATGGTGTCCCCCCAGATTCATGGGTTGAAGCCCTAACCTCCAATGTGATGGTATTTGGAGGTGAGGCCTTTGGATGATAACTGGGTTTAGTTGAGGTTATGAGGCTGGGATTAGTGCCCTAATGAGAAGAGACACTAGTGGGTGCTCTCTCTGTCATATGAGGGCACCATGAGAAGGCACCATGAGCCAGGAACCTGATCATGCTGGCACCCTGATCTCAGACTTCCAGCCTCCAGAAATGTGAGAAGATGAATGGCTGTTGTTTAAGCCGCTCAGTCTATGGTATTTTGTTCTGGCAGCTGAGATGGTTAATATGTATGGTAAAAATGGGGGCAAGGGACCCACAGAGAACACCTAGCACAGAGGTGAGGTGGTTTACTATAACCTTGAACCACCAACTGGGGTCACAGCAGGTGACGCCTCACAGCTGGTCTGAATGGATCTTGACGGTCAAGGGCCACTGTCCCCAGCTCCATGCACCCTCAGTAACTGCCTCTAGGGGAATGGCTGGCTAGAGGATTCCAAATGATCATGACAATAGCAACAACAACACCTGGCATTTGTAGATCACTTACTCTTTAATATTATCTTATTATCTCACTTACTCTTCACCACAGTCCTATAAAGCAGGAATAATTTTTAGCCCTGTTTTACTATGAGGACACTGAGGCTCAGTGAGGCTGAAACACCACCTTAAGTCAGGAGCCAGATTTCCGACCAAGGCCATCTGGCTCCAGACTCCTTGCTTTTCTACTCTCTACTACCATGACAGCTTCTTTAGCCTTCTTAGTGAGAGGACTGAGTCTGGTCTTCCAAGTAGGGGTTATATATTTAAGTCCATAAACCAAAAGACTCTAGTGTCAAGAATTGTGAAGGATCTAAGATTTTAACCTGCTTTCATGCTAATAATTTGATCTACTTCAGTCTCACGGATGCTGTCAGAAAATACAAGACTCCTGGGTCAGAGACAAAAGACAATTATTCAAAGCACAGCAAGTAGCATGAGTTCATATTTATGTCAGTTTCCCTTGCCCCAATTCCCACAGAATGAAGTGAAAAGGGCCAGGTGACTTTGCACATATAGGTGACAGAGGGTAGTGTGTTCCAGGAGAGGATACCGAGATGAGAGAAACCAAATATTTTATACTGAGCAGTAAGCCTATCTGACCTTCACCCCAGAGGGAGACATTCTGGATAGTAAACAAATCTGTACTTTGCTCTGGAGAAAGACACTGTATCTGTCTCTGTCTTCCAAGGCTGCTCCTTACATAAACATCCTTGAAAAGACAAAGGGAGCCAGCTGGTAAGAGACACAGGAGACCCATGGAGAATTGTCTCCTAATGCTCAGAATTCCTCAGACTTGCACACATCACCTAACTGGATATGTCATCTTGTCCAAGTCCAGGACAACCAAGGTCCTGGGAGCACCTTAGAACAGGGAGCACAGTGGCCTCTTATTCCAGCAGACACCAGGCATGTGGTAGGCACTGCACAATCGCCTCTGGTAACCACCAGAAGTCAATAGCCCTGCAAGGCCTTAAGACTTGAGTATCAGGACCTGGCAGTGATGAGGGTGGGGAGTCAGGGGGAGATGATAGGGAAAGGATTACAAAACAAAAGTGAAAGGCAAAATGAAATGCAAAAATCCAAGTGACGTCACCTGTGTCTTCCTTAATTTGCTCATTTGCTGGATGGGAATAATCCCTACCTCCTAAGGCTGGGTGAGGATTTCCTAAGGTCAAGCATGTAAAATGCGTAGCATGGCTCCTGTAACTACGAGAGCTCCACAAATGCAAACTATATGACAAGTGAGGAACATTAGATGACAGTCATGCTTCGATTTAAGTAAAGTTAATTGTAAAAATATAAACTTCCTAGAGGAAGTTGTTCTTCGTTCCTGCGGCTGTTGTTCTAACAAGTTAATTCCTTTGGTGGATTTCCAGTAAGATCCAATTTGCAAAAAAATGCATTTGGCACCAAATATTTCATAACCCATCTAAATACATACCCTGGGCCAATTTGTGTTGCTGTAGAACCACCCGTCCTTACTTCATGCTATTCGTTGGAGTATAACAGCGCATCTCAAACAAGAATCACCCCCTGGGGTTTGTTAAGACAGATTCTGATTTACTAGGTGTGGGATGATGCCTGAGATTCTGCACTTCTATGAGCTCCCAAGTGATGCCACTTGTTCAGGAACCATACCTTGAGTAGCAAGAGAACATAAAAAAGCCAAAGGAGGAGTGGCAGCCTTTTGCCAGCCACTCTGTGGTTGTCATTAGTGCCTGCCTTTGGGTGGGTGCTTTCTTCTTTAGCCCACGCTCCAGCCCCTTGACTCTTACCTACTGTAGAATCTGCACCACCTCATGGCCCCATGTGTCCTCCACCCCACCACCCAACCCCTGTTCAATTACCCAGAGGAGGCGGGAGGGAGGAGTTTTCCGTCAACTGTTCCCCTCCCCTCTCAGGGCCAAGGGGAGGCTGGGCCACCCGCCTCTGTTTACTATAAACACAAGGAGCTGCTGTTCGGGCTTCCACTAACCCTCTCTCCACCTCCCAGGGCTTCTGTTGGCCCAAAGCTCCTGGAGGCCACCTTTAGCCTCCCTCTCTCCCTAAAGCCCTCGTCTAGGGCTGACCCTGGAGGCTGCCCCAGATCCTCAGAAGGGGAGCTGCAGAGGTCTTAGGATGGATCTGCTGTATCTGAACTGACACAAGTTTTCTTGTGCCATATTGGTGACATCCCTTCCTCCTGCTCTCCCTCCCTCCTGTTCACTTGACTTCTTCTACCTTTCTGTAGTAGTCAACACTCTTAGTTACAAGTGACGGATATACTGCACAAACTAGCATTAGGAGGAAATATAAAAGAATAAAACAGGCTGGGCGCAGTGGCTCACGCCTGTAATCCCAGCACTTTGGGAGGCAGAGGTGGGCGGATCACGAGGTCAGGAGATCGAGACCATCCTGGCTAACATAGTGAAACCCCATCTCTACTAAAAATACAAAAAATTAGCCGGGCCTGGTCGCGGGTGCCTGTAGTCCCAGCTACTTGGGAGGCTGAGGCAGGAGAATGGCGTGAACTTGCAGTGAGCCGAGATCGTGCCACTGCACTCCAGCCTGGGCGACAGAGTGAGATTCTGTCTCAAAAAAAAAAAAAAAAAAAAAAAAGAATAAAACAAAAAACTAGTGGCTTACAAAACCAAGAAGGGGCTTCAGGTTCGGCTAGATCCAGGGGTTCAAATGATATGGTCAATGCTTGCTTTCTCCATCCCACTGTGCTGTAATCATCATCTCCTACCAGATTGCATCTAAGAGTCTTCAGCTCTAATTTTATATTTTCTCAGCCTAGTTAACCTGTTAAAAAAAGGTTCTACCTGAATCAAATGAAACTGTGATGTCCACAACACACTTTCTCTTTCCTTCGGTCCCTCTTTCCACCTCTTATTCCAGTGTAAATAAGGTAAGGTTGCTATCTTTTGTCCTCAAAGATCTTACAGTCTAATGGGGAAGGCATAGGGTATATACCAATAGCTACAACATTCTATTATCAGGACCATGGAAAAAAGTATGTGCAGATTCTACACACTTTTATTGGGTTCCTGGTACATGCCAGTTCTACGCTACCCACTTCCACTTCTGTAACCTGAGCTGACCCACAAGTGTGTGCAGTGCCCGTAGCAGGAGGAGCTGCCAGGGTGCAGCTCATGACAGGGGAATCTCCACTGGGCCATTTCGGCTCACTGAAGCAGTGTCCCAAGCAGGGAGCAAGGAGAACTGGGAAACCCTAGGCACCTCCAGTGGCTCTGCCTTCCCATCCAAGCATGTCCCATCCAAGCAGGGAGATAAGGGGCAGTGCAAGGGGAAGGGAAGGGAGAGGGGGCAATAGGCATACATTGTGAGCACAGCTGGGCATAAAAAGTGATGGGCCAGGACTCACGCTGCACTGCACCCACGCAATATAAAACTCCTAAACTCATGAGCGTCTTTCATGTGGAGACCAAGGAAGGCTCCAGAGAGGTTCATAACCACCCTGAGATTGTATGCAACAGGTCATGTGAGTGTGGAGGGTGCAGTTTTTGGGGAGATGGTTGCTAGCTTCCATCACATTCTCAAAGACATTCACTATACCTTCATGACAGACCCAGAAGCTGACAGTAATGCTCCAACGCTGCTGCCAACCCAGTCCAAGCCACCCTGTAGCTGTCCTACCTTTTCACCTTATCTCCAGGCCTCAATTCAAGGGCCTCATCTCAACCCTATCTGACTCTAAACTCCTCATGCTAGCCTGGTTTCAAACCTAGTTCTGCCTACTAGCTGTGTGATCTCTCTCTCTAAGCCTCAGTTTCCTGATTTGTAAAATGGCCTGGTAATAACACAATCTTGAGAGCAAAGGCCTCATTAAATGGTGGTCATGGTACCCTCCTTCTCTCACCCTCCTGCCAGTCCCATCAGAGAGCTAATAACTTTTATCAGGTGTGGTTTATGTCATAATTCACGTTCTTCTCTTACAGGGATGCTGCAAGGATTTGAGATGATGCTTTTATTAAAGCATCCAGTGCAACACTTGGCAAGAGACAGTGCAAACTCACAGGAAACTTTTTACCTCCTGACTTCATCTCTTACCCCTTTATCTGATTCCTGCCCTGCAAGCTGGGTTTCTGAGTCTTCTAGCCCAAAAGGGCCCAGGGAGGTTTCCTGCCGCCACCCAAGGTGTCCTTCCCCACCCCATCTCCCGACTGACATTGGGACACTGAGACCCCAGTAGTTAGGGGTCCATTGGGCCCCTCTCTGGCCCAGCCAAGTCTCTGACAGACACCAGCATTTCCAAGAAAACCAGTTCACGGGGCTCCATGTAGGAAAAGCAGGCCCTTTCAGGAGCTAGCACTTAGGCAGGATTTCCAAATTTTTTTTCCCCAAATCTTGATGATCTTACATTTAAAACATGTATCACCTTGCTAGTTTCTGGCAGCAGTGCCCAGGCACAGAGATATGGGAACTAGAGCTGCTGGGTCCTTACATTCTCAGCTGAGGGAAGCCTCCGCCCTTCCCACACACTGCTTTGCAGGGCAGCACCCCCAGCGCTTACCCACCAGGGAACCGGGCCTGTTCAGTGCTCTCTGAGCAGCTGTCCCAGATTCCCCCAGAAGGCCAGGAATGGGTAGGCTGAGGTCCGAGGGCCAATTCTCAGAGACAGAGCAAACCCTGCCTGATTCTAGAGGGAGTTGCAGCTCAAACCCCTTGGAGACAGAAGAGGGAAGGAGAATTAAAGCGTAGTAAGTGTGTCTATGGACCAGGTCCTTTGGGAACAATATCTTATTTAAGCCACATAGCGGCCTTGGAATAAAGATCATTATAGCCAATTTGCACCGAAAAAGCAAAAGAAAAAGACCCTGTAAAGTTATCTTATTCCAAGGTCACACCGCTGAAGGTGGCAGAGTCAGGGTTTGACCTAATTCTGCTCACTACTTTCTGGCTGTGCAACCTTGGGTAACATCCTTCCTCTCTCTGGGCTTCAGTTTCTATATCTGTGCAATGTGGCACTAAAAATACCACCTCATGAGATGCTCTGCAGCTTCAGTGAGATAGCCCACGTCAAGCACTTGGCATGGTGCCAGGCATACAACACATTTTTTGAATGAATGAGTGAGTGAAGGAATGAATGATTGGGAGGCAACTCAGCTCCAGCCCCATTTAAAACTGTATTTCATCCATGATTTGTGGAGCTCATATTGACACCAGAGTGTGCCAAGTTTCCCAAGTTTCCATCAGTCTTCATGATATCAGCCTGAGAATTTTTCTTCACTGAAAGAACTTCTCCAACTCCACTAGTGAAAATCCTGTCTGGCCAATGGCCACCGACTCTGAGAGTCTTTGTGGGAACCCAGCAGCTGAATGTAGAGACCTGCCTGACACTCTCATTGCAGAACGTTCCACGTCCTAGCTAGGTGTACCCGTTCTTTAGCTCCTCTAAAAGCACTGCCTATTGCTGGAGGCAAAAGACCAAGCCCCCAGAATAACAGGAGCCCTGAAAATAGCTTCCATTCAGTGTGCCCCCTGAGGACAGACACCACCTTGCCTCACCACTGTGTCTTCAGGTTGCTGTGGGGTGCCTCGCACCCGAGAGATGCTCAATAACTGTTTGTGGAATGAATAGAATCCAAAAAGAGTTGAACATAAATGTGCAGGACTTGCTAATTCTTCTGTGTGCAGGCAACACTGGGGCTTCAGGGGGATGCTGGTGCCCAGCAACAACTTGTGTGTGGCCCTGGGGTCTGTTTCCAGGACGGCGGGATCCCCTGGTCTGTATTTTGTGAAAAGATGAGTTCCCTGGATCCATTTGACTGGGTTTCATTGAAGGACATTTGAAAAAGGAAACTGGGGAAGGCAAATTAGCCTCCCTGGCTTCCTGCAGAGAGCACCTTTTATGAGACTGTCATTTCGAGTTTCCTCTTCCTCTTGTTTGGTTCACACATTCCCACAGCCTCCCTCAGAGAACAGATTGAACCCCTATTTTCCTCATTAAAGATCACATCAGTGCAAGGACATCCTGTCTGGATGGGTAGGAAGTGCCCCAGGAGATGTCTATCGTGCGTCTGGGCCCCACAGGAGCAAGCTTCTGGCTGCCATCTCTTAGGATCTCACAGCCTTTGGACCTTGCAACAGCACCTCTCCCCAGTGTTAAGCAGACCCAGGGCTGATTGCCAGTCACTTCCAGAAGGATGGAGTTCAAAGGGACATCTGGAGCAAACAGACTTCGGGTGGCAGGTGAGCCGCTGGGTGCAGCATGAGCAGGGTCTCCCAGCAGAACAGGACAGGCATCCATTGGAGGGGTTAAGACTTTGAACACTGGGGTATAAAAGTTCAGGGGCCCAAACTTAGCTCCACCACAAACCAGTTGTAAGACTTTGGGCAAGTTATTTAATCTTTTACAACCTCAGTTCCCAAACTACAAAATGAGCCTAGCAATAATGTCTCATCATGATACATTTTTAGATTAAATGAGCCAAAGCCTGTAAGTATCTGGTGCTTGGGAAATGCAAAGTCACACAGCTGCTGGTGGGCACGCATCGCTTGGGCATCATATAATCTGTCTTGCCCACTAGACTGTGAACTACTCGAGGGCAGGAACTCGGGTGACCAAGACAGGGCCTGGCCCGTAGTAGATGCTCATCAGTTATTTGTTGAAGACATGTCAGACAAGGCTGAGTGGAAATGACACTCACTGTTGTAATGTTAATAGTAGTGGTTTATTTTCCTGTCTCCTTAACTAGACTGAGGTCCTAGAGAACACAGATGAGCCTTATTCTTCCACGTATTCCCAGTGCCTAGGACACTCTCAACCTCTCTGAGTCCCTGTTTCCCCCATTTATTCCCCCTGTTTAGAAATAGAAGCCCTACTTGGCAGGGTTTCTGAAGGTAACATGAGTCAACATATGTGAAACACTTTGCATGGTGCCTTGCCTTCGTAAGAGCCCCATTATGACAACTGTGATCATAACTACTTTACATAAAGGCTTCTGACCCAGTGTCCAGGGCTTGCAGGTAAGCTTCCACATACTCCCAGGGTGTGGCCATCTGAGCTGATTCATGGATGAGCTTGGAGACTCCCTACCGTTTACTAAGTGCCAACCTCTTATACACCAAGACCTGCCTGGGCTCCTCTAAGTGGCAAGTAACTTGCCCGTGATCAGACACCTACTAATCAGTAGAGCTGAGATTTGAATGCAAGCATCTGGCTCCACAGCTGCCACGACTGATCTTCACTGTTCAGCTTCCCTAAGGCCTGTTAGTTTCTCAGCCTGAGCACAACTGACCTTGTGGGCCAGATGGTTCTTGGCTGTGGGAGGCTGTCTCATGCACTGTAGGGTGTGTAGCTGCATCCATGCCTCTGCCACTAGATGCCATGACCTCCCCATGCCCCCAGAGTCACAATGACCAAAAATGACTCCAGACACTGACAAACATCCCCTGGGTTGAAAACCACCTTTCCCCTCTCCCTCTCCCAAACCCACAGGAGCCCTCTCCCATGGGCATACCAAGGCCATCGTCTCCTGAGACAGGAGTACCTTGGGAAGAAGCCTGAGCTCTGTCCCAGTTCCACTGATTTGAGAATGACCTGGTGAGTCAACCTCCTCTGTCAGGATCCCTTTTCTCATCAGCAAAGGGCACTAATGTCCACCAAACTGCCCAACTCAGAAATGTGGGCATCACCCTTGACCCTCTCTCTTCCTCACCACCCTCACCTTATTATCTCTCACTCAGTCCTATTGGCACTATCTCCTAATTATTGTTCAAATCCATCCCCTCCATTCTCCCTCCCTCTCCTCTCCTACCTCGGTTCAGGCCGCCGTGTCTCACCTCTGGATCAGCTTCTCAGACAATGTCTGCCTCCAACCCCGCCTCTCAAGTCCAGGGTGGTTTTCCCAAAACACAAATCTGATCACTCCCTACCTTGGGTGTTTTCTGAGAGCATCCTCCACTCCTGAAAGCGTTGAAATGTTGCAAAGCCCAGTTAAACTCTAAGCCCAGGCAGAGCTGGGGATAAGCCTCACTCCAGGCTCTTAGCTCCCTGATCATGAGTTGCCCTGTCTGTCTCTTCTACTGCATGGCACACCCTGTGCAGGCAGGGATGTCTTGGTCCCTGGACCCTCAGTGTGCAGCATGGGATGCACACAGCCAGCACTCAGCAAGCACTCACTGGGTGGACAGATGAATAAATGGATAGATGGATGGAGAGTGGTGCAGGCCTGTGCAGTGCTCTAAGCTAGGGAGGACATCCTGAGCCCCCTGCAAGGGCTCCGGAAATATTTGTGGGGAGACAGATTCCTATCCTCAACTTCAAGGGGTTCTCCACTGTAAGAGGAAGATCAATGCCCTTCCTATATGGGCATTTCACATCCTGAGGCAGGGATGTGCACAGTGAGATGGACAGGATACAGTAGATTATTTGCTATGTGCCTGACAGCTCTCCTCTGAGCCAGACTTTTCTTACAGGAACTAGTTAGAGGAGGGGATCACTTCCCAAAGAACAAGACCCTGGAGACTGGGAGCATCTGACGGACTTTATTTAAAGGAACAGTGACAAGACGTTTCACTGTGTTTACTTGGCAGGTGCAACATCACTCTGTTCAGTGGGTTTTCCCTCTAGGGTGGGGGACAGGTTCATTCCAGCAGAGGGGCTGCTGGGGCTGGCATGGCGATGGCCATTAAGGGCACACAGCACCCTGTTTCCTCATCCTCCCGCAGCACCCTTGCCCTCCCCTGCCTGTCCCTGAGCCTGAGGGAGGGGACCAGCCAGCCAGAACCTGGGGCTGGGGACGGTGACAGCTGCACCTGCCCAGAGTCAACAGGATTTGTTCCCCTGGATTTTCCACACTGGTGGTTCCAAGATCGGGTCTGATTGCCTGCATACCTTTTAAGGCCTGCCTGGGAGCAGAGCAGGGCCTTGGGGAGGCTGTGGGCCTGAGGTGTCTGGAGAGAGCTCTCCTGAAGTTGGCAGGTGGATGTGACTCCCATTTAGCCCCCCTCCCCACCACAGACAGACACATACAAAGACATAATTGGTAGGAGCAAAGGAGCCAGGCCAGCAACAGAGCCTAGACTAGGGACCAGCTGAGGCCAGTCCAGGTGGGGAAAGAAGGGGCACTGCCAGCTTGGTCTTGAGCCAAGGAGATGCTGGCAGAATGAAAATTAGGGCTCCAGCTCATTGGTTCTAGAATTGGAGCCTGGAGCCTTTAAGTGAGGGTGATTCAATAATAACTTCTAAGAGGGCAGGCTCTGGAGTCAACAACTGAGTCCCAACCCCAGTTTCTTCCCTTACTCTGTGTGACCTTGAGCCAGTCCCTTCACTTCTCCAAGCCTCAGCTTCCTCATCTGTAAAATGGGAATTGTTGTGAAGATGAATGAGACAACAGATTAGATGTTCAGCCCAGGACCTGGCATGTTATGGATTGTTTTGTCTTTGCAGTAAGAGATCATCCCTGCGCGCACTCCCCATCTTCACACAGAGTAGGGACAAGGGAGAAGTGGGCAGCCTGGAATGAGCGGCAAGTGGGGAGAACAGAGAACAAGCCACTGCTGGGGCATGTGACCCCAGGAGGAGCTTCGCTTGCCTCCATCATTCCTTGTCCCATGTGAGAGGCGGCTGCAGAGCTATACTGGAGGAGTGGGTAATAGACTCCTCTTTGTCAGTTGTGGTGGGTACAACCGATTACCCAACCAACAGCCACCCTCCCGCAACTCAAAGCACTTCTTCCTTGCAGACAGAGCTCGCTTTCCATCTTAGAAGCTGAAAATGGTAGACGCTGTCTTGCCCAGGCTTCCTTACACATGGGCATGTAATTTATTCATGGAAACAAACAACCTCTTTGTTTCTTTCCCAACAACCTTCCCATGCCAGACACTGACATGGGAATGTGATGCTGGAAGCTGCAGCTGCCACGTTGCAACCATGAGGGGATGAGCCAAGACCACACCAATGTGCAAAGGACCAGAAAGATGGAAGGGATATTCTGGAACTTTCGTAGCTCAGAGTTCTTGTAACGTGGGAGGATAAATGAACTCACTGCTTAAACCACTTCTAGGCAGGCCTTCTGTTATTTGAAGCAAAAAGCATTCCAGCATTTCTAAACTTGAGAAAGACATTTTGAAAAGTTGTGGGTCTGGGACTCTAAAACAGGTGTTCTTAGAGCCTCCCACTGCCTTTCTCTGGCCCTGGTGGTAACTGCAAATCTTAGGAAGTCATGGAAAGTTGCTGGGTCTGAGCCACACCTCACATCCCAGCATCTCAAGCCTCCAGGCAGAAACTGGTGAGTCACTGAGATCTCGGGTGTCGTTCAGTGTGTTTGTCACTCCTTCCATCAACGAAGTAGACTCTGGGGCCTACAGAGTGGCCAGCGCTGGAGAAGGTGATGAGGAGGCAGAGCTAAAAATGCATGTCTCTGCTCATGTGTTCATTCATGTATTTAATTAACACTTACCCAAAACATCAATATCCCCCAAACTTATTTTAATAAAATGTGGTGTTTGCTTTGTCATCCTTCTGAATATGCCCTTCAGGCTTCAATATTCCAAAGTAGTCCATGAATGCAGAAATATTGGGAACCACCAATTTGCGCAAGTCATTAAATCTTTCTGTGTCCCAGTTTCCTTCTCTGAGACAGCAGCTAGTTAAATTTCGTCAGATGGCCTCATTGGCTCTGGCTAAGAATCAATAAGCAGTCATGGTGTTAAGAGCCCTCCCTCAAGAAGTATGCTACCACAGAGGGAGGTCTAAGCTGAGGTCTAGCTTCATCCTTAAGGTCCCGTGTTCTGGAATCCAGCGGACTTGGTTTGGAATACTGACTCTGCCAATTGTTTACAGAGTAAATCTGGACAAATTTGACTTTACTTCTCTGGCCCTCAGTATTCACACGTATGACTGGGAACACACAGCACCCATCTCACAGGGCATTATCAGGATTCACTGCTCTTAGCTATGGTGAACTCTTGGCACAAGCAAACAATAAATAATAGCTATTTTATTCTTGTTTTGTTTTTGTCACTGTTAGGGAATCTCCAGTCGTATTGAAACATCTTCTATGAAAGCCTCAGAAAACCCCCCTGACACAATTTATTTTAACTTAAGAGTTAGACACACTTATACCTTCCAGTAGCGGAGGAAGGAATATCTCCACAATCCAAAGAAACTGTAGGGGAGTCAGTATGTCAGAGCAGAGGGCCCTGTAAACAGCATCTTGATCCTTGGCCCCCTCATTTCACCAACAGGGAAACAGAAGGTCAGAGAGAAGAGCTTGGCCTTGGCCAAGGTCACACAACAGGGGCCCAGATCTCCTAACTTCCCAGGTAATACAATCCTAACACAAAAGCGTCAAGAGTTAGGAATAGACACAATTCGGTTTTCTGGCTGTAAAACATTGGGAAGAGAAGCAGAAGGAGCGGGTGGAGAACACTAAGCCTAACTGGGGGCCAGTCCTTGGGGAAGACGTGAAGATGAGCTTCTCTTCTTCCTGCCCTTTTAGTGTCAATTTCTCCATTCTCCTAAATGACCCATATCCTCTCCCTACACACCCTCTAATGTTTGTTCTTAGAAAAGTATAAATTTGAGTTGCAGGGATTGTGGGCATTTGAATTTTGTGTATTACAAAGAATATGCTTGAATGGTAGAAGTTGATGCATCAAGGATCTGAGTTGGATAGCTACTCTTTAATTACTTGGTGGAGTCAATGCCTATTGGGATCTGCTCTATGCCCAGCACTATGAGAAACACAGAGCATAAAGACAATTAATCTGATCCCACATCCTGCCCTCATAGCACAGAATCTAATGAGGGAGACAGACTCAGGAATCCATCACTAGAGCTCACTAGATGTGAATGATTATGGAGGTGTGTTTACAGCACCAGAGGAAGGTGGTGCAGGAGGGAGGCATTCTGCTTCTGGGGAGGTGAGATCATAGAAGAAGGGAATCAAGGAGAGAGGAAATGTGGGATGGTCTTGAGGAGGGGGGTGAGGGATGGGAAATTACCTAATGGGTACAATGTATGCTGATTGGGTGATGGTTACACAAAAGGCCCAGATTTTACCACTATGCAAAATATCCATGTAATAAAACTGCACTTCTACCCCTTAAATCTACAAAATTAAAATAATAATAATATATATTTTTAAAAGAGATAGGAAATGACACAAGTGGAATCTCAAATGATCAGAAGTGTGGCCCCACTTTGGGAAGCCAAGGCGGGTGGATCACCTGAGGTCAGGAGTTCGAGACCAGCCTGCCCAACATGGAGAAACCCGTCTCTACTAAAAATACAAAAATTAGCTGGGCGTGGTGGCCCATGCCTGTAATCCCAGCTATTTGGGAGGCTGAGGCAGGAGAATTGCTTGAACCTGGGAGGCGGAGGTTGCAGTGAGCTGAGATCGTGCCACTGCACTCCAGCCTGGACTACAGAGCGAGACTCCATCTCAAAAAAAAAAAAAAAAAAAGAAAAGAAAAACAAAAAGAAGTGTGGCCCTTCCTGCCAAGCGGAAGGACCAGAGGGAAGTTTTCTCCAGGCAGAAGGAGAGCAGGAGCAAAGGTGAGGGATGCGACGCCTGGGGTACAGCTAGGGAAGAGGGAGGCCTAAGTGTGGGGGCGGCAATGGGGAGACTGTGCTCAGGGGGCCCTTGGAGGTGACCTTGATTCCATTACCCTCTCTGACCCATGCCCACCATCAGGTAGGTGGAGAAAACATTATAATAGCCACTGTGGCCTTAGGGGGCATAGGGCTGAGCTGAGAAGACATTTTAGAAATGGAAGCCTATAACAAAGTTTCAGCTGCGGTAACGAGCATCGGGCAGGTAAGAGAGGCAGAGCTTAAAATTTGGAGAAAGAGCTTGCCCTCAGTCTTCCTCCCCCACTTCCTCTCTCCCTTCTACCATCATTCCTTCCCTTCTTTCTCATTCATTCCCTCATTCATTCATTCATTCATTCACTTGTGTGATAAATATTTAGTGAGCACCTGCTGCATTCCAGGCATCTGGCAGGGCTTTGAGTGGCAAACAAACAAGACACGGTCCCTCTCCTATTAATGTGAACAGACAGGTGAGAAATAACACAACATTGACACACGTGAGGGGTGGTTAAGACTTTCTACCTCAGTTCTCTGAACCTGGAAGTTCCTAGAAGGCAAGGGTGGGTGTGTGACAAGGCCCTATCTATACCTTAACCCAGGCCTGCCGCTTTTCCCAGCACAGTGGTTCAGGTGTGGACTCTGGAGATAAAGGGCCTGGGTTCAAATCTTGGCCTAATCACTAGCAGGTGTGGTCGACCACTCTGCGGCCCTCTTCCTTCGCTTATAAAATGGGAATGATTTGGTATCAACCTCACGGAATTGTGGTGAGCACTAAAGAGACGATGCCAGTCAAATGGTGGCTGTGGCTGGAGGGTGAGTATGAGGGCTTTTTCTGGAGTGCTGGCGGTATTCTGCTTTTTGATCTGGGTGCTAATTTCACAGGCGTGCTTGGGGTGTGAACATTCATTGAGCTGCACAATTATGATATGCACACTTTTCTGAAAGTATGTTATACTTCAATGACAAGTTTTGAAAGCCTTAGTCCGATGCCTCTTGTTGAGCTCTGCTAACAACAATGAATGTTATTAATTGTCAGGGTCCTACGGCCATGCTCCCGAGAGATGCTGCACCAGAATCTTCCGAGTCCAGGAGCTTGCTGCTCTCTGGAGCCCTGGAAGGGCAGATTATATTGGGGAAACTGAGGCATTGAGACCCAGAGGCTCAAGGTCATGGGGCTCAGTAGGAGCCAAGTCACCCAGAGCCCAGCAGCACCCTCCCCTTTTACCTCCCTCCTGCCGGCAGCTAGCAGGGGTGTGGGGGCCCATTAAATCCTAGGCAAATGGGCTCTGGGCGCGTGCAGCCCTCAGGTCCCAGGACAGCTCAAACAGGACTGGACTGCCTGGTGCCCCATGGCAGCCGCCCCCTGGCCTCTAAATGATGGTGTGGAGCACTTGGCTGTTTGCAGGGTAAACAGGAGGGCTGGAGCAATGGGAGGCAGGTGTGCTCCACTGCCAAAGCAAAACAGAGCCAGTGCAGGGTTCCCGCACACCCTGGGGGGCCGCTGAGGGCCAGCGGTTGCTATCAGGGTGAACACCAGTTGTCAGTAGAAAAGGAGGCTTTGCTTCATCCACCTCCAGCAAGTTCTTGCACAGTTCATCCTGGCAGCCTCTGGCCTGAGTGAGATAGCAGGGTAAGGTTAACCCTCACCTCCCCAGCACAGAAAGGACTGCAGAAAGCCCCGAGAGCCTCAGGCTGCCTCCACCTCTGTCTCTGCAGTGCCTGGTACAGTTCTTGGCTTCCTGACCAGGAGGCAGCATGGGGAGATAAATACACACAAAGCCAGAATGCGTGGGTTCAAGTCCCGGCTCTCCTGTTCACATTTGTATGACCTGGGGCCAGCTATCTAAACTCATTCCTAATTGCAGCTGCTGTGAATATTGAACACCCAATAACTTAAATAGCTAAACAGCTCAAGTAGGTGAGTCTTGTCTTAGCCAGTTCCCAGTGAATGTCATAATGTGGGCCTAACACTGCCAGATTTGTAGATTTCTCTGGAGACACACAAAACCTAGATTCCTATGTACAATCTCCTGATTTGTAAATGTTGGCAGCTAACCAGAAAACACCCCGTGGCCTATAAAAAACAAGTCTGGCAATTGGGTTTGACCAGTGGCCCTAGTTGTGGACCACAGATCTAATCACATCCTCAGCTCGTTAATGAGAAGACTGAGGACCAGGAAGGAAAAGTGATTTGCCCAACCTGGCACAGTACTGACTGCCAAGACACCAAAACACGCATTGTGGGTTAGGGCATCATGTATGTACACAGCAACTCCTCAAGGTAGGTTGTATAATCCCCACGAAAACTCAGAGGGGTCGAGCAATTTGCCAAAGGTCACCCATTGGCAAGTTCCCAGCCTGGATTCAAATTCCAGGATAAGTCACACTGTCTCCTTAGCACTGAAAAAACTGGAACCCACACCTGTTTCCTGCCCCGTGAGGATGGCACTGCTGTCATGAGACCCACTGTGCCACATCATGGAGAGCAGCCACTGCTCCTGCCTGCTCACCTGAACTGTCTCCCAAATGCCCAGAGAGGACACCTTAACCCTTGCAAGACAAGAAAGAGTGTCGGGCTGTCTTTCTTAGAAAAGTCTTTATTATTAAGCAATATATAAATATTTTGTCATTATAAAAAAATCAAGTGACAGAAAAGATAAAGAGTTTGTCTCTAATTCCACTCCCTTCTTAGGTGCAATACTATTATTAGTGGTAATGCCACCTCCTTATAGACCCCCCACATCTTTTTTTTTTGCAGTTCTGCTCTTGTTGCCAAGGCTGGAGTGCAATGGCACAATCTTGACTCACTGCAGCCTCCACCTCCCAGGTTCAAGCGATGCTCCCGCCTCAGCCTCCAAAGTAGCTGGGATTATAGAGGCTTCCACCACCACACCTGGCTGATGTTTTTTTTTTTTTGTTTTTTTTTTTTTTGGTATTTTTAGTAGAGATGGGGTTTTACCATGTTGGCCAGGCTGGTCTCGAACTCCTGGCCTCAGGTGATCCGCCCACCTCAGCCCCCCAAAGTGCTGGGATTACAGGCATGAGCCACCGTGAGTGGCCCTTATGGACCCTTCCTTTGGAAAGCTCTCAAAGTTGCCCCAGGAGCTGGCTGAGGGCCTGGGCCGGTCTGAGACACAGGGCGGCTGAGCCGGCCATCACTGGGCAAGACAAGCCCTCTGGCCAAGAGCATTTCCCAAGAAGCCAATGACCATAGAAGGCCTTCAAGAGGTTGCGAGAGCTGCGTAGATAACACCCGAGGATCAGGAAGTAAGAAGTCCCAAGGCGGTGCTTCCCATTGCGGCTAGGTCAGAACCACCAGCCCCAGGCAGAGGGAGGTGTCTCTAGTTCTTTCTCAGGCCTTCAGGTAGTATCAAGCTGAAAAGTCTTGAGAGCTGCTAGGATGTCTCAATGCCTCTGCAACTCTTGCTCTCTCATTTTAACAAGCAGAGGGCAGGCCTGCTAAGTCATAGCACTTCTGCAAGCCGCAATGCCTAGCTATAATTGAGTGGCTTTGTTCTGTTTTTATCATCTTCATTTTACAGTAGCCTTCTATTTATGGCCATGCTGGTTGTCCATTTATAACCAGTGATAGAGATTTCCTCTTAGAAATAAAGTTTGAGGGTTTTTTCGGTTTAAATTAAAATAGTAAATAAATAATGTTTCAGGTGATAGACAGAAATGACAACAATCATTCTGTTGGGAAGGAGATGGCTGGATTCTGGCACACGCTGTCTTAGATAGATGAGACGGCCTTCTTTTTTTTTTTTTTTTTTTTTTTGGACCGAGTCTCACTCTGTCGCCCAGGCTAGAGTGCAGTGGCGTGATCTCATCTCACTGCCAGCTCCGCCACCCGGGTTCACGCCATTCTTCTGCCTCAGCCTCCTGAGTAGCTGGGACCACAGGCGCCTGCCACCATGACCAGCTAATTTTTTGTATTGAGGATGGCCTTCTTAACAAAGCCCTGAAAGAGGTTGTCCAGCCACCCTGGAGGCACGCGGCGTCAGGCCTGAACTGCACAGTGGCTGGATTTACGAGGAATGAGCAGCAGTAAGCCCAGGAGAATGTGAAACCAAAATGCCCTGTGATGACCCAGACAAGACCAGAGTCACTCCTGGAATCTCCATAAAGTCGGTCAGGGCAAACTCGAGGACACAGAGTGAGTCTCTCAGCCTCCCTCTTCATGGATCTGTTGTTTCTCAGCAAGACCTGGGGACTGACATCAGTCTGGTGTAGTGCAAAGAGCCCTGGACCAGAGTTCCAAGGCCTCAGTTCCAGGGTCAGGGCTGTTGTAATGAACAGCTCTGTCCTCCTGGGGGTTGAAAGGGCAGGTGGTACAGTTAAGACTGTGTGCGTTCAAAATCCTTCTCTTCACTTTCTGAGTTTGTTTCTTTCCTCAAATTACTTACCTTCTTGTGCCTCAATTTCCTCATTTATAAAATGGGAATAATAATGGTTCCCATCCTTGGGTCCTTGTAAGGATTAATTAAAATAAATCATTTGAAGTACTCAGCAGAGGGTCAGCAAGGAACAAAGCTAAGACTCAATGGATATGAGCTGTCATCACTACGTTTATGATGATCATGAGTGTTTTACTAAACAGAAGTCTGCTCATATCAGGGGACTTTGAAACCTTTCTACTCTGTCTTGATGCTCCAAGATTCCTATATTCGCATCCAGCTCAGCTTTTGGCTATGGAACCTTAGGCAAGATGTTCATAAACCCTTTAATCTCTAGTGCCCTTGTTCATAAAAAGAAGTGAATCGGATCCCTGCAGGACTGTTTTTGTATTCAGTGCACAGGTGTGTGTGAAGACACCCAGCATGTTGCCAGGCACACAGAGATGTCTACCTTGATACTTTTCTCTCCTCCTCCCCGCAAATACACACACACACACACACACACACACACACACACACTCACACACTCTTATTTTGATCTCGGCCTGAGGCTGACAAGCCCCAGATTAGTGATCAGTGACAATTTCGGCTTTATCAGCTCCACTCAGGGGTATTTGCATATTGGTAGAGAATCTGGAACAGGAAAACACCTCCTGTCTCAAAAGAGTGAATTGCAAATGGTAGGATTATCAGATTTCATTCATTTACTCATTTCATTCACTGAGGACTTGTTTGTGAAGTGGCCTTCTAACAACTTCATTTCATTACAAAAAAAAATGATGTATGTGTTTAGAAAAAAGTGAACAATTCAGAGACAAAAAATACATTCAATAGACCCTTTTTTTTTTCTTTTTGAGACAGAGTCTCGCTCTGTTGCCCAGCCTGGAGTGCGGTGGCACAATCTTGGCTCACCGCAAGCTCCGCCTCCCGGGTTCATGCCATTCTCCTACTTCAGCCTCCCAAGTAGCTGGGACTACAGGCGCCCGCCACCACGCCCGGCTAATTTTTTGTGTTTTTAGTAGATACGGGGTTTCACTGTGTTAGCCAGGATGGTCTTGATCTCCTGACCTCGTGATCTGCCCGCCTCAGCCTCCCAAAGTGCTAGGATTACAGGTGTGAGCCACCGCGCCCGGTCTCAATAGACTCTTAAACCTCCTTTCTCCCATTCATCTCTTCCTTTTGTGCCCACTCAGAGATGCAAGGTTGACACTTGGTGTGAATCACTCCGTACTTCTCTTTAGGGTCATGGAAACATGTATGTCCACACATAGGAGAGAAGGGGACAAAAGGTGGTTTGCTTTTTCCAAAAAAATCACACTAAATATATATTTATTTGTATACTTTTTCACTGAATGCATCATGCCCATCTCTCCAGATCAATTTTAAAAACCTCATTATTTTTCATAACTGCTTAGTCCAATACAGTAGAGTGCCATAGTGTATTCAGCTTATTCAGTCTCTCCCTTATTGAGGCATATTAGTCTTGGGGAGATTTTCCAGTTCCCTCTTGACAAATACAATCAATGCAGCAATTATCATCATCGATGTACATGCATTCTTACAAGCTTTCATTTTTTTCTGGTTAGAGTCCCAAAAGTGCCATTTCAAGTGAAAATGTCAGTACCATTTGTACCCTTATTTGAGGAGTCAGAGACTTGTTGCCTACAATGCAACAACATTCTAGGGAGCCTGGAGGTTTGTCAGGAGGGTGGAGGACCACACATCTACTGAGTGCCAAGCACCCTGCCTCTAAGGATTATCTCTTCAAATCCTCCATTAACCCTGAAATTTAGGGAACAGGGATGGGAAGTGCCCATTGTACAGATACAGTGGAAATATAGGCTCAGAGAGAGGAAAGCGCTTGCCCAAATTGGGGGATTCTGAGAGCTCAGCCTGACTCCATGGAACTGAAAAGCCATCGCCATCTCACAGCTGCTGCTGTGGGTTGAGCCATATGCTGATGATATCTTGTGTGGGAAGACCAGAGCAGTTTTAAAAATGAGAGGTGTCTGGTGTCAGGGCAAGTAGATAGCACTGGAGGGCCACCCCTCCTCAGGAATGGTCAGTGTTATTAATGGTGCTGTCTTTTTTTCTCCCTGTTACTAATCCATCAACATTCTGGCTAAATGGCACCTTTAACCAAAAGAAACAATTTGCTTGTCTGCAACTCTGAGGGAAGCTCATAAGGCTTCTTTCCTTCTCTCCTCTCTCTGCAAGCTGGAGAGCACACTGATGCCTTGTAGACAAGCTGCATGAACCGGCTGAAATCTCAGGTGGTGAAAGCACTGGACAAAAGGCGGTGAGAACTTTGGCTTTTCTCAATCAATAGAGGCCCGAAGGAGGGGCCTCTATTGATTGAAAATTCAACAAGTTCTGGTCCACGGGGCCTGGGAAGAAACTGCTGGCTTCTAGTCATTCAAATCACTAATTTGAATAGTGAAGAAGTGAGACAGATTAGAGAGGTAATAGGATGGGGAGACACAATGGGGTGCGTGGGGGGGAGAGAGAGAGAGAGAGAGCGTGCACAGGGATCATTTAAATAGACTAATTGAGCCTAATTTGACTAGCAGGATCCAGAGACAGTGCAGAGAATTGCCCTGAACTGATCACAATTTCTGAAAGCCAGACGCACTCAGCAGTTGTCCCAAGTAATTACTGATGTTCATACCGCACATTCGGGTTCCCGGAGCTCCTTTCTCCCACATGATTTCACAGAGTCCTTGCAAATTGCAGCCAGAAGCAGGAGACCCATTTTACCAATAAGGAGACTACGGTTGAAAATCCAAGGGCAAAGGGAAGCAGAACTGGAAGGCCCAGCATCTGACAGGCTGAAGGAGTCTGAAACAGAATTACCAGGGATCCTCAAACCCAGCCCTTCTCCTCCCACTCTCAGCCCCTTTCCTGCCAAAATGTTCAAGGTACAAGAGCCATGTGGACTCTGGTCTGAACAGGGGGGCTGAGCCATCTCTGGAAGAGGCCAGGGTGGAGGGGAAAACAGAAGGCTTAGCTCTTCTGTCTAACCAGTTTTTTGTTGTTGTTGTTTGGGGTTTTTTTGTTTTGTTTTGTTTTGTTTTTTTTTTTTTTTTTAAGTTTTACGGGTTTCAGTGTTCAACAAATGCCAGGATGCAAGGGGCAGGGTCTGTGACAGGCACCACTCTTGAAGGCCAGGGGTATCCGAGCTTCTTTCCTAGGCTGTGGGCCAGGTGCCAGCCTTGCTGCCCTCTCCAGCCCCATACCCAGTTACTTGGGAGTGAAAGCTCCCAAGCTTTAGAACCAGATGGCCCTGGGTTCTGATCTGCCTCAGGTCTGGCAGCTGTGTGCCCTTGTACATGTTACTTCACCTCTCTGAGCCAGTGCATTCCATCGTCATAAGGAGCAGGTGAAGGACTGTCAGGAAGGGGAAAATGCAGAGAGCAATATCTGTGGAGCACTTAGCCCAGGGCCTAGCAAGGATTGATCAATACATAGTCCCAATATTCCCTCCTGGCCCTTCTATCAGGTTTTTTTGTCATCAGCACAGTTATTAGATAGGAACCTGTACAGAAATCCTCTGGACTTCTGGTCAAAAAGACAGCAATTCTGACTCAGGGACTTGGGAAGGGCCTAGAAACAGGGCACTCAGTGGGCCCCAAGGTGAGCAGAGGCCAGAGGGGCCCAAGTGCAGGCCTAAGACCTGTCCTGGGCTCTGCGTGGCCCTTAGTGGCTTGGGAAATACTCTTTCAGCCAGATGCCATCTAGCATGACACCCCACCCTGCCACTTCCCAGGCTGCACCAGGCTCCCTCACTCCCTGAAGGTCTGGGAATGCGTCCCACTCAATCCCCCATGTTGCCTGGCCATGTTCAGCCTCTATTCGCCGAACAGAAATAGTGGGGAGAGAGGGTTGCAAGGCAGGGGACCAAGCATCCTAATTCAGTGCCCCTCTGGTTCCTTCTCTTTCAAAGCCCAGCCCTGGCCTCAGCTCCTAGCACAAGCAGCCTGGGACCCAGCCAGCCAGCCCCTACCCAGGCTCCCTGGATCACCTTTTGGATGCACCTGCTTTCCCGCCTGAAGCCGGCTCAGCCCAGTCCCTGCAGCCAGCCTGGAGTTTCCAGAGCTCATGCTGCCCCCTAGAGGTCAGCTCCTGCAGCTTTTCTTCTCAGTGTGGGACAGTCCCAGAGGGAAGGGGATCAAAAGGCTGGGAATGGCTCTGCTCCTGCACATGGCACCTCTGGCCAACAAGCACCCAGAGCCCAGCTAGAACCCACTTGGGTGGCAGCACGTGCAAGCGAAAGGATCTACCTATTCGAGTGGCTCTGCCCCTCCCCTTGGCCTCCCTATCTGTAAAATGGGAAGCATGATGATACCGCCCACACACAGCCTTTGAGAAAACTGACTGATCACTGGACTAGTAGGAGATAATCATCATTGTGATGATCATGGCTGTCATACTGAGCACGTCCTATGAGCCAGGTACTGTGCTTTGCATACATTATCTCATTAAATCTTCCCGAAAAACAAACTTCTGAAGGAGGAACTATTAGTATCCTCATTTTACACATGAGAGCACTGAAACTCAGAGAGAGCTGGTGACTTGTCCAGAGAGACACATTAATGCAGAGGACAGCCAGACTTTCAACCCAGGTCTGTAGGACACCAGACCCCTGTCCCTCACTGACCACAGCGTCCTGCCTCCCGGAGTTCAGATTACTCCCCACATCTCTCTCCCATGCTTCTCTTCCATATTTTCTCTGTTCTCTGTTGCCTTCAGCTGATTTGCTTGTCAGCGTCTCCAGGTCACTGTCCAGCACCACTGTCCTGGACAGCAGAGCCCCAAGTCTTTGCATGAGGAGGCAAGCTACTACCCAGATTGTGAGGTGGGGAACAGTGATGCCCAGAGGGCTGCTCTGGCCCTGGATGCTGGTGCAAGAGATGTCTAAAGTCGCAGCTTAGTCTCAGTGCAGTACAGACTCTGGGTGAGGCAGACATAGAATATTTCAGGTGTGGAGTCAAGGGGGCTCTTGGAGCACCACCTGGAAAGTAGCAAGGATGGCAGCTCTCAATTATTATGCACCTGCTGTCTTCCAAGCATCGGACAGTGTCGGCTGTCATTGAATCCTCTGAAGTAACACTGAGGTAGGTTGTACTGATCCCATTGGACAGGTGAGAAAGCCAAGGCTTGAAGGATGAAAACCCTTGCCCAAGATCACATAGCTCTTCAGTAAAAGAATCTGGGGTTCAGACCAGATGGGTGTCTGCCTGGCATGCAAACCCATCTATCTTGCCTCATGTGTCGTGCAACCCACCCTTCCCACTTGTGGGATGCTTGGGTCCTGGTTTAGTGAGCAGTCACTGTGCACAATGTTATGGGGCCCAGTGGGCCCTGGCCAAGTGCTCCCAGAATGGCTGAGATCCACCTGAATCTTACCTTCATCCTCTACAGCAACTAAGCCCCCTCAGCTTCTCAGAGGAGGCCTACTCTTTCAGGATGCTCAGAGGCAGTCAAGGGCCCTAGGTTCCAAATGTGTCTGCAAGTGCTCTTTTGGCCTCAACAAGTTGCAGAGACTAAGAAAATTGTATAGTATAGCTCAGTGGCTCAGATGCCCCAGCCCTGCAACTTCCTATTGAGATGGCCTTCTCTCAACATTGGTCCCTACATTTGTGGAATGAGGATAATGGTACTAACCTCCAAGGGTTGTTGGGAAGGTCAAATGAGCTAAGTGCAGTCACGTGCTTTCTCAGCAGAACACCTGACAGGTGGTTGGGGCTCAGTCAAGGGCCGCTATCATTAGAACCATCAATTCCCTGACCATCTCACACTGATCCAAAGTTTCTATTTGTCTTTAAGATAAAATGGAGAAAAACAATTTGTGACTGATGAATAAAGACAACTTAATGATTACACTTTCAAAACAAAGGGTGTTTGGGGCAAAATAGTAAATGAAGTCCTTTGTGCCACTGGGAATAAAAATGGGAAAATTCCAAAATGGGAATTTCTGCTCAGAAGTACTTGGGTCTTAATGAGTGAGGATCTCTTAGGGTCTTAATAAGTGAGGGTGTCCAAGGATCGGGAGTAAGGAACCAGAATCTCACTAAATGGCTGTTCTGAAATTTGTCCTTGAGTCTGCAGGAGGTCACAGGAAAAGAACATGGTATTTTGCTATTTTAAAAGTGTGGTTATGAAATGGTCTCCACCGACGGTTTCCTGGAACTCTGTTTTTCTTTACTCTGAACTCTGAATATGGAGGCAGATGACTTGGAATTAGCCTTGTTCCTACTTCTCCATTTCCTTGTTCTGGCAACAGTCCCCCAGTCTCTGTCCCTGGAGTTAGGCACTGCAGCAGTGAAAAGCTCTAACCTGGAAGTCAGGAGCCCTGGGTAACAGCTCTGGCTTTGTGGCCAGCCACCTGTCACCTGGGCAGGTCAGATCACCTCTCTAGACCTCCATCTGCCCTTCAGTAAAATGAGGGAGTTAAATTAGATGGTTAAGTTATGGATGTCCTGACATTCTTGGATTTCTCTTTAGTAAATATTAAACTATTGTCTTTTCTTCTTGGCCACAAAGAACTCAAGTGTCTCTGAATTATTTTTACAGCCTCTGTGTCCAGTCCAGGGCCTATTACAGTGGAAAGGACCTGGTATTCTGGCCCCTACTTGGCCATTTACTGACTGAGGGAATGTGCAAAGGCATGCCCCGCTGAGCCCATCTCTCCATCTTGAAATGTGGCCCAATGTCCTTATCATAGAGCTTTTGAGAATGACAATATATGGAAGGCATCTAACACACAGTAGGTACCCAGGGATCTTCTGTTGAATAGGCCCACATAGAGGTGGTTTTAACTTAACTACTGGCTTCCAAAATGAAATGCTGTTCCTGTTCCGCCAGTGACTTGGGACACATTTATCCCCCGTAACGCTCCAGTTCCCAGCAAAAGACATGCTTTGTCGCACCAGCCAGCACACCCGGAAATAAGGAGCTCTATTATTGTCCCTAATGGGCTTGGAAATAGCTACAGATTTAGGCCTATGGATGCAAAACACTGGCTTGATCTGGAAACTAGGGGCTGACTTCCTTTACCCATGACGAGAATTTTCAAAGCAGTCAGTTGTTCTCGAAAAAATCACCCCAATTTTTCCAATGCTGGAAAACTAGACAGGCCCCTTCTCTCTTGCTCCACAACTTAGAATCCAAGAGGGTCCAAGATGGAAGGCAGCTTAGAGAACTCTAGTTCAACCCCTCACCTGACAGGAACAGAAACTGAAGGTCCAGGAGAGAAAGGGTAACACAGGCAGTTAACTCAGGACGGGGTGAAATTAAGTGATCAAATTGACCATCAATGTACCACATTGTATTTCCTACTCTGCACAGCACCTTCACACACATGGGCCCCCTTAATGATCCTGTGAGGTGGGTATTGGTGTCTCCACTTGACAAAGAAGGAAATCAAAGTTCACAGTGCTGGAGGGACTCCTCCATGATCACCTGGCCTTGCCCCCTCATCACCATGGCCGATCCAGAACTTCTCCCTGTGGCTGTTGGAAGCATCAGTATGACTCTGAAGGGAGGCAGATGTGCTTGGGCTTGCTGGGCCCAGAGGTTTAACTTGTGAGGTTTGGAGGGAAGGGGGAAGGGCTGCTGTGTGTGACTGTTGAGTGTGGGGACAGAGTCACTCCCACCCCCTGGGTCAGAGAAGATGGACTGTGCCACCCTCAAAGGTCGGTTATGTGTCAGACTCATAACAAGTGTCAGAGTATCAGCACATGTGGCCCCTGCCCCCAGGAAGCTGATGGCTTGCATGAAGAGACAGAGGTAACCCCCATGAGCCACTCAGAAAATAGTATCATTCAGCAATAAATAGGAGCAGACTACTAATACACACTGCACAGATGATGCACAAAACCCCATGTTGAGTGGTGGAAGCCAGGCACAAAAGAATGCCTGCCATATGATTCCATTCGTACAACGCTGCAGAAAAGACAAACCTAGTCTATAGGGACAGAAAGCAGATCTGTGGTTGTCTGAGGGTGGGGACAGACTGAGAAGAGGTACCGCGGAGCCTCTTCAGGTGATGGGAATGTTCAGTATATGATTGCCGTGCTGGTGGTTACACAAATATAGACATTTTTAATAAATTTCTAAAAATTCATTGATGGGTACACCTAACATGGGTGTGTTTATTATACACAAATTAGACCACAATAAAGCAGATTTTGAGAAAACACACATCCTGGCTCTCATGAAGCTCTCATTCTGGTGGAGAATACAGAAATTAATACAGCCATTGTGTAAATAAATGCAAACTAATTATAACTGGGATGAGAGCTATGAAGGACATCTCATGGAGTTTGAGAGTGTGTAATAAGGACTTGGTCAATTCAGATTGATCGGGAACACTCTCCGGAGGGGTAACTTTAATCCGAAGTAGGCATGAACCAGGGAAGATGACTTGGGCCGTGAGAGCAGCATTTGCTAAGGGCCTGTGGCTGAAAGGGATCCTGTCAGGACCATTGAAAGGAGCAATGAGGATAGAGAAGAAGGAGGGGAGGGTGGTGGAAGGGGATGCCTCTCCGGAGGTGAGCAGGGGTAGTTCATATAGAGATTCTTAGGCCCAGATGAAAGTTTGCATTTTTCCTGAGAGCTGAAAGTACACTGAAGTGTTTGAAGGCGTGGTGGTAAGGGAAATGAGTAGCGACTGGGATAACACTGTGGAGTTAGTACTCACCTCTCCCTCATTCTGGCTATAAGGTTCCTGAGATGAAAACCAAGCCTTACTAACCTGTGTAGCCCCCAAAGAAACTTCAGCAGCACTGAATATAAAGTGATGCGCAAGAACTGTTCTGAATGAGCAAATGAATGGATGAATTATCTGAGGTTCCAAATATGTGCTTATCCAAAGTCATCTGGTAAATTATAAACTTAGACGAATTTAATTCTTCTCTCCAAACTGAAGATGTGATAACATGTTGGGCAATATGGAGGTACAGGCCTGTTATCCTCTGTTATCCATGAGCTGCCGAGCACACAGGGGACCCACTGCCAGGGAGCCATCTCTTCCCCTGGCCCCTACCCTTATAGCATGTCCCTCAGCTTGTCAGCCAAAACCCTCTGGGGGCCGTCCTACCTGCCTAGTGGCCTTATTGTGCAAAGTCTCCTCCACACGCACTTGGATCCAGACATTGCCACCCACCAAGCTCGCTGAAGGCACAGTGTACATTTTCATGCCTCACTGCGGGCTCTTCCCTTTCTCTAAACTCACCTTCCTTTCTCAGATCCACCGGGAAACCACTCACTATGGCCTTGAAGACCCAACTCAAGTACCTGCTTCTTTAGAAGCCTTTTCTGCCTACCTCACCCCATTAGCTACTACCTCATACCTGCCTCAGGTACTGTACTTGAAACCTGATCCATGTTCCTTCTTATTCAAACACACAACCTTCTAGCATTCTTATCTGTACTGTTTTCTTCTCTGCACTCCTATTTCTTAGCTTGAGGCAAGATGAGGTGGATGGAATGGGTTATGGTTGAGTTTAGGTAGATCCCTTAAAAAAACAGATGACCAGAGGGACAGGAAGAAACACTTTTACATTGCCGGTGGAAATGTAAACTAGTACCACCACTATGAAAAACAGTGTGGAGATTACTTAAGGAGCTAAAAGTAGAACTACCATTTGATCCAGCAATCCCACTACTGGGTATCCACTCAGAGGAAAACATATCATTATACCAAAAAGATACTTGCTCATGGATGTTTATAGCAGCACAATTCGCAATTGGAAAAGTATGGAACCAGCCTGCATACCCATCAATCAATGAGTGGATACAGACATTGTGGTATATATATATACACCATGGAATGCAACTCAGCCATAAAAAGGAATGAAATAATGTCCTTCGCAGCAACCTGGATGGAATTGGAGAACATTATTCTAAGTGGGAGGGGAGTGAAAGATAAAAGACTACACAATGGGTAGAATGTACACTGCTCAGGTGATGGGTGCACCAAAATCTCAGAAATCACCACTAAAGAACTTACCCACGGAACCAAACACCACCTGTTCCCCAAAAACCTATTGAAATGTTTAAAAAAGAAAAAAATATATTAACTCTTTTCAAGGAGTTAACATTTCTGAATGACATGGAAGTCCATACACAGAATTTTCCCTCTGCCTTTGGGCCTCCATTGATTTTGAAACAGTTTCCCCAGACTCATAGCCCAAACCTATGGGCAGTTGGCTCACACCTCTTTATTTTCATACTGAGATCCTTGGGGCTCTTCCCGACATGCTGCCCCTTCCCTGTGCTTTGTCCTCTATTCATGACCTTCTACCCTCCAGCCAGGAAAAACCAGCACCCTCTGGTTAAGGAGGCAAATCCTATCACATTCACAGTGCAGAAATCTTCTGCAGTAAGAGGTACACGTTGGCTTGACTTCGCATTCCAATCTGAGGAAGGCTAATTGTGAAAGTGCTTGTTCAGTTGTTTAAAATCTAACGTTGAATATGGGAAGTATAGGATTTTTACTTTTACACCCTGCAGAAGCATGGACAAAGTTGCAAAATCCTTCATGAAGGGATATTTCCTTCTTCCTCTCATGTCCTTTGAAACAGATTCATTTCTCCTTTCATCTTTTAATGAAAATTTAGCTTTTCTTTCTGGCAAGACCTTAGGGTGAGGTTTAGAACAAATTTCAGTTAGGCATAGAGAGTAAATGCAGTGTCTGGTTGGGGTGGAATCATTGGCTTTGGAATTAGATCAATGTGGGTTCAAATCCCAGCTCAGCCATATCTATGAAAGCGTGACTTGCAGATAGGTGACCACAAACACCACAGCCGTAATGATGATAACGTGCCTCATGCTAAGGTTGGGTTATTTGCAAAGCACCTAGCTCAGCCCCTTTAGGCTCAAGTTTCATTTAATCCTCACAAGGACCCCAAGAGGTAGTTTACATTTACAGAAGAGGTAGGTAACTGAGGCTCAGGCCCAATATGGTTAAGTTTCTCCCCAGGCAAGGTGGCTTTGAAGCTGGAGCTCCCAGCCTCTCTGACATATTGTTGTGTAATTATTGCTATTACTCTTGACAGACTAACCTCTTGGATAAGACCTTGCAACTTATATAATGCAGAACCTTCTCTTCCCAACCAGACGGATTTCTTTGATTAAAGTGTTTGCATCTCCTTCATCTCTGTATTTCTCACCCCCCCAATCCCCGTGGAAAGTGATTTGCACATTCTAGAGTTTCATGAAATATCAATTGACTAACATAAGTGGGCTTCGGAGAGCCTCCAGCTTTGGTTTTGCAACAGCAGACCTCTCTTTCCCTGTCCACTTGTCTTTTAAAAAATCATCTTAAATATGATTGACCCTTTATAAAGGTAAACATATCAAATGCAGAAAATTCAGAAACTCTAATGAAGAAAAAAATGATTTAGAATTCCACTACCAAAAGGTATCATTTTGTCTGATTTCCTTTCAATTTGCCTATGCAGAGATTTATGTTATTGCTCTTTACAAACATGTATTTTTTTTTACAATAAAAATAGTACATTTGCACATTAGGAATGGGAAAAAAACTGAAAAATAATACAAGTTACTCAGAACACCACAACAAACAGTTAGCTGTTGTTAACTTTCTGACACACGTTGATTTGACTTCACGTTCTAATCTGAGGAAGCCTAATTATGAAGGTGTTTTTTCAGTTGTTTGCAGTCTAAAGTTGAACATGGAAAGTATAGGATTTTTTATTTATTCTTAATGGCCGCATGATATTCCACTGTGCGGCTGAACCAAAAATCATTTAACCAGTTCCAAGTTGTTGGGCATACAGCTTGTTTTCAATCAGTCGCTTTATACATACCAGTGAAATAAACATCACTGCTGTTGCTGCTAAAGGATTCTCTGGTCACCGACCAGGGGTAGACGTAACTGGGGTGGGCCCGCATGGCTCTCAGACTCCAAAATGTGAGTTTCATCTGCCTTCCACTGTTGTTCTTCTCAGTAGAGGTCTGCCTGCGCCACCTGTGCTTCTGAGCCCATCTGATGCACTAGATTCATCTGGAGGAGCAGGTTTCTGGCAAGGAACTGAATTTGTGGGTTCCCCTAGGAATCTCTTGCAACTTTTCTAGTGTGTTGGCTTCTGATTTCTCCTGTAGGTAGACACACAGGAATAGAGGGCAAAAAATAGAAAAAGAGATTTTTAAAAACTAATTGATACACATAAAAAACATCCCAACAGTTTAGAGAGAGCAAAAAAGAAAAAAACCATCTCTCTTTCTCTCTCTCTTCCTCAGACGACTTATTCCCTTCTAGAGGCAGCTGTTGCCCACAGTTTCTCCTGTTTTCTTCCAGAATTGTCTGCACAGACACCTCTCTATCTATCCACTCACACAATCATCTCTATCCACCTATTCGTGTGTTCAGCTATCTTTTTTCTATGTGTGTATATAACTAGCTGTTGATCCACCCAGTCATCCATCTGCAGAAAAATCAGGAATGTTTAAATGGGTAGTTATCCCAAATACAGCAGTTCAGAGGGGGCTTTAGGAGGTAGGAGCCTGGGTCCCCAGCTCACCACCAACCCACTGATGCTCTCAGCCTGTTTCCTCTTGTGTAAAAAGAGGCCGACAACACTCCTGGGGGCGGTGAATGTGCCCTGGTAAGTGGAGACATGGCGCCGATGGAAAGGCCTGGAAAGGCCCATGGAGGGTGCTGCTCTCTGCTCAGGCCTGCAGTGAGGGAAGACCCAGCGTACTTTTTCACCCAAATGAGGGGAGCAGAAGAAGGCAGAGGGAAGCGAGGAAGGTAAGGGAGTGCCCCCCGGCTCCCCCACCGCCTGGTGGAAGGGACAGGGTGATGTTTCATAAACATTACGTCACGTGTTTTCAGGGAGATAAGGTGTTTAGTAAACGTTGTTGGAGGAGGACCTGGCCTGGAGAGCCATCTGCATGACCACCACCAGGACACGCGGCTGCCTGCTCAGACCGGCTTCAGGGGCCTCCAGCTCGGCTTGCCCAAAATACAGGAACCAGCAAGCGGAGCTGGCTCTATTTAGTGTAAATAGAGGCAAATACTCTTTTGCTGAAGGACAAAGAGGTTGTGCAGGGAGAGGGCCGGCAGCCTCCTCTGGTCAGCAGTCAAGGTCTGTGGGCACCGGGAGCCCAGCATTTCCATGTGGGGTTCAGCTCTCTGGAGCTGGGGTTTGCCTCAGGGGCTTCGTGTAGCACAACCCCACAGAGAGGCACTGACATAAAATACCATGGGAATGGTGCCCCCTGGAGTTGTGTAGCAGGGTGCCTAGTGCAAGCACAAGGAAGTGGTCACCATTTGCTTACAGAGCAGACCCTCTGGGATCCTAGGAAACCTGAATTGGCCACCAGGTCCCCTACTGTCCACCATTTGCCCTCCTCCCAACCACTGGAGGGCCCTTGGCTGCATCAGGCTGGCACTGGGCAGTAATGGTGTACTCTTCCTTATCCGAGTAAGACTTCCCTTCATTCCCACACAGCTGAGTCAAAGGTGGCAGTGGCACAAGATGCCTTCCCTGAGCCAATCCTCTCTGGACCCTTGCCAGGGAGCAGAAATGTCACAAACGTACAAATCTGAGCTCAACGAGGAATGTCTTTGCTAACTCTCAGGACCCGCAGGCATGGACAATGGACCAGACCCCATCCTATTTTCTTTCTCAATTAATGTTCCTGACATATTAACAAATGAGGAAATTCTAATACAGATTTGCAAAAATTGTGATACAATTGAAACTTCTGCATTTAACAATTTAATGCTTTCAACATATACTCACCCAAACACACCGACTTGGCAATAATACCGAGTCTGAATTGGAAAGGCTTCATGAATATTAGGCCCAGGGCAAATTTCTCTCTGGCTCTACTCTGTCAAAGAAAGTGAGAATTTAGCTTAGTAAGAGGTGATGTCCTCCTCACTGGAGGCATGTAAGCAGAATGGATACCACTGAGGGAATCACTGCATAGGCCTGAGGCTGTCTGGGAAATGTGAACTGCAGGACATCTCCAGCACCAAGGCATATTTTGTTCTAAATCTAATTGTAGAGAAGTCCTGGGTGGCCATGATGGCTCATGCCTGTAATCCCAGCACTTTGGGAGGCAGAGACGGGCGGATCACCTGAGGTCCGGAGTTCAAGACCAGCCTGGCCAACATGGTGGAACCCTGTCTCTACTAAAAATAGAGAAAATTAGCTGAGCGTGGTGGTGTGCGCCTGCAATCCCAGCTACTCAGGAGGCTGAGGCAGAAGAATTGCTTGAACCCTGGAGGAGGTGGTTGCAGTGAGCCGAGATTGCACCACTGCACTCCAGCCTGGATAATAAGAGCAAGACTCCAACTCAAAAAAAAAAAAAAAAGATCCTTCCTGCTGAGCTGAGCTGACTTGGCTGTGAGCAGAGGCAGAGTCTGGGAGGCACCCCAGCCTGAGCAACTTTTCTGGAACTGCATAGTGTTTGATGAAATGGATTGAAAACCCAATTTCCAGCTCTGTGCCAATTTGGGGTCAAATGATATATTTCACTTTTGTCAACGAGCTTTGCTTTTCTGAGCCTCAGTTTCCTCATTTGCAAAATGGGAGTGATACTTCCTGACGTTCTGGGCTGTCGTAAAAACTAAATAAGATAGTGTATGTCCAGGCCAACTCAGCATCAGGCACACAGTTAGCACTCACATATGTGACGTGAGAGGTGTGAGGCACCCTCTGAACTAAAACACTAAATCAAAAAACAGATACGGAGCTGGGCATGGTGGCGTGCACCTGCAATCCCAGCTACTCAGGAGATGGAGGCAGGAGGATCCTTTGAGCCCAGGAGCTTGAGTTCAGCCTGGGCAACATAGAGAGACTCCATCTCTAAAATAAAATAACATAACGTAACGTAACGTAAAGTAAAATAAAATAAAATAAAATAAAACAAAATAAAATAATTAAAGAAAAACAGATATGGGGAGGAGCTCTCTCTGGCTTTCCCTCCCGGCTCCAATTCCACAGCTCCGGAATCCGCACCTGGTAGACCCTTTCGCTCTGAACTCAAATGCCTGGCCTTATTCTGGCAGGGTTAGAAGCACAGGCTTGCGTTCTGGGGGATGAGTACAGGTAAGCCACTTCCCCGGGGATTTCACTGTAGCTTCTGAGCACATACAGATAGATAGTATCCTTATAATAATATTATTTATGCGGCTCTTATTATTTGCTAGTTACTTTCTTTGCGCCCTTAAGCAAGGAACTAAACCTCTCTGAGCCTCAGATTCCTTATCTAGAAATCAGAGAAAATAATAATGCTTATTCAGAGCGATTGTGAAAATAAAATTAGCTCATACATATAAAACAGAACAGTGCTTGATGCACAGCCAATTCAAAATGTAAATATAATTAACACTATAAATACATTGAAACAATATAAAATTAGTTGTTATTTGGCAGGCACTGCGCTATACACATATGCATGATTCTCAGAACAACCTTCAAGGTATCTACTATTATTATAATCTCATACAACAGTTGAATAAACTGAAAAGTGAAGTAAATATTGCCCTAGACCACTTGGCCGATAATTGGCACATCTAAAATTCAAAATTGATTGGCTCATTCCAAAACCAAGCTCCTAATTGTTATGTGCTCATCAGTGTGGAAGTAAGAGATTGTCAAATATTACTTCACACCCCCCCCCTTCATTAGTTAAAAAATAGACAACCACCACCTCAATGATGCCAACAACTACAAAACTCAACTCCACAGGACCCCTGTCATGCTACGAGCAGATGGCATCGATCCTGACTTTGCTGCCATGAAATCCCCTCAAGAGAGCCCCACATCAGGGGTCCTGAGTTTGCAGACAGTCATTAGAGACATCCTTGTTTGGGAAACAGCTGCCCTCCACCCTGATTTCACAGCTGGGGAAACAGGGCCTGGAGAGGAGACTCATCTGGTCCCCTCTGTTTTATGCCGCTCCTTTCTCTTGCCAGTAACACCACACCATGGAGCTTTGCCTCTCGGGGCCCATTCATCTCAAATCCTTTTTCTGATTAGCTCACTGTGCTGCCTGCCACCCAGGTTCTCATCAGAGCACTCACGGGGCCTTGGCTATTTAAAAATTCTGTTAACTCGAGAAGTCTCTGCCACTGCCCCTGCCAGCACCAGGCTCACCCATGTTTGGCTTTTGCATTCTGTGCTTCCTAATCCCATTTCTGGGGCTTAATTATGATTACACAGCTTTATTATGTAGAATTGATTTTAAGTAATGGCCCTAATTAAGAGTGAATTTTAATTAAGCTTAATTCAGAGCCTGCCTCCGATTGCCAAAGATTTGCAGCCTGAGAAGAGGAAAGGCTGCCCGTGCACAAAACTCACACGTGACTTTGATCTTCATGCTGCTGGACTGTTGCAGCCAGATGGGTTTGTACTATTTTCTGGCCTCAGGGTGCATTTCTTCACCAGGGTGCAGGAGGTATCAGCTCTAGTCCATCTTCCCCTTCCATGCAGAAGCAAACTCGGAGCGCTGGCAATAAACAGAAGTGGGGATCCTGCACCTTTGGGGTGAATATCAACTACACCACCCACCCTGTTGTAGAAAATGAAGCTCATTTGCTTCCTTCCAACTGCTCATGAAACCTGTTCCACAGGTGAGAAAACTAAAGCTCAAGAAGGCCACGGCACACACAGGCAGCGAGGGCAGCAGGAAGATTGGAAATCAGCTCTGCTCCCAATGCCTGTGCCCACTCTGTTCCAACACAGCCTTCCAGTAAGTGGCAATCATCTCTGACTTTGGCAGAAACCAACCTGCTTGAATTTCCTGCCTGCCCACCTAAGCCACTGCTTCCCCAACTTTAGAAGCTCATACGCTGTGAAGGTGGGTCTTTTATGTAAGAGTGAAAAACATCTCAAACCAACTTGTTTTCAAACGAAAATTTTTTCCTACCTTTAAAACTGCTATAAAGCAAAAGTTGTCATAAAAATGTTAAAAAGGAAATAAAACAATGTGATTAAATCCAAATCAGAAACTATTACCTTCTAAAGCCCTAGGAGTAAGGCTTGATCTGCCTGACTTTAAAAAACAGAGATGAGAAGATAGTTCGACCACAACAGCACCAAACTGAGACTTTGTCCCTAACATAATCGGAAAGACCGAAAAAGAGTTGGGAGGACATTGTGTTGCTCCGTGATACAGTGTTATTTAAAGTCGTGTCCAGGTGTCAGCTAAAATCGACTCTCCTTTGTCCAACATTTTCACGGACACTGATCCAAACCAATTTAGCACAGGTTTCCAGGGACCTCTGGGTAATAATGCCCCTCAGCTGCCCTACAGATGACAAGATTCTGGACAGAAACCCAGCTCCCCTAACCCACAGCCCTGGCCCAAGGACAAGATATGGGCATTCCTTTGGTGTTTCAAATAAAAACACAGTGAAATCAATATGTTCTCCAAGACCGGCTGGTGGAGGCTGTTCACCTGCGGAGAAGGGGCCTGGTCATCCGGTTCCTGAATGCCTTTGCCACACTAGAATGTTTTATGGTTCTAAAGTTCCCACCTTAGAAAATCACCCACTAAGAAGCCAAGCTCTGAAAACGTTTTGATTTTTCTAGAGGGAAATGGAAAGTGAAAAATGGAATTCAATTACCTTGAAAAGGGGCAATTTCACTCACAACTGTTACACTTAAAAGCTCCATATGAAACAGGCATTCAAATAAGTCTCAGCCTAAGTTAAAAGAAAAAGGGGAAAAAGAAAATCATGTATTAATCCTCTTCCCTCTACTCCTTCTGACCTAGTGAGTCTTCCTTAGACTCAAAAAAGATAGATGGACTTGAAACACGATTAAATAAGCATGTTAGGACTTTAATAATCCAAGCCGCAGGAGTTTCTATTAAAAGTTGGGTATTTAGAAGAACCATTTGGTTAACCAGTCTAGTGACACAGAAACCACCATGTGAGGGAGGCTCTTCTGAGCAGAGCTGAAGCAGGGACTCCCTGCTTTTCTCTCAGAGATTTGGGGGTAAAGTTACCATCAGACCCTTCAGTTCAGCTGAAAACTCTGAGATGCCCAATACACTCCCATTTTCTACTTCAAGGAAACTTCACTAAAACAGAGGAAAAGATAATAGCCTTGATTGAAATAGAAAGGCGTTACAGAAACTGACACCAAACAACACAACAGACATCATCATCCCATCATAACCATGACGCGCTCATTCTTTCTTTACATCTTCATTCCTGCTAGGTCAAGGCAAGCCGTAGAAGTGGTTTTGTGACCACCATGATGGTTTCCCAAGGCAAATTTAGACAGCATATTTTCTCCTACCACAAAAAACTCCAGCCAGACTCTCCAGTGGTTGAATTCCTATTCCTCAAGTTACCAGCTGTGGAACTCTGTGCCTCAGTTTCCCCATCTGTAAAATGGAGATAACAGTAGCATCTACCTCATAAGATTGCTGTAAATATTAAATGAGATAGTGCTTAGCACAATGCATGGCACATAGCAAGCACTTGGTGGCCGATCAATGGCAAATACGAACACTGGCTCGAGCTTACTGCCATGGTTTATCTTAGCAGCTCCTGACTTGCCTGTTGAGAAAAAATGCTCCTAAACTCAGAAGTATTCAGAAAACCTACAGCAAGGTGGTGAGAGACTAGACTCTTCAAACCTCTGAGGTGCTTTTCTGTCCTCATTCCAGTTTTCTGCCCATCACATTGGCCAAAGAGCTCTAGCCAGAGTTGAAGCCAGTGCTGATCACTTTCCTGACAACCTGGCTGGCAGAGATGGGACCGTATGTAGCACAGGGAAGAGGTGTGTTTTCAGACAGCTTCCTCTCGGAAATCCATTTTGACTGTAGATCCAAAGAAAATCCTTCCAGGCTTCTTGTGCACACGCCAAAACCTGCACACATGTATGCATTTCTTCCTCTCTGTGCATCTCTCCTGCACATCTGGGCAAAAACCAATCTCTGCAGGTAGCATCTTGTGCATATAGCTGTCCGGCCCTATGATAAAATGCATTGTTTCTCTCTGAGTGAAGCTTAATGCACCTCAGCCTGGGGATTTATACTAAGCAATAAAATCCACAGGATAGAGAAATGCAAATAGATTGTAGAATATAATATTATCATTGTCAACATAAAAGACTTTTATTTACTGCCCCCCAAAAGAAAATACACCATAGTGTCGTTTGTTTCAGGGAATGCAAAAAAGGTTTCAACAACTAACAGGGCATGTTTCTGAGCAAAATATACCCCGTATATAATGTTGGAACACATATTGTCAGTGGCCACTCGTGTGTCTGTGTTCTTGCAAACAAACCTGTGGAATTGAGTCATGGAAGGTCACTTCCAGCCACCTCTCTGAGCCACACGGCACCTACCTGGCTCTGTTCACAAACAAACCAGACAATATAGACCTATTTGAAGGGAGAGACCCTCTGAGGCAGGCCACACTCCATCAGCACATCTTAGAATGAGGCATTTGAGTAGTTGCTGACTTGGCTTACTGGGGAATGGAGTTGTGGTGGAGGTTGATTAAACAGATGGTCCATGTTGCTTTGGGCAAAGGGAAAAGTTAAAGAGAAGATGTAGCAGAGCACATGGGAGGTGACAACTCCATCTTTTCTCTAGAAGATATCCCTACAACTCCCCCTTAATGCTCAAGGTCATTCCACCAATGCTTTTGTTGCACAGGGTATTGACAACTTACAAGACCAATTATTTTCACTGATTTGTTTGAATGATAAGTCTGTTGTTTTGTGTAGGGGTTTGGCTATGATATCAGACCCAGTCACAGCAATTGTTTCATTTCTGTCTACAAGGGCAAGATCTAAGTTTATAAGGCTTTAAACAGCCATAATTACCTGAATGACATTTTATGTGAAAAATATATTCTAACTGGTTCTCCCAATAGCCCTAGGAAATATACCCTAGGTGTTATTACGGCCAATTTACAGGTGAGAAAACCGAGACTTCAGAGAGGTGAAGCACATTATCCATGGCCACCCAGCCTGTAGGAGGGTGGCTCCAGAGGCCTCAGTCCTGAGCCCGAGCCTGTCCTGCTTAAGCTTACATCAGGAAAGCCCTTACGTGGCCTGTGCTGGGTGCTCTGTCATGGGGACATCTCACAGGTTTGGTAGGTTTTATCACTCCTATTTTACAGGTGAGGAAACTGATACTTAAAAGAGGAAAAGTGTCTGCCCAAGTCACACAGATGTATATAGCTTGACTGGATTCGAACCTAAGTCCTGACTCCACCGGCTGTGTGGTATAAAAGGAGAGCTTGAAGGTGTCATCATTATCCCCTTTACAGGCCACCACAACCCCTATCACTGAGGGAGTTTTATAAGTTTCAGCAACCACATCAGTAATCTCATTTTGCATCCACAAATTTCTATTTTGTCCTTGCAGCTCACTTGGACAGGGAATGTCCCGCATGTTTGAAAAGATGGTTCAGAAAGGAGCCTTTGGCAATCCCCAGGGTTTCTGCACCCAAGATGGACTGGAGGGATCATGACAACCAGTTGCAATCAAAGAAAAGAGGAAACCATATCCGAGAGTGGAAGCTGTTTTCTTGCTTTCAGGGATCAAATGTCATGACCCCCCAACTCAGTCCTAATGCATCCTCCACAGACATACTCTTGAGCTCTCACAATCCACCCTTCAAGTCATGATGGGGCTCAAGACCTTCACTGGGCTTCATTATCACAGAGCAAACAGGGTGAAGAGGACTCATTTATTGAAGCAACAGATATTGGTGACCAATGAAATTGATGACCACCATGACCTAGGCTGGGCATTCAGTGGAGAGTAACACAGGCAACTTCCCTGACATCTGGGGCTTACAGATAATGGAGGAAACACAAAAGAATCAGATAAACAGATAGGCCAGACCAGAGAGTGCTAAGCAGACATTAAAACAAGGAAGTCAACATCAAATGCAGAGCCCAGAGAAGCCTTCCTTGGAGAGGTGACACTGAGCTGAGGCCCGACTTGCCCTGGAAAGACCTTGGGACACATTCCAGGAGGGAGGGTGCTGAGCCCTGGAGAGCTCTGTTTTGGGCAGTCACTCTCATCAGAGTTTCCATGATGACACAAAGGTCACATGGATGCCCACAGTCTAATTTCAATCAACAATGAATCATGGCCACTCTGGGCACACCAGCACCCCACTCCCCAAACCTCCACCACACCCACCACACCTACAAGGGCCGTTTGTTTGACCAACAGAGAAAAGATTATTCCAAAATACACTTGGTAAAAACATCCATGGGGAGGGTGAAGTTTCTGGTTTCCCCTTTAAAGAGCTATCATCTTTGGATGTTCAGAGCTTCTCACATGATAGCACCTCCTGTAAGGGTTTTGCCCCTGTAGTTAATGTTCAGAAAGTGTGTATTTCCCTTTTGAGAATTCTGTATGAAAGGGACACTGATAAGGGAAATGGAGGCCTTATTGCTAAGAAGCTAGTCAGCATTTGCAAGAGGAAGGGGAACTAGCATTGACTGCACACTTCCATGCACCAGCGTTGAGCTGGATGCCTTACCTGGTTTATCTCCTTCAATCCCAGGAAGAAGGTATGAAAAGCCCCACTTTTACAACCTAGGACATTAGGTCTCTGAGAGGCAAAGCAACTTTCACAAGATTATACAGCAAATAAGTGACAGAACCAGAACTAATTATATTACGTTTATTACATGAATCGAATTTGGTGATTACTTACTAGGTTCCAGGCACCTTGCTTGGTGCCTTCAGATCGTGCATGATTTCACTGACTTCTCACCACATTTCATTATATTACTATTCCCATCTAGCAGATGGGAAGACTGAGGTTCAGGGAGGTGAAGTAGCTTGCCTGTGGTTGTTCAGCTCCAAGGTGATAAAGTCAGGATTGAAACCCACATATGTCTGATGCCCTCTTTTTTCAGAGAGGCTGATGTCAAGAGAGGGAACCGTGGAAATGTTCCATATTAAAGGAGATTAACGAGGCATGACTACTAAACGCAAAGCCTGATCATAGACTGGAAACTGAACTAAAGGAGAAAATGCTATAAAGGATATTTTTCAGTCAACTGACAAAATTGGAACGTAAATCATAGATCAGATAAAAGGAGTTGTATCAGTTTTGAATTTAGACTGTTGATAACCCTACTGTGATTATGTGAGAGAATATCTTTCTCTCTAGGAAGCTCATAGGGATTCAGGGATGAAAGACTATGATGTATGCAACTTCTTCGTGTGTCTCAGAAAAAGAAATTGTGTGTATGTACATGTGTGTGTGCCAAGAGAGAAAGAGCAGATGGGGTGAAATGTTAACATTAACAATAGATTAATCTAATGGGTATGCTTACTTTTCCCTAAGTTTGAAATTATTTGCAAATAAAAATGTTTAAAAGAGAAGGAGAAAGAGAGAGAATTGCCAGCTGTTGTATAATGAGCTTGTGGATATTTCCTGAGTCCTACTTCAAGGTTAGTTCAACTCTGTGCCCTAATTCTTCCCCTCTGTCTGAAATTTCACTATCACTCATTCAGTCTTTCACATTTACCTGTCCAGTTTTTGTTTGTTTGTTTGTTTTGAGACAGAGTCTCACTCTGTCACCCAGGCTGGAGTGCAGTGGCGCGATCTTGGCTCACTGCAACCTCCACATCCCACGTTCAAGTGATTCTCCTGCCTCAGCCTCCTGAGTAGCAGGGATTACAGACACGTGCCAGCATACCTGGCTAATGTTTTTGTATTTTTAGTAGAGACGGGGTTTCACCGTGTTAGCCAGGATGGTCTTGATCTCCTGACCTCGTGATCTGCCCACCTTGGCCTCCCAAAGTGCTGGGATTACAGGCGTGAGCCACAGTACCCGGTCACCTGTCCAGTTTTTAAATGCATGTGCCATTAGAGTTATTTGTCACGCAGATCTTAAGGAGACGGAGCTTGAAGTGTTTTTATTAATTGCTAACTGAGACCCTATTGCCCAGCAAATCTGCTTAATGAAGAGAGAAGAGTATTTGTGGTATGAAGTGATGCCAAGTGCAAGGTATCCCTAAGAAAGTTGCTTAATGGCCATGGCACAACATGGAAAGCCACTAGGTACTAAAATGTGTCAATAATAGAGCTGTGGAGAGGAGGAAGGGGAAACAGAAAAAACGAGATAGCAGATTATTATGAACAACCTTCACCTGTCAAGTCACAAAGGGCTGGTCCAAACATCTCCGTAATGGGCAGAAGTTTCACATCTTTGATATCTTCTTTTTTTTGGTCTCCTCTGACAAGGTATCATGTCTCTGAAATATGAACACATAGCCTTAAAAATGAATAACAAATGAATAGCAAATGTTGCTCCAATGGTTACTAAACCCATTATCACCCTGTATTTGTCTTTTGGGTTAATCTTGGCAGTTATGGAAAAAGAAATAAGCATAGATGAGAAATAAATGTATACCTCTATAGTAGCAAAAATTATAAATAAGGATAATATCTAATATTGATAAAGATGATTTTACGTTAAGAATCAGACCGAAAATTTTCTATCGTACTCATTATGGAGGAAATGGAATAAAATGAGTAATGGCTGGGTGTGGTGGCTCACACCTGTAATTTCAGCACTTTGGGAGGCCGAGGTGGGCAGATCACCTGAGGTCAGGAGTTCGAGACCAGCCTGGCCAACATGGTGAAACTCCATCTGTACTAAAAATACAAAAGTTAGCCAGCCGTGATGGCAGGCGCCTGTAATCCCAGCTACTCGGAAGTCTGAGGCAGGAGAATCACTTAAACCTGGGAGGCGGAGGTTGCGTGCCACCACACTCCAGCGTGGGTGACAGAGAGTGACTCCGTCTCAATAAATAAATAAAGTAAGTAAGTAATAATTTTGTGTAGATGAAATAACAAAAATTAAAGGTAATGATAACCCATAGCATTGTGGAGGTGCATTCTTTCAGTGCTCATGGCAAGTGAATAAATAAGAGCTTCTGGGATGGCAACTGGTGATATGTCTTAGGAACTGTAAAAATGTTCACAGTATTCAGCATGCTGGTAATATTTCCTAGAATTAGCCTAAGTAATTCATCCGAAAAAAAGCAAACAGTTAAATACATGAAAATGTGCATGCTAGTATTCTTTACATTCTTTAAAAATCTGGAAAATAGCCTAAATGTCCAAAAATAGGACAAAAGTAAATTATGGCATAGACAGTTGATGAGGTATTAAAATAACAACTACAGTGAATATGCTTGTTATGGACTGAGTTATGTCCCCCTCAAAATTCATATATGGAAGTCCTGATCCTCACTGTGACTGTATCTGGAGTAAGGAAGTAATTAAGTTTACATGAGTCTATGGAGTGGAGCCCTGATTCCATAAGATCCATGACCATATAAGAAGAGACACCGGACAGCTTGTACTCTCTCTTTCTCTCTTCGCCACGTGAGGACACAGCAGGCAGGCGGCCATATGAAAGCCGGGAAGAGCTTTCACATGTCCTGCCTCACAAGAAATTGAATTGATTTAGGTCTTCCCAGCCTCCAGAACTGTGAGAAAATACATTTCTGTTGTTTAAGCCACCCAGCCTGTGATATATTGTTATGGAAGCCCAAGCAGACTAATAGAATGCTCTTATGCTTAAATGTTAGGTGGAAAATAAAGAGTCTTAACACAAAATGGTATTAGTGATATGCTTACAACAATAGTAGGAAATGGAAATTCAGGTTTCCTGACTTGCCGTTTTCACGATATGAATGTCAGGTATAGTGACTGCCTAAAGAGTGATAAAAGTTCTCAGGCTCACCATCATTGGCTGAGTCAAGTGCCAGGCACCGTGGTAAGTACTTTATGCACACTGTCTCAGCTAATGGGCCCGAACATCCTAAGGAGTAGGTATGTCACCATTTTAGACCCTCTGAACCCTGGACACAGAGAGGGTTGTCATTGGCTCCAAGTTCCTCAGCAAACAGTTAACTAAGCCCAGGTTGGAACTGGGACTTGTCTGAGTCCAAAGCCCAAAATCTTCAATTCTATAAAAGTACGATATTTCTAACAAGTAAACAGTTTTTCTTCACAGCAGAAAAATAAACCAGATAGAAATGTCTATTGCAGTTTGCATTTTTCCCAAGATGCCCACCCAATTTTCTAATCTTTACTCAATGTCCCACGCACTGTTCTTATGTATGAGGGCAGTAACCTTATTTTCTGGTGAAGCATCTTTAGAAAGGCATCACTGATGGTTCTCTGCCTTGGGACATCAGCTGGCTTTTCCGCAACCACAGGAAATTTAGAAGTCATTTTCAACAGAGCAAGTGCTGTCACTGCCATCATCAAGCATTCTGACTTTCTCAGGGTGACCTCCTTAACAAATGGCCTGTCCCACCGTCAGACCACAGTGCCTCCTAAGTGGGTTCCAAAAGGCTGACTTCTGTGGCTGACAGCTCCTGATAATTCCAAAAATCACAGAATGATCTTTGGAAGGCTTCCCCCACCCCACCAGAAATCCAGCGTTGTATAAACTCTCCCACAGCGTATAAGGCTCCAGAATAATCTCGTCTTTAACTCTCTAGCTTCAGCTCTGGCTGCTCCCACCCCACCCGCAATTCAGAGTGGACTACATTTCTTATATTTCTCTGAAAGTGTCTCATATTATCTCACTTTTGGGGTAAGTAATTTTTCCTATTCCCAGAATGCCCCTTGCTCTAACTGGGTTTTTCCTGCTAAACTCTGGTGTATCCCTTTTTGTCCCAACCTAGATGCCACTTCCTCCAGGATGCCTTCGCTGAATTTTAAGCCACTTCCTCCAGGAAGCATTCACTGAGTCCTAAGCTAAGTTAGAAAGCCAATGGGCTTTCCAGTCACCGAGGTGTTAGCTTTGTCTGGGATTTTCTTAATCTCCTTATAATGGCACATCGCTCTCCCTTATAAGCTCTTTGTAGTCCACCAAGCAGGAATGATATCTTATTTCCCCACTTTTTTCATGAGTGAATAAAGGAAAGAGCACCAAGGAATAATCTTAAGCTGAATTTCTGTGCTGGCTTCTGCAACACATACACTGAAATTAAACTGAATTTCCCCTTGAAAGCACAACGAATGAGAGTTTTGAGCTGAGCTCATGAGTCTGTAATGTGAGAGGCAGTTTAGAAAACTAATTCAGATCCCAGTCAAACAGACCTAGTTTCAAATCCAAGAACTGCAACTCTCTGTGACTTTAAGCAAGTGACCTAGCCTCTCTATGCTTCAGTTTCCACGTCTGTAAAATACAGCTAAGCTTTATTTATTTCCTAAGCTGTTTCATAGTGTTATTTGGAGGATCAAACAACATTAGACACATGGAGCTCTTAGCACTGTCACTGGCCCTGGTAAACACTGGATAAATGTTTACCATAATGATTAGGATTTGTTATGCTATTGTAATTATTAAAGCCATATTTTAAAAAGCAAAAGAAACGTAGATGTTCAGAGGGCTGCTGCCATAGAAACCTGGCTAAACACACAAAGTGTAATTGGCTCTTCAGCCAGATGTTGCGTGTACCACAGCATCTGGGGGTCCTCAAACAGAATCTACCTCTACAAATAAGATTTTTGTTTCCTTTGTCAAGATCAAACCTGATAAGGGAAAAAAATAAAGCATATCATTTCGAATTCCTGGTTCCCTAGCATTCAGAATATGACAGGTGTGTTTTGCTAAGTCTGGTGGGAAACATTGAGTGAGACAAGGTAATTCTTGGGTCTTGAAATTAACTTTTTGCGGGTCCCAGTTACGTTTGGTACTGTGGGCATCAATGTCGCAGTGGGAGAGGCCCAGGGATGCAGAGGTAATGTGGCGTAGTGGTCAGGTACACAGATTTCAGACCCCAGAGCCACAACTGACTAGTCGTACCACCTTGGCAAATTACTTTACCTCTATATGCCTCCGTTTCGTCACCTGTAAAATGGGACTAAAGGGTAGATACTCTGAGTATCTACCTCAGAGGTTTTACAAGAGAATTAAGTGAGTTAGCGTTTGCAAAATGAGTAGAAGAGAAAACTATGTTAAGTGTTTGTGAAATAAAGTAAATATTGGAACTGTGAGGCCAACTCAAACAAGAGAGAAAAATTATCGATTGTCACTTCGGAGCCTTGGGGATCATCGATGTATGTATTTATTTCTGTATTTTTGTTTCAAAAGTATCTGTTCAGAAGGGCAAGAAGGAGGCAGAAAGAAAATCCTTTTTATTCTGCCTGTGTCGTCGGCAATTCCTGTGGGGAAGAAATCAATGAGAATTTGATAAACAGTTTGCAACCCTCTCTGACAAATCTCAAAAATTGATTCCACTAAGATTCCTTGACTTTCAACTCCTCTATAAAAAAAGACAAAAATAAACCCAGGCTTTTCTCTAAGGTAGAAGGTGAAATTGTATTATTTCCAGCAACAATGATACTTTTTACAAAGGTAGACCGGTTACATTTGGGCCAAAGCTACTTGATTTTATGAGAAGTTGTTCATATGCAGAATATGGTAGCAGCACTCAAAAGTAACAGCAACAAGTACCATGCATTTACATGATGCTTTAAAGATTTCAAAACTTATGTGTATATCTTAGTTGCCTCCCACATATGTGCCATCCCTCTTGTATTGCAGAATAAAAAGCAAGTGGCCTAGAATTAGGTAACTTACATCATTCTGCACAAGCTTCTATTCATAAGCAAGTGATTTCGTGTTCCCGGGCTTCAGTTTCCCTGTCTATAGAACAGACAAGGTAGGGGTAGTATTCCCCCCCATTCTGGTGTATTGTAAGTATTCAGTGAGCTAACTATGTAAAGCCCCTCACATGGCGAGTGGCACATATTTTTAGTATTATTGCCTCACACGATAGATTCTAAAGATTAGGTTATGAGACTAGAGTGTGAAAACTAAGTTATATGAAAGTGCTTTGAAAATATCACATTGAAGGAATTTATTTTAAATGGGATTCACATGTTGAGGAACGATTGTTCAATTTTTACATATGATAATGATAATAAGGTTCTCTTTTTAAAACAGGCCTTTTCAGATTGCAGCCTCTAAATGCCATTAACCACTAAAATGAACCAAGGCTGCCTGGGAAAAATAGCGAATTCCAGGTCTAGAGCAGGAAATGTGCCATCTTGTCACGCCAGACAGCAAAGGAACCATCAAGGCCACCGGGTCTGTGACAAAAGGACTCAGAAGACAGCCTGGAGAGACTCCTACTGACCAAAAATAGGACAATGTGAGCCTTAATAAAGATAATAATTGCAAAGAATTGAAAAATAACAACTATGCTCAAATCCATGAGTATAAATGATAGTAAAATAAAGGGAAAAATCAAGCATTTATTCTGCTCTTTCCATATAAACTGCTCCTCTGCATAATCAAACAGTTAAATAGGAGATGTTGCTTTGTATGAGAGGATTCCAGCTAATAAATGCAGAGGGAATAGTAGAATATCACCATCTTGTACACAGCTAATGAATTAATGGATCGAGTCAATGATCATCTATGTCTGTTCATGTCACCATAGAGAGACAGTTGGTGCCTATGAAGTAGACTTTCTCTTCAAAAGAACAAAATACAGACTCTTGTCAAGCTTCTAGATCTAATTGTCAAATTACAGAAAATGCAAGAAACAAAGGATTATGTCAAACACCACCACACAGATACAGGGAGAAAAATTAGGAATCTGTGGCCAGGCATGGTACACACACCTGTAGACCCAGTTACTCAGGAGACTGAGGTGGGAGGATTGCTTGAGCCCAGGAATTTGAGGTTGCGATGAACCGTGGTACTGCACTCCAGCTTGGGTAGCAGAGTGAGACCCTGTCGCAAAAAAAAAAAAAAAAAAAAAAAAAAAAGAATCTATAAGACATTTGTCTAGTACAAGACATTTGTCTAGTACAAGACATTTGACTCAGTTTCTTCAATTACAAAAAATTGAAAGAGAAAAAGAAAGGAAGAAATTTATAGATTAAAAGAGATAAAAATATATCAAACATTCAAAATATATGTACCTTATTTGGATACCAGTTGAAGCAATCTGGTTTTTGTTTTTTTGAGAAAAAAGACAGGGAAATTTGAATGCTGACTGGATATTTAATATTAAAGAAATTACTCTTTATTTTTTAAAGTGAAAATGGTATTGGTTTTTAAATTTTTAATTCAGGTGAAATTCACAAAACTTAAAATTAACCATTTAAAAATAAACAATTCTGTGGCATTTAGTACATTCAAAATGGCATGCAACCACCACCTCTATCTAGTTTTAAAACATTTTCATCACCTTAAAAGAAAACCTTAAAGTGCAATGTACACTACTTGGGCAACAGGTGCATTAAAAGCTCAGAATTTACCACTATATAATTAATCCATGTCACAAAGAAAATGCTTGTACCCCAAAAGCTATTGAATTTTTTTAAAAAAGAAAACCCCACACCCTTTAAGCAGTTGATCCCTATTCCCCTCCCTACTTCCCCTGGCAAGCGCCAATCTGCATTCCATCTCTATGGATTTACCTATTTTGAATATTTCATCTGTGTGGATCATACAACATATGACCTTTGTGCCTGGTTTCTTTCACTTAGCATGTGTATGAGATTTATCCATGTTGTAGCATGTATCAGTACTTCACTTTTCTTCATGACTGAACATTCCATTGTATGTGTGTGCCACAATTAGTTTATCCGTTCATTTGTTGATGGACATATGGCTTGCTCCAATCTTTTAGCTATTGTGAATAATGCTGTTATGAATATGAGTATGTGTGTATATGTACTTGAGTACCTATTTTCCATTGTTTCGGATATATACCTGGATGTAGAATTGCTCAGTAATTCTACATTTAACTAAGAAACCACCAAACTGCTTTCATCCGCAGCTGTTCCATTTTCCATTCCCATCAGCAGTGTACAAAGATTTTCATTTTTCTTATTGTAACCATCCTGGAGTGTGTGAGGTGGTACCTCATTGTGGTTTTGATTTGCATTTCCCTAATGACTAATGATGTTGAGCATCTTTTCATGTATTTGTTGGCCATTTTTGTATCTTCTTTGGATAAATGTTTATTCAAGTCCTTTGCCCATTCTTAAAATTGGATTGTTTGTCTTTTTATTATTGAATTGCAAGAGTTCTTTATGTATTCTACATGCAAGACTCATTAGATATAGGATTTGCCAATATTGTCTCCCATTCTATAAGTTGTCTTTTCACATTCTTGAAGATATTTGATGCACAAACATTTTTAATTTCTCAATTTATTTATTTTCCTTTTTGCTCATACTTTTGATGTCATATCTATAAGTCATTGCCAAAGCCAAGGTCATGGAGATTTGCCCATATGTTTTCTTCCATTTAATAGTATTAGCTCTTATTTTTGTGTCATTAATCCATTTTGAGTTAATTTTTTTGTATATGGTGTGAGGTTGGGGTCCAATTTTATTATTTTGCAAGTGAATTATTTAATTTTCAGAGTCTTTATATTCTAAGGAAACATAAGGATATTTACAAACTGAAATGTCTAGAATTTGTTTCAAAATAATCTATGAAAGAGAAGAATTGAATATAGATAAAATAGAATTGCCCATAAAGTGATCATTGTTGAAGTCAGATAATGAGTAGATGGAGGATCATTTCAGTAGTCTGTATAGCTCTCTATACATTTAAAATTTTTCCTATTAATGATAATAATAAGAGCTTTATAAATAAGAGCTTTATATTTTAGAGAGATTAATTGAAATATTTACAGATGAAAATATATAATGTCTGAAATTTGTTTCAAAATAATTTTGTTGAGGGAATTGGGGAAGGTATAAATGAAAGAAGATTGGTAATGAGTTGATAGTTATTGAAGCTATACGATGGTATATGTAGGTCATCATACTGATCTTTCTAATTTGAGTATATTTGAAAGTTTTTGATAATAAAGCTTTTTAAATGTAATACATAATTAACTGCTAAGATTTTATTTGGTAAGAATGAGAATCTTTCCAAATGAAAGCAAGAGGAGACAAGCTACAGAACAGTATTGGCAGCTGATGTTTATTGTTCTCAATAGCCAACCAACATCACCACTGAATAAAAGGAATACGGTAGGTGAGCATGTTTGAGGAATTCTTCTGGAAGAGGAAAGCAGGTGACATTTGAATGGGCCTTGAAGGATGAGCATACGTTTTTGTCAAGATAGGAGAGGAAGGGTGGTTTAGTTACAGGTTGTGGAGAGGTGAAAAGGTTACAATATTTGAGAGGAATGAGAAGCTGAGTGTAAGAGGAGTCCAGGCAATTAGGCAATGAAAATTAGAGGTAGTCTTTGATTCTCATGCTAAGGATGGATTTTCAAGTAAGCCAGAATTACAAGAAAATTGATGGTCCATAGGCTGATGTAGTCTTTGGCCTGTTAGTGTGTGTGTTTTAATTGACCCAACACTAAAAGAAAAAAAAATGCAGGAGACTTTACTTTGAAATCTGAATGTCTAAATTTCTTGAAAAATTAGAAAATACAGCAACATAGAGCCTGCATCTCCCATGCAACAGTTGACCCAAGCTGAAAGGTGGTGTCCATCTTTAAATGGGCTGGGTCTCCTTTAGTTCATCCAGCTCTCCCAGCCTCTATCCCATGCCCCACAGCAGGTCCAGTAATGGGGCTATTAATCACCATTGTTTAGCTGGAGGGTTTTTTGTCATAGTAAAGGAATGTTTACCTGCAACTCTATCAACAGTGAGAAAATGAAATGTAGACACAGAAGTCTGAGTGTCTCAATAAAATATTTGAGAGAGCACATTCCTCTGTGGCAGTAAAGACAGCTCTATTTCCATCTGTTTAACATACAGAGTGTATCAGTATGGGACAAATACAACTTAAGATGTCAAGGTAACAACGAAAACAGCAATAATAATAATAACACCAAACTAACTAGTACCTACTGAGCACCTGCATGCATAAAATGCTCTTCTACTGCTTTTCAGGTATTGCATCATTACCTCCTTATGAAGACACTCTATCCCCATTTTACAAAGAAGGGAACTGGCCCAAGGTCATATTGTTATTATACTCCCAGCCAGGAGGCTATGATTCAAGGCAGTCAGACTCCAGAGCTCTAGACCACCATGCCAAACAATGACAAGAACATTATGACTGATAATCCTACAAGGTTTGTTCATAAATAGGAGGTAAAAGGCATTCCACCCATTGAAGGCAGTGGCATTGTGTTACTCCTTTTTATATTGAAGATTCCTCCCCAGTATCTAGCATAGTGCCTTTTATATAGTAGGTATCCAATAAATACACGTTTAATCAATTAGTTGACTAGGTGTTGTTATCTGATCCCCTTAGAGTTTTCTTTCTTCAGGGTAAACAGCTCTTGAACATGTAACATACCTCACTTCTCAGAGCTAACTCCAAGGCACCCAGGGCTAGAACTAGGGGGAGGCAAGAGAGACATCCAGGTTGCAGCATGTGAAAAGGATAGTAGGTCTCAGGTGCCCAACCTGCACTTGCAGGATCCCAAGAGTGAGGTCCTTCTTATATTTTGCACCCTGGGTACCTCTCTTGCTTTACCCTAATCCCTGCCCAGTAAGGCATCTCTCTTTTTCATCTTCCTGTACTCGTACTCCAGATGTGATCAAACCAGAGTGGACTATGGGAAGGGCTGCCATCATCCATGCACTGAACACTATACTCCTGTTAATTCTGCCTAGGGTTTCACTTCTAGCTTACTAGCAACTCCCCTCTCCACCTTAGGCCTGTCTGTCAAGCTGATTCCTTAAGACTGGGAGCAGGACTTCATATTTAATCTTTCTCTTGTTTCTTTCAACAATAACTGAAATTGAGTATCATCTTTTTTAAGGTCCTTATTGATTATTCAGCATAGTAGTTATTTTCCTAATCCTCGTTTTCATTCATTTATTAATTCATCAATGCCCATTCCCTGAGAACCTGTTCTGAGGCTTAGCGTACAGAAATGAATGACTTGGTCTCTGTCCTTGAGGATCTGTGGCATGGTCCAGTGTAAGAGACAGGCCAGTAAACAGTTGACAATTGCACAAGGGACTGAGTGTAGAGAAAAATGTCTGTACTGAGGGCATAGAGGGGCACTTAAACTAGACCAGAGGACCAGGGAGGGCTTCTGGAGGAGGTGTCAAGGATGTTGACATCAGAGAGGGATGACCAGATATTGTGCATCATTAGACTTGATAAATGAGCTCCTATGTCTGTCTCTAAGTTATTAATAATCATAGGGACAGGGCCAAGGCTAAGCCTTGTAGCAACCAGGAAAACATTCCCACCTGAGAAAGAAAGTCACCCTGATGAAGAGCAGATGTGCTCTAGAAAGCTGCTGCTAGCTTATAGGGGGTCTTTGTGAATTTTTTTTTCATTTTTCTTCATTTATTTAGTTGAGCCATTCAATTCATACAGATTGGAAAACAATTTCCACAGGAAGATCAACTGCTATTTTTTTTATTATACTTTAAGTTTTAGGGTATATGTGCACCATGTGCAGGTAAGTTACATGTGTATACATGTGCCATGCTGGTGTGCTGCACCCATTAACTCATCATTTAGCATTAGGTATATCTCCTAATGCTATCCCTCCCCCCTCCCCCCACCCCACAACAGTCCCCAGAGTGTGATGTTCCCCTTCCTGTGTCCATGCGTTCTCATTGTTCAATTCCCACCTATGAGTGAGAACATGCGGTGTTTGGTTTTTTGTCCTTGCGATAGTTTACTGAGAATGATGATTTCCAATTTCATCCATGTCCCTACAAAGGACATGAACTCATCATATTTTATGGCTGCATAGTATTCCATGGTGTATATGTGCCACATTTTTTTAATCCAGTCTATCGTTGTTGGACATTTGGATTGGTTCCAAGTCTTTGCTATTGTGAACAGTGCCGCAACAAACATACATGTGCATGTGTCTTTATAGCAGCATGATTTATAGTCCTTTGGGTATGTGTCCAGTAATGGGATGGCTGTGTCAAATGGTATTTCTAGTTCTAGATCTCTGAGGAATCGCCACACTGACTTCCACAATGGTTGAACTAGTTTACAGTCCCGCCAACAGTGTAAAAGTATTCCTATTTCTCCATATCCTCTCCAGCACCTGTTGTTTCCTGACTTTTTAAGGATTGCCATTCTAACTGCTATGAGATGGTATGTCATTGTGGTTTTGATTTGCATTTCTCTGATGGCCAGTGATGGTGAGCATTTTTTCATGTGTTTTTTGGCTGCATAAATGTCTTCTTTTGAGAAGTGTCTGTTCATATCCTTTGCCCACTTTTGGATGGGGTTGTTTTTTTCTTGTAAATTTGTTTGAGTTCATTGTAGATTCTGGATATTAGCCCTTTGTCAGATGAGTAGGTTGTGAAAATGTTCTCCCATTTTGTAGGTTGCCTGTTCACTCTGATGGTAGTGTCTTTTGCTGTGCAGAAGCTCTTTAGTTTAATTAGATCCCATTTGTCAATTCTGACTTTTGTTGCCATTGCTTTTGGTGTTTTAGACATGAAGTCCTTGCTCATGCCTGTGTCCTGAATGGTGATGCCTAGGTTTTCTTCTAGGGTTTTTATGGTTTTAGGTCTAACATTTAAGTCTTTAATCCATCTTGAATTAATTTTTGTTTAAGGTGTAAGGAAGGTATCCAGTTTCAGCTTTCTACATATGGCTAGCCAGTTTTCCCAGCACCATTTATTAAATAGGGAATCCTTTCCCCATTGCTTGTTTTTCTCAGGTTTGTCAAAGATCAGATAGTTGTAGATATGCGGCGTTATTTCTGAGGGCTCTGTTCTGTTCCATTGATCTATATCTCTGTTTTGGTACCAGTACCATGCTGTTTTGGTTACTGTAGCCTTATAGTATAGTTTGAAGTCAGGTAGCGTGATGCCTCCAGCTTTGTTCTTTTGGCTTAGGATTGACTTGGTGATGTGGGCTCTTTTTTGGTTCCATATGAACTTTAAAGTAGTTTTTTCCAATTCTGTGAAGAAAGTCATTGGTAGCTTGATGGGGATGGCATTGAATCTATAAATTACCTTGGGCAGTATGGCCATTTTCACGATATTGATTCTTCCTACCCATGAGCATGGAATGTTCTTCCATTTCTTTGTATCCTCTTTTATTTCATTGAGCAGTGGTTTGCAGTTCTCCTTGAAGAGGTCCTTCACATCCCTTGTAAGTTGGATTCCTAGGTATTTTATTCTCTTTGAAGCAATTGTGAATGGGAGTTCACTCATGATTTGGCTCTCTGTTTGTCTGTTATTGGTGTATAAGAATGCTTGTGATTTTTGTACATTGATTTTGTATCCTGAGACTTTGCTGAAGTTGCTTATCAGCTTAAGGAGATTTTGGGCTGAGACAATGGGGCTTTCTAGATATACAATCATGTCGTCTGCAAACAGGGACAATTTGACTTCCTCTTTCCCTAATTGAATACCCTTTATTTCCTTCTCCTGCCTAATTGCCCTGGCCAGAACTTCCAACACTATGTTGAATAGGAGTGGTGAGAGAGGGCATCCCTGTCTTGTGCCAGTTTTCAAAGGGAATGCTTCCAGTTTTTGCCCATTCACACAATAATAATGGGAGACTTTAACACCCCGCTGTCAACATTAGACAGATCAACGAGACAGAAAGTTAACAAGGATACCCAGGAATTGAACTCAGCTCTGCACCAAGCGGACCTAATAGACATCTACAGAACTCTCCACCCCAAATCCACAGAATATACATTTTTTTCAGTACCACACCACACCTATTCCAAAATTGACCACATAGTTGGAAGTAAAGCTCTCCTCAGCAAATGTAAAAGAACAGAAATTATAACAAACTGTCTCTCAGACCACAGTGCAATCAAACTAGAACTCAGGATTAAGAAACTCACTCAAAACCGCTCAACTACATGGAAACTGAACAACCTGCTCCTGAATGACTACTGTGCATTTTTTAATGCACCTGTGGGCAGAGGAATTAGAAAAAGACAGCCCGAAGCAGCCTCAGCACTCCTCCTCCTCTCCTTCCTCCCTCCCCCTCAGTACAGCTTGGTGAGAGAAGCCGAATTCAAATGCAGTCAAAGGGTCCCTTGAGATATTAGGGTTCTATTTCTTTGCTTCTCTCCTTTCATCCATAAATATGGACGACTTCCCTTTATGCTGGTAATGCAAGAGAGCGCAAGTGACTAGCCCACAGTCCAAAAACCAGCCAAAGACAAAAAGAATATTCAGGGTTCCAAACTGTGGAGTGTCAGTCAATAGATTTCTGTTCAGTACTTACACAGTTCCTGCCACAAGAAACTTATTGCCCTTTTAGCTTCCAAGTGAACTGAGCTCTCAAATGCTGCATCAGAGCTGCTGGGAGCTGCTGCAAGTTGGCTGCCTCTTTATTAAGGAAACAGCATCCCCTGCTGTCACTCCTGACTACATACAGATTTGCTTTATATATTATCTGAGCTGTGTCAAGATTGGATTGACACCCCTTCACTATACCTCTGGAAAGAAGTCCACCCTGGCCACTGTTCATTGTTTTGTTTGTTCAATTTATTTGAAATGAAATTGGTGTTTAGAATTTGGGGATACCATCTGATACATTATCATTATTACTGATAATAACAATTAGCAATTAGCAAACCAGGTATTGTGCCAAGCACTTATATGCATTATTTTATTCAAATCTCTCAACAATAAAAATTATCATATCCATTTTATGGATTAAGAAACTGGAAACATTGATCCCTTGGCACAATTACTTTTATTGAATAAGGTAATATTTACTCACACAACACACTTGTACTGAGCACCTGCTGCATATCAGGCTCTAGAGGCACAAGGATGAATGAGGCATTGCCTTTGTCTTTGTAAAGTCATAACAGAGAAAGGAGGGAGAACAAGAGGAGAAAAAAACTAATGTTGATTAGACATCTAGTCTGTGGCACTATGCCTGGTGTTTATAATTGGGCAATTTCATCTCATTCTCCAACAATCCTGGGAGGTACGTTTTTATATATCCATCTTACAGGTGAGAAAAACTAAGGCTCAGAGGGTTCAAATGACTTGCCTAAGGTGACACAGCTGGTTGGTAGAGCAACTGGAATTTAAACTCAGCTCTCCTTGATAGCAAAGCCACACTTTTTGAGAAGATATATTGGAAGAAATTATTGAAAAAAAAAGGTTTATTGAGGCCCCAGAGGGGTCAAGAAGATGAAATAAGCAACTCGATATAGAGGCAGTCAGGTAATTCACTAAAACAGTTGCTGATTTTGGGTTTTGTCATTTATTCATTTCCTCAGTCATCAAAGGAGCCTAAAACATGTTTGTTGAGCATGTACTATGAGTTAGATATGGAAACCAGGGAGATGGTAATGCCCAAGATAGTATAATGACACCTGTCTTCATGAAGCCTATAATCAGGAGGATAAGGGGGTCCAGCATTCGACAGTGGGACTCCCAGCAACCTCTCAGATTGGGCCCAAGTGCTGAGAACAAAGGTATAGCAGGGTGCTACAGGAGTGCAAGCAGTGCCTTAAGTCAGATGAGGGTGTGTTTGGAGGACCTGGCCGAGCAAGTTGCATTTGAGCTGCCCTAGAAGGCTGGGGAGCACCAAGGAGCACTTTCTCTCTAAACAGAGAAAGGATGGAAGAGCTGCCCAGTAGAAGAGGTAGCAGGCATGAATGTTCAAGTCAGGGAGCCGTTGGGAGCGGGGACGTTGTGCAAAGGAGACATGGGGAGGAAAGTGAAGCTGGGCAGTAGTTGGGGGCAATCAAGCAAAGCTAAGAATATGGAACTTTAACCTTGGAGCAGCATTTCATAAACGAGCTGTGGGGAGCACAAACTCTGCTTTTCAAAAATGGATGCATAATATTTGTACATATTGACATGGGATATGTGATATTTTGTTACATGCATAGAATGTGCAGTGATCAAACCAGAGTGTCTAGGATATCTGTCACCACAAGCATTTATCATTTCTATGTGTTGGGAACAATCCAAGTCCTCTCTTCCAGCTACTTTCAAGCGTGCAATACATTGCTGTTAACTATAGTCACCCTACTCTACTGTCAAATGTTATAGCTTATTCCTTCTATCTAACTGTATGTTTCTACCCAGTAACCAACCCCCGACTTACACCCAAATCCTTCCCGGGATAGTTCTCTGATAACCGTTTTTCTATTCTGTACCGCCCTGAGATCAGCTTTTTAAGCTCTTACATATGAGTGAGAACATGCGATATTTGTCTTTTTGTGCCTGGCTTATTTCACTTAACGTAATAACCTCCACTTCCATCCATTTTGTTGCAATGATTTCATTCTTTTTTATGGCAAAATAGTATTCCATTGGAAAAATATACTATATTTTCTGTATCCAATTGTCTGTTGATGGACACTTATGTTGATTTCATGTCTTTGCTACTGTGAATAAGTATTGCGATAAACAGGGGGGTGCAGTATCCCTTTGATATACTGATTTTTGTATAACAATAATATACAAAATTTTTATTTTGTTTCTCTGTCCCCAAACATACCAACAGTTTTGTAAAATAAATAAAATGTGAATTAGTATAAAAATAAACAGAACACGAAATAATAGCACAAATTTATGATTACTAGATTCCACTGTCATAAAATCACTCTGTCAAATTGCTGTTACTGTACTTCTTTCATTGTGGAGAGGGTTTGCAAACTGGCACCTGCCAAGGACCACACTTTGAGGAGCAAGTATTTGAGAACCTCAGTGAGACACCGACTGTATCTGTGTCTGGAAGAATAAGAATAAGTGGCATTCAGCCAGGAGACAAGGGGAAAAGAGCAGGCAAGGAAAGCATTGAAGGCAAAAGCAGAGCCACATGAAGCAAGCTGGTGTATTTGGGGACTGGCAGATGGCTGGCTGGGTAGGCTGGAGAGGTGTGAGAGAGAGGCTGGCAAGCAGGCAGTGTCTTGGAGGGCTTTTTCAGCTATGATGAAGAGCTGAGCAGTAAGAACTGTACCAAGCAGGCCCTAAATGTCAAAAGTACCTGCCAGGATCATTGCTCTCTTGTGAGTGTTATGAAAGCAGCCAGGGGCTGTTCTACCTGCAAAAACTGCTCTGTTTTGCCCATCTGATTGCCAACCTCAGCACACCTATTCCAAAAAAGAAAAAAGAGAGAGAAGAAAGAGAAAGAGAGAGAAAGGAAGGGAAGAGAAGAAAGTGGGAGGAGATGGGAGGGGAGGGCACACCAAATAAACAGAGCCCAGAGCTCCTCCTGAATAGCCTTTGACACATTATTTGGATGAACCCATGGGTGGGTTTTTGTTTCTTTTTATCAGGCAAATGGAAGTTTCACTCAGTTCCTCAAAAAGTGCCCAGGCAGGTAGAGAGCATCCATCTGCGATGGGTTCCCCTTCCTGGAAGCCACAGCACCATCCAGCCCCACAGTAGGTGGATGCAAATTCTTGGCTGAAATGAATGTGAGCTCAGCAAGATGATCACCGTGGTCCTGACCATCATCATTGTTGCAGTGGAAATTATCCAGGAAAAATCCAGAAAAAGAAATAGCATCCAGGGCCTAAGGGTGTGGAGTTGAAATATAACCTTTACTCTCACCCTGAAAAGAGCTTTGGAAGGGACTGTTCAGTTGAGGCAGCCACCAACTGAGCCACCAACTCAGTTGCAATGAGTCATTTTACAGGCTTTGCAGTAAATTGTCACAGCTGGGCTGTGAATGTGGTCATCCGGACTTTAGATAATCAACCAGTGAGCTTCTAGATCCTCTTGAAGCTCACATTCTGGAGGACAGAAAGGCAATAAAAAGCAAATATATAATAAATGAAACACTTCCTGATTGTGGTAAGTATCAGGAAGAAAATAAATGGGGTGATGAATCAGGGAATACTGGAGGAGTGACTCAGTCACTGTCCCAGCAGAAAAGAGAGGGCACGCTCAAATTGGGTAATTTATTAAAGAGACAATTTACCATGGTGTGGGCAAGACTGGATAAAGGAGAAAGTTATGAGGAAGCCCCTCCCCCCACCCCAAGGCTAAAAACAGTAGGGCACCATTGCTCTCTCTAGGCCTGAAAGGGGCACAGGGAGAAAGCAGTGCCCAGAAGATGTAACAAGAGGACATTGGAGGGCTGTTCGACAGGAGCCACAGCCATCAGCAGGGATGGAGTAGGAGTAACAAATGGGACCAAACATTAGAGATGTCATTCTTCCCCCGGGGTACCCACCAGATGCTGCACTTCCAGTGTGGATTTCTCTGCATACACAGCTTGACAAAGCCAGGTTAGGGAGACGAGATGGCCCAGCTCACAGTAGAAGTGGTTGAAGATTCCACTATCATCTCACATTAAACAGACACTCTTCAAGTGCAGTTGCTTTTGCAGACACCCCTGGGACTCAGATGAATGCAAAGGGGCCATTTGCATACCAGAACAGCTTAGCACAGATGAATTCTCTTCCATCTTCCTTGTCAGGCTGCAGGGAGGTATGCTCTAGACCTTGAGAAATGACCTTGGGCAAGCCATTTAATATTTTCAGGCCTCAGTTTCCTCATCTGTAAAAAGAGAGCATTAGGCTTAGTGATTTCTAGGTACAAAATTATGCTGTGTAGAGGAAGAAGCACTTTGAAGCAGGGGGAGGTGAGTTCAAATCCTCTATACCTCAGCTGGCTGGCCAACCCTGGGAGCACCACATCTCTGGGTCTTAGCTCCCCTACCTACCAATGTAAGTGATAACGTCTATCCAGACCAATCACAGCATTTAGACAATGCATGTTAAATCCCTTGTATTTTGTGCAACGAGTCAGAGCTCCACACATGTCTATCCATTTGCTGCAAGGCAATGTAACATAAAGGTCAAGAGAACAGGCTCTGAGTGAAGTACACAGCATGGGTTTGAAACCAACTGCCTCTACCACTTTCTAGTCAGGGACCTTGGGCAAGTCACTTAATACCTCTAAGCCCCCACTGTTTCATCTGTAAAACCAAGGAGAAATGCTGGCTGAATCCACAAGGTTGTTGCCAGAATCAAATTAAATAATACATATTGAGCACTTAGAACATCTTCCTTCAGTTACGATATTCTGCAGCTGTAATATAACATTACAAAGAGCTTTCCAGAATGTTCTCTGATTTTTTTAGTTCTTTTAATGCAACAAAGTTACCTGGGATTGGTTAAATATGGTGTTGCCAGAATTTTCACTATAATGGCATTGCACCCAGAAGCACCTAGCCTAACCTTGCTTTGCCCTGGGTGGCCAGCATCCAAGACGGCAGACTGTGAGAGCGGCTGAGGAAGAGCACCAGAAGGAAAGATCTGCGCAATCAAAGGCATACTGACCCCAACTCTCTGCATCCCAATATATTGCCCTAACTGCTTTTTTAGCCCCCTAGTGTGACTTGGTGTGAAGCACAAGCAATTCAAGTGATTAAGAAGGGAGTTACTAATTTAAATGAATAGCTTTGGCAAAATGAGCTCCTCGAAGAGCTCTGAGGGAGATAATGGGGCCTTGTGTTTGGAGGCTAGAGTCAGGATGGTTGTTTATGGCGCTCTAGGGCCAAGTATTGCTATAGCAACAAACGACTTAGCAACTGTATTGAACAGACTGTTTCTTTGAAAGAGTTTACATAATAGGGATTACTCGAGTTCTTTCTGGGAAGGATAACATTAGTACTTTTTTCTCCCCTTTTCTTAAACCTAAGAACATTTGGACGCAAAATCCTTTTTCAAAAGCTGTACAACAAAAGGGGGGAAATGACTGAAGGTTTTGAAATAAAATGTTAGCAGTTACATTCCTTGAGTGGAGAGATTACCAGTAATGTTTTTGTTTTTCTTTTTGAGTGCTTTTCTGAGACTTCCATGATGGTTTTGGTTTTGTAACTAGGATTAATTTCCATTAAAAGAAACAAATTGACCAGCCTGGGCAACATGGGAAGACCTCATCTCTATAAAAATTTTAAAACTAAAAAAATTAGCTGGGCTTGGTGGTGCGCACCTGTGGTCCCAGTTACTCGGGAGGCTGAGGTGGGAGGATCACTTGAACCCAGGAGGCTGAGACTTCAGTGGGCCATGATGACTCCACTGCACTCCAGTCTGGGTGTGAGTGAGACCCCATCGCAAAAATATATAATAATAATAATAATAATAATAATAATAAATTGACTATGATAAAATATAAGCCTGGAAATGTTAAGAGGGTGCTTGTGACCCAACAAGGATGGGGCCTGGCCTTGGTGGAGGAATGGCCCTTGGGGGACTTGCAATACTGTGGCGGGCTCCTGGCATTTGCTGGCTTTGTGCTGGCTTTGACTATGGGAAAGCACCCCAAAGGTTAATGAGTGGCCTGGCCAGTTGGCACCTGGCTGACGTGAGAATTTGAATCCTGCTGCCCTTGGGATGGGGGAAGGGAGGGAGCCCCACCACTGCCCACTCTCCCATTTCACCCCCACTTGACCCTGCAGCACCTATGGAGCCACTAGGGAAATCAACATCCTGTTAGTTTGTGACAAGTGGGCCTAGGATAATGGAAAAGAACAGGCAGCAGTTAATACATGACATGAGGGTTTGCCCAGAGAGCTCATGGCTTTGGAAGAAAATAAGAGTTGAGAGACAGCCAGGATATCTATCTTTACATTGTGAATTTAGTAATTCATGAAGATCTTAAGACGCATTTCTCTAAAATGCTTTTTCCAGTGATCATTATAATTGTTTTGTGGTTGGGAATTGAGGGAGCAAGGGAATTTCAGGGGGAAAATAATCTAAGCAAAACTTTCAGCATGTATTTCTTGAGTTCCTTCCGAATACAATGTATTGATTTGAAGGAATTAATTCACAGTTGTGCAATCATAATATGACAAACTATGTTCATAAACAACATAGTACATATAATGGTTAAAAGCCACAGGTTTGGGATCAGACTTGCATCTGAAGCCAGTACTGCAATAGCCAGCTGTGTGATCTTCAGCCACTTGCTCGAGCTTATAGAAATAGGCAGTGCAGCTGGGATTTGAACCCATGCGTATATTATCCCAGAGGCCTGGATCCCTAAGTCAAACAGTTTTGGAATGGAAAGATTTGTGGCTTTCTGGGGTGTCCACAGTCTCCTCTCCTCCATCTATGTGATCTGTCTTGCACCAACTGCAGTTCTAGCCGGAGAGTGTTCTGCCTGCTGTCTCGTGCACCTGAGAACCTAGGCTTAGGGACACTTTTTGTGTTTAGGCTCTCCCATCTGTCTCCATTTCTAATTTTGTCAGAGCCATGAATTAAGCTGGAAACAGATCCAATTTATTAGTTCCATTCCTGCTCCATGATTGTGCCCAGAGGCTCGTAGACACACACTGTAAATCACAAAGAATAATAATAATAATAATAATAATAAAGAGCTCTCTGTTGAAAGCTGCCTTAGGGGACATCTGTCAGCTTGTTGAGGACCCCCAGAGAGCCAACTTCCTCTTTCCTCCTTCCAGAATAAACCACAAGAAGAGGAGTCAGTAAGTGAGGGAAACTTTAAGGTCAAGTGGAGACAAATTCCCAGCCCCATCCACTTTCTTGGCTAGCCATAAGCATTCTTATCCTTCTTTTCTACAAAAACAGGAAATTTATATATTAATGTGCCAAGCCCTTTGCACAGATCAAATGCAATCCTCCCAACAGCCCTATTAACTAAATACAGCTACTCAAATTATCCTCATTTTATGCATGAGGACACTGAAGAGTTACAGAGGATAAGTAACTCGAGGATGCACACCTCATTAATTGAGGAGCTAGGATTTAGATCCAGAGCCTCATGATTCTAAAGCCTGTTTTTTGTTTGTTTGTTTGTTTGTTTTGTTTTGGCCACACTAGGTTTCTAGAAACTTCCAGTTCCTTCTTAAAAGTCCTTTTTGGGCATTCCGGCCTAAATCCCAAAACTGTGGTCTGGGTACAAGAGAGAATTAGGCCAGTGAGAAAAATTTAAACCACCCTGCCCTCTAAATGTCTGTCTTCTTTCGGAGACTGGTGAAAGTTTCTCAATCACTCAGCAAGTAATCTCATTGTGAGCCAGGCACGGAACTAAGCACTTGCAGAACAGAGGCAAACTAGACACAACTGCAGGCCTCAACAAGCTCGGTCTAGTGGGAGAGGCAGATTGGAAAACAAACATGGCAAACCATTCGAGGTAGTCTCAAGAATGGAGGGGATAGATAACAAGATGTAGGGAGAGGAGTTTCTAAGCAAATGTCCTATGCAACCCTAGAAACAATATGGAGGAATAGAAGGCTGTGAGAGGAAAATAAGATCTCAGGGCCCCAAATTCACTGTGCCAAAGGGAAAGGGCTCATCCTGGAATCTGAGTCATGAACAAAACAAAAACAAAAACAAAAAACAAAAGCAAAAACAAAAAACAAAAAGACCTGCCTTTGCTTTTGTTTCTAAACTGATAGCTACAGATAGAAGGTTGCATGTCTCCACAGAAGGCCTTCCTCACCCTGACAATGTAAATCAACAGCTTATCTTCATGGGTATGGGACAAGAGGAGACTAGAAATTGTCCCCACTCCCCATCCCAAGACAAATGTGCATTTGATTGACTGCTTCCTCTACTCCATGTTTACTTTATCTTATGTAAAGTGCAGATTTACTGAGCATGAGACAAACATATAATTGACTATTTCCTCTACCCCCTCCTTTTCACTACAACGTGTGGAATGTGACCATATCCTCCCTTTATTTTCTCTTTCCCCTTTCTCATCCTACCCATTTTCCCCTTTAAATATCAAAGCCCTCAAAATTCTCTTTGGAAGAAATAGGGCCACAGATCCGACTGTGGCTTGTGTCTCTTTTTCCCCATTGTGTTCTCAACCTTGGCAAAATAAACCTCTGAACTGATTGAGATCTGTCTCAGATACTTTTTGGTTTATAAGGCATAAGGCCCAGCCATTTCCCAGCTGAGTAATCTGGAGTCCAACCCTGAGTCTTTCTGAGTCTCAATTTCCTCAGGCATACAATGGGAATATGAATTGTTTCCAAGGCTCTCACAATTAAATGAGATCATATAGGCCATGCTTAGCATCCCATTCTTCCATCACCAGGTGTCACCTATCACGGAGTCTGTGCTGATTCTACTTCTAAACATTTCTGTAATGTCATTTCCATCTCTTCTGCCAACATGTTAAACAAGGCCCCATCATCTTCCCCATGGATGACTGCAATACACTCCCAACTGGACTTCTCATATCTATTCTTTCCTCCTGTCCAATCTGTTCTCCATTGTGAAGCCAGGATCACCTTTTTAAACTCCAATTATGAGCATACCACCCACTACCTCCCATTCGTCACCTGCTTAACACCCTTCAGTGGCTTCCTACAGGCATCAGGAGAGAGAATGTAACCCTCTGCATAGCATGGTTGGCCCCTGCTCCCTCTCCAGCCTCATCTCACCCTGGGTTCCCCCTCACTCCCTGCATCCCCGCCTTGCTGACATTCTTTCAAGCTCTCCCATCTGCCAGGATGCCTCCTGACATGAGGGCCTGAAATATGCTGTTCCCTCTGCCTATCATGCTCGTTTCTCCTTCTCATCTCAGCCCAAATGTTCCCTTTCCAGGGAAGCCCTCCCTGAAAGCTGCCCCAGCCGTGTCACCGTCCCCACTGGGACATCCTTCCTTCCTTGATAGCTTCTAATTGAATCCTCACTTAATATGCATTTGTGTGATGTGTGGATTCCAGTCTGTCTCCTTCACCAGACCATGAGCTCCATGGCTCACCCCTACATGCCTCAAACTTAGCATGGTGTCTGATACACAACAGATGCTCAAGAAAGGTTTGTTGTATGAATATTAAATGCATGGCACTTGGGAAGTTTATAAAATTGTGACTTCCTTTTCCCTTGTCTAGGGCTTCTTATATATGAAAGTTAAAAAAAAGTGTGTTTTTGTTTGGTGGTTGTTTTAATGAAACATTATTTGTCAAAGTCTCCAACAGTGCAGATCCCTAAGATTTCCCTTTCTGCAAAAGATGGCCAGCAGAGGGCCCCATAGGAGCAATTACTGAAGTCAGGTCAGCGAAAACAGCAGCTGCTGAAAGATAGCCGATCCTGTGCCCAAATCTCTGGCAGTCCTTGAGCAGCTTGGAGAGAACATCACCATCATGGAACCCTGGCCCACTATGTCCAAAAACTGTTTGATCTGGCCTCAAGAAACAGGAGTTCATAAGGCAGGAGATCAGAGCCCTGCGTAGACGGTTTTAATGCAAATCCCTGCTTGTTTCTTGAGTTGCCAGTTTCACGCTTAAGAATTTGTAGTCAAGAGCTCGCACAGTTGGGTAGAATCACGCATGAGTGTTAGGGGAGATTTGCTTTCTTTGGGGGCCACTTTTCGTTTTCCAGTCAGTAGTTTTATTTCCATTTTAATTTTCCGAGCATCTGGCCCCCAGCAACAGCCTGTGGTTTGGAATTCATGGCTCTGTTGTGTGTTTACGCACTACACTTGCTTGTAATTGACAAATTTAAATTCTGGTCATATTTCATTTATTACCCAGACCCAGGGAAAAATCCTAGGCGAAAACCTAATTACAGCAAAAGTGCCACAAGGTAATTGCTGTGAAAGAACTCCTGCAGCAGCAGGGCTGAATATTTCATCCACCCATAAAATGATTATGCTGACAAGATTCTGAAAAATAATAAAATCTGTTTAATAAAAAAGAAGCAAAATATCAGTGTTTTTACACACAAAGTATTAAAACATTCTTCATTTTGGACAGATCCTAAGTCATTTGATTTTTATTCAAATGATGATCCACAGCTGAGATAGTTCTTTTATCAGAAACCGGGGTTGGGTAATCCCTCCCACATGAGGCTGTGTGGAAGCTTCCAGGCCTGCAATGGCCTTCTGGAACAGTACTGAATCGGCTTGCCACTGCTCTATTGGATCTCTGGTCTGTGCCACAGAATCAGAAAGCAGATGGAATGAAAGGAGAATGCCTTTAGTTTAGACTGCTGTCACTCCCCCACATTCTCCCTGGCCACCATGGGGGCTGTCTGTCCTTCTCTCAGAGGACCTAGAAGGCATGCAGGTGTGACTTCTGCCCTCAGAGCTTTGTTGAGTCCATCAGGGCATCTGGGGGTAATTTGCATCTGGGTGTCTCCAACTGTCCAGGATACCACTATAGCAGGGACCACTGCATTCATTCAGCTACTGAACAAGGTTGTATGGAGCATTTACCATGTGCCAGGAATTGTGTTAGACACAGCGTTGATAACAGTGAACTAGACCCTTGGTTCCTGCCCTTGACAGGAACTATATTACAGTGAAAGAGACAGGTCAAAACCAAAACAAAAAGTAAACAGAAACATAAATAAAGCATAACAAATTATATCAAGTACTGCATGGAAACACAGAAGGGGCTGGGAGAGAGGATGGGGCGATATCAGAGTAAGGCCTCTCTGAACCCTAAAGCAAAACAAGGAGCCAACATGGCAAGCTCAGAAGGAAACAGGTTCCAAACAACCGCTGGCCTGTGCCAGGCCTGAGAGGAGAGTGAGGGGAAGGGAGACTGGAGCTGTGGGGCCTTACGGACCAGGGTCAGGAGTGTAGTGTTTATTCCATTAAGGGAAACCCCTGGGAGGCTTTAAAGCAGGGGAAAGACACAATTCCATTTACATTTTAAAAAGCTCATCCCACTAGAGGCTGGAGCATATACAGTGGCTCTTAGGGACAAAGATGGTAGGTGGTGGGAGCAGACAGGAAGGACATTATTGTAACACAGGGCAGGACCAGGGCAGTGGGAGTAGAGGCAGGAGTACAGGGGGTTTTTGAGTATGGAAATTTACATATAAAAACATAAATATTTTACAAATCATCTAACATCTCAGATGTTAGCATTAGACTTTCCATTATGGTTGCAAGTGAAACTAGAGATCAAAAAATAAAATACAGCCAGGTGTGGTGGCTCACGCCTGTAATCCTAGCACTTTGGGAGGCTGAGGCAGGAGAATCACCTGAGGTCAGGAGTTTGAGACCAGCCTGGCCAACATGGTGAAACCCTGTCTCTACTAAAAATACAAAACTTAGGTGGGCGTGGTGGAGCATGCCTGTAATGCCAGCTACTCAGGAGGCTGAGGCAGAATTGCTTGAACACAGGAGGCTGAGGTTGCAGTGAGCCGAGATTGCACCACTGCACGCCAGCCTGGGCAACAGAGCAAGACTCTGTCTCAAATAAATAAATAAATAAATATAAAAATAAAACAAATTACTAGGAAATAGAAGAAACAAAGACCTAAATTAGAAAGAACTTGAAGCTGGGATGCCCATCTCCTTCTTCTCACTTTAGAGAATATAGACATTGAGTCTTCGTATCCTCGTAAGCTGCCAGCCAGTGTTTCTCAAACATGATCCAAAGACTTCCTAGGTTAAAATAGAAGGAGTCGGGAGGGCAGGGGATTACAAATGCAGATTCAGGGAGCCTCACCTTAGATTCACTAAAGCTGAGTCTTTGAGGTGGGCCCCAGAATCTGCATTTTCACAAGCTCCCTAAGTTGTGCACTGCAGAGTCTGAGACGCTGTGCTTTAAAGTGATTGATGTATCATGCTGAGAAATCACCTGACAGGGGTTAAAATTATGACTAGGCTAAATAAATAATCACGAAGAAATAAATCTCATTATCATTAATGTTAATAATCCTTGTAAACATTTTCGTAGATACGCTTCCAAATTTGCTCTTATGCACATATGCATTCTTTTTTTTCATAACAAAACGTGAGTACACCCTTATATTCTATAGGAATTGACTTCATGAACACAATACGTCTTTTGATAAAGACGCTCATTCTTCATTGCCTGGATGCTGATGAGGGCACAGTGTGGGGGTGTGGGGCAATGCCCAGAGGGAAATGACATCCACCAGGATCTATGTCTTTAATAATCAGAGGAGGTATTGTGGGGGAATGGATGCCTGACATGAGAGAATTAGAAACATATTTTATTTTGGAACAGACAGGTATTCTCTGATTGGTGGATCTCTGGAAATTAACACAAATTGTGTCATGAATATGCCTTGCCGGATGAAGGCATCTTCTAAAAAGCCAAGCACAAAGAGTTTTCAGACAAAAAGGCATAGCAAGCAACTGTCAAAACACAGTGCCATGTTGAATATTGTCAGCTTCCTTCCATCTGCTGTCTCAAAAACCTAGCTTCTCTCTTGCATTCCAGGGATGCTGACGGAGGAGGAGAGCCAGATTCTGGCACAGTAAGTTTATCTGTTTTATTATTTTGGACATCACGGTGGAAAACTTCAACATTCTCTTGGCTTTCGTATCTACTGAATCTACAAGGTTTCACACTGTTTGCTTTTCTTTCTTCAGGGTTGAAGTGTTTTGGGTAGAGAGTTGCCAGATTATCAAATAAAAATACAGGATTTCCCATTAAATTTGAATCTCAGATCAACAACGAATACATTTTGAGTATAAGTGGGGGCCATATAACATTCAGGACATACTTATACTAAAAAAAAAATCTGTTGTTTCTCTGGAACTCAAATTTAACTGGGTGTCCTATATTACATCTCATGACCCTGTTCAGAGGGAAATATTGATACAGAACTGTAATTTCTTAATTAGAAGTGAAAATGCTTCAGTTAACGTAGGAGCAATATGGATGTTCATTAATAACATCCTTCTATATTTCAGAAGTGTTTCTCCTAAAGAAAAAAAAATGACTCTGGATAATGTAACATCAGCTACTCGAAGAAGACAGTGGGCAGACACTGAAGCTTTTAGTTCACACCAGGGTAGCAGAAGTCAGCTTGCTTCTTGCTTCCTTTAAGTGATTGGCTTTGGTGAACGCAATAGTTGTTCGGGTACACAGGAATCTGCTTAATCTTTCAAATGCTGGTCATGCTCCCCAGGTAATGATCCAACACATGCTTATGTTGCTGCCTCCCAAATTAGTGCACACAGGGTTGTACAAAGTCAGGTTCAGGAGGGAGTTGATGCTCCAGCAGGGAGCTGGTCCCTAGACACAGAGGCCAGCACTCTTAATTGATAATGAACAGACAGGAGGAAAATGGGAACCCTGAGATCTAGTGGAAGAAGTAAGATAATTTACTCAATTTGTTTTCCTGGAAATGAAGACTTTATGTCAAGAATCTGTAATAAAATTAGCCGAGGTGCACACACTCAACTCCATAAAACGCTTGATCACCTTGCTGGTCTGCAGCACCTTTTTCTATTTATGGGAGCATTTACCAGTTTTTAAATCCCTTTTGTTTGATTAACATTAGAATCAACAACTGCAATCTGTGTTGGGTTCCAGTAAAGTGTTGTATTTTCACACTTATTAAAGAAGATAGATTTTGTTTTAGGGCCTTAGCTGTAAGTCTCTAACCCTGAGTAGCAAACCATGCTTTTAAACTTTCATTTTATTAGGGAAAAAAAAACACAAAGAGACAAAATCTATAGTTATTTAAGTAGAGAAAACAGTGCAATAAGTAGTCATCACTGCTCCAAGACAGTTTTATAGAGAGAAATGCATTACTAAACCTATCTTTTTCTGAGTTTTTAATCTCTTTTATTCCTCTTAGAACACTTATTTAAAAGGAACACAAAGTTGATTTTTCTTTGTGAATAACTAATGGCTTAATGATGATCTATTCCAAATAGCAGTAGTTTTGATATATTCATAAGAAGCAGTCAGCATTTTGGATGGATCCAAGGCCTTTAGATTCTGCCAAAAATCCTGTGGATTGCAATTCACAGGTAGTAGAGCTATGATAGCTCCTGCAAACAATTGAGGAACCCAAAAATGAGTTCAGTGTGCTTGGGACAATAGGACACTCCAGCCTACCAACCCCAGTGCCCATCATCACTTGATTTTCAGGATTCTCAGTCTTAATGCTATCTCCACCCACCTACTTCTCCTAAGCACCTTATTTACTCCTGTAGTTATCCACAGGGAGTTTCTAAAAGTGAAGAAGTTTTTACTTCTTCATCATCAAAATAAGTGAGGAGGAGAAAGGATACATCCTGTAAGCTTTCTGTCAAGATAGTCTTATTCTGAAGTTAAGACCCTCCTCCTTTTATTTTCTTCCTTCTGTTTTGATTTTAAATTATCCTTGCTTTTATAATACAATGAAGCCAGTTCTTTTTGCTTGGTTTTATACATTAATGTCCTAATTTAGAAATAAATGTTGCTTACCCTATGTTGGTCTCCCCGTATTTGTATTCCTCTTTTAACTCTTTCAGTCATTCTAATTATATCAAGAAGAAAGTCTTGGTTTGTGCTAGACTGTCTTTAACACTTCTCTAACACTTAATAAGAACCCATTTTAACAAAAAAGATCAGGCTGCAGAAAACACTGCAACTGGTTGCGAGCGTATATACATGATTAAAATATGCCTTATTTTCACTGTCTTTATTTTTCCAATGACTTTATGAGTTTTGTTTGTTTGTTTTGGGATGGAGTCTCACTCTGTCACCTGGACTAGAGTGCAGTGGTGCGATCTCGGCTCACTGCAACCTCTGCCTCCCGGGTTCAAGCGATTCTCCTGCCTCAGCCTCCTGAGTAGGTGAGGTTACAGGTGGCCACCACTACGTCCAGCTAATTTTTTGTATTTTTAGTAGAGACGAGGTTTCACCATGTTGGCCAGGCTGGTCTCGAACTCCTGACCTCGTGATTCACCCACCTCAGCCTCCCAAAGTGCTGGGATTACAGGCGAGCCACCGTGCCTGGCCTGACTTTACGTTTTATTCTATTTAACACTGGTGATATAAAGATTTTTAAGTAGACTTAAATTTTAAAAATAAGTAGATTTAAAATATGAAGGCAATAATATAGCTTCGTATTTTACAAAGCTGGTTATCATTAAAAACTTCTTCACCTTTAGAAACTCCCTGTAGTTAACCACAGGAGACAATAAGGTGTTTAGGAGAAGATAATAATAATATGAGTGCCATAAGCACAGAATCTTAACAGTGGCCCAGCAATTAGTACAATTTAGGAACTACTGGTTTAGCCCATCCCTCTCAATAGAAAACAGATAAGGAAACAGAGACTCAGAATAAGGAAGATATTCTTTTCTAAGATCATACAGCTGGTTATCATTAAGCTCTGTTCTCCTCTGTCCCTCCTCATCTAGGTAATTGCATTCGACAACAAATTCTGCAGTGTTAAAGTGAAGGAAATTGGATATAAAATACCCAACAATTGTGATGTGGGCTTTCAGGAAGGTGATGGTTCAAGAGGCTGGTGTGTACTATAGGGGAGGCATAGACGCAAAGACTTGTTGTATAGCACCTTGTGCTGAAAGCCTAAACTCCTCAATTTCTCAGGGCACCAAGAAAAATCTTTGGGCCTGCCTCAAAGGTTGCAGTGGCAGAGATTCCTCTGGAGTCAAGCAAAAGACGGCTCGAATCCCAGCTTCTCAGCTTGGCAAAAAACCATTTTCCATGTCTCAACTCATCTCTTTATTCATGCTACTCTTTACTATTATCATTCCTATAAAATGTTATAGGAAAAATAATAGCTAACAGTTATGGAGCACTTGGTATCTGCCAAGCACCTCTGATGAATTATCTCACTTAACCCTCAAACTAACACTGGAAGGCAGTTATTATCGTTCCATACGATAGGTGAGGACATCTGCACTCTGAATAGTTAATCGCTTATCTGCATCTATACAACTAAGCAGGTGATAGAATAGGATTCAAACCCAAGTGGCTTCATTCCAGAGTCTGCACTTAACGCTACCGCTATCCTGTGCGACTCAAATGCAGATAAGGGTTGCAAAAGCCTGGCACACTGGGGGTAAGGAATGTCAGTGCTTTTTCCGCCAACGTGGCCGCGCGAGTCAGTTGTAACCCGGCATCCAGAACCTTCTCCGTAGGGGCCTTGCCTGGGACTACAACTCCCAGGATGCCGCAGGCGGAGAAGCTGGCCAATCAGGGGGCGCGGCTTCGCCTTCACCGTCGGCTCCCTGCTCCTGTCAGAACCTCGGTGACGGTTGGCCAGGTGGGTAGTGACGGCTGCTCGGTCTTGAAGGATCCTAATCTGGTTTGGGAGGGTGAAGACCGCTGAAATTTCCAGGCTGCCCGAGGCTCCACCTTCCACCACCCAACGGGTGGGCGGTGGGCCGGGCTGGCCTCGGAGCCTCTCCCTGGGTGTCGGTTGGGCCGAGAAGGGGACGGTTGGCTGGGTGGGCCTGGCGGCTGGTGGCTGTCCGTAGGCCGGGGTCACTCTGAGGGCATTTTACATTACCCTAATCCTGTCCACTTGGCAAGAAACTTAGTAAGCCCCAAAGGTTCATTCCAAATCCTGTCTGGGAGGGCGAGGACTGTGGAAACTTCCAGATGCCTCAGGCTCCATCTTTAGCTGTTGAGCGGGTGGTTGGGCCGCTCATGGCCCCAAAGATCTGGGGGGTCTTCATGGGCAGTTGGGTCGCTGAGGGCCCTAAAGATCTGGGGCTCCTCCCAGGTGTCAGTTGGGCCAAGGAGGAGGCTGGGCTTTCAGAGTAGAACCTGCGGTGCTAACGATGGCTCTGCAGGGCTGCGGGCTGAGGGCCTGGGCGGCGTCCTGTGGCCCGGAGATGGCGCTCTAGTGGTATCAGGCCTTGAGTCAGCGACATCCTGGCTTCTGACCCCCCATTCCTATGGCCCCTACAGTCTGGTCTCCGCTTCCCCACTCCCGGTGAATTGCTGTTGGAGCAGCCTCTCCTTTCTGGGTAGTGGCCTGGCCGAGCTCCCCGGGGAGGGCTTGACCCAGACCTGTCCTGCCTCCAGTCCAGTCCCAGCTACATTGTTGTGTAGCACCCCACTGTGCCCTCACCCCACCCACGCGCTGGGTGCTCGAGGGCCTAGGAGAACCAGAGTGGAGAGAGGCCACTGTCTTGGGCTCTAAAATCATTTAGTTTCTACTTTACTATTTTTAAAAAACTTTTGCCTTGTTTTTGAAGTTCTTTAATTCCACCACTCCACCCCTTGTTAAAATATCATCTTTCTTTTTCCCTGCAACTTGACTCTTGGTTTGGCATGCCCAAGGAAGGCAGCTGACATCCTGGAGAATGGGGTCTTGGGGGTAGATGCAAAGCGCATTTTATTAATGTCTGGGAAACAAAATTAGTTTTTTTACAGTGGCTCTGAAATGAGAGAAATTGCAGAAATTCTCCCTGCTCAGGAAAAGGTAGAGGCAAGGATTGACTTAAAGGTTAGTTTGTTTTCATTATTTTGGACAAGCAGCTTGACCCATGACTGCCCACCTTTCACACTGCTGGAGTTGTGTATGCTAATTGAGATGGAGTTTTTCAAGTCATTTTGAGAGACTGAACAGCTTAAGACTAGTTTCTAGTGAACCACCTCTCTGTATATTTGTATCTGACACAATTGGTTAAATACAGGTACTGTATAACATAGGAATGCGTTGATTTATACATTTCAGTTAACCAAAATTAAAATGTCTGTTACTCTAACTCCCAAAACCAAACCAGCCATTTGCCATACTCTTAGTGGATTATAATTGAATTATCCTCTTAATGAATTAGAATAAAATTCTTTTTTGAGTTTCACTGTGTACTTAAATCATATGTGGGCCCTGTTATTCAAGAATAAGTTAGAAAAAGACATGGACTTACATAAACAAAATTAGAGAAGATCTTAACACAAACGCTAAATTGTAAGGTAGTTTATAAGGGCTGAGGCTTTCTGAAAAGGGGACATCTTCATTTCCATTGTAAGCCCTATCTTGTGGATATGGTTTGATTGAGGAAGGAACCTCATCCTACAAATTCCAGTTGGAGTTTTTAGTTGGAAAAATATTACATAACACATTAATGCCTTTTGATGTTAGAATTCTAACCATTTATAAAGATTTGTTTCATAATTATTTCTGAAATAACAGATTTATAGAAATACTGAAAATGTAAGTATTTTAAAAGTACACATAAATACTGATTTATACATTGTTTCTGTTTTTCTTTTAAAATCAGATGGGTAAGAAGCGTGTTACTGATCATAAGCTAAATGTGGACAAAGTAATTAAAAATATTAACACAATTTCTTCGGAGTTGAAGAAGATAAAAGGTAAGTATTGAATCACTAAAATGTTTGCATGTCATTGTTATAAAATAAATGATAGAGCCAGTTTGTGTTTCTGCTGGGGTATAAGTAAATTTTGCCCACTAATTAGGATTTCTCTATTTCTTAACAAATGTTTTCAGTGTAAGTGAACTAGATCTCTAAAGATGAATTATGTTCGACTTTGGAGTTAGCAGACCTGAATTCCCATCCCTGACATTAATAAGCTTATCAGGTTGTCTAACCTCTGTAAATTTTACTTCCCTTCCTTCCCTTCAACACACCATTCAAGACTATGTCACATTCAGCAAAATTCATTGTCTTTATAAATTCTTACTAAGCCCCTAAGGTCCATTCCAAATTAAAAAGTATAAATTAGATTCTGTGACTTAAAGCTTCTTCATTTTAAACAGATTCATATAGTAGGATTAGACCTTATAGGTCATGATGTTTAGTCGCTCACCTCACAGACATATTCAGTTATTTTATCCCAAGAAAATTTCTGTGATTGAATATTTCTAGGGATAATCTATCCCTGACCAAACATTTCTTATGCTGGGGAACTTCCTGTCTCACTAGTCAATCCATTCTATTTTAAACAATTCCTTCTCACCAGCTAGCTGAAATCTGTTCCCCTATTGCTTTCACCTAAGAGTCCTATTTCTAACCATGAAAACTACACTGAATATGTAGTTATTCTTTTTAAAACAACTCTTGGGTATTTAAAGATAACCTGTGTCAGTTATGAGGCCTACATCTATAAGTAACAAAAAAACCAACTTAACTTATACAATAAGGAAAAACAAGAAGATCCAAGGTAGCAGAGCCCTAAAGTTAATTCAGAGGTTTAAAGATTTTGTCAGGGACCAGGCTCTTTCCATCTTTCTGCTCTGTCATGTTCACTCTCTTTATTACCCCTCATGATCATTACCTTCAGAGGTGCTCATATATAGACAGTCTCTTTTTATAAGTCTCCTCCCAGATCCCTCCAGCACAGTTCCCTTTCATTGGCCAGATTTGCATCACATGCTGATGCTTACAGCAGCCACAGCTAAGGGGACTGGGACTGCCAAGACCAGTTTGGACCACTCAGAACTTACTACAGGAGCTGGGGAAAGGAACACCTCAAACAAAATCAAGCTGTGACTCCAAGAAGAAGAGGGCATGGCCGTTCGTTAGGCACCAAATAATGAGTGCCTAATATGCTTTTTCCATGTGTTCTCCCTAGGACAGCATTTCCTGGACTTTGATCTGTGAACCCTGCTGTTTCAAGCAATGTTAATAGATGGTGTACAGTAGAACAGAGTCAATGTTCTTATGGCCAAATAAGTTTGGAAAGTGCTTTATGCTACATATTTCACAAATTTACAGTACATATTAAGAAATCTGACTACCTTTAATTCATCATTTCTCAAAACCAGCTTCAACACCACAGTGAAGATTCTCCTTCTAAAATGCGAATCTGCAGAAAACCCTCATTGGCTCACCATTGTCCTCAGGATAAAGTCTAAACATCTTAGAATGGACTATATGACCTGCTCAGATCATTCCCCTCCTTTCCCCTCTAGTCTCTTACTCTGTTCTTACTGCATGTTCTATGCTCCAGCTGTACTGAACTATTTGCATATCTCCACAAGTGCTTTTCTGTATCTGTTTCAACACATACTTGTCTGTCTGAAATCCCATTGCTATACCCTACCTCCAACACACCAGGTTAACTGCTAGTAGTCAAGGTCTCTTACAATGGAAAACTTTTTTTGAGCCAGCATGTTATCCTTTCTGCCTTTTGCTATCACCTGTTATACTATTTTATAATTGCATATTTCCTTACTTTTCTTATCCCTGCTCAACTGTAAGCTCCTTATGGGTATTTCTAGTACTTAACACGGTGCCTTGATTGATTCGATTCTTAAAAAATTTTTATTAAATGAATAAATGGTTCTGGATGCTTGAACTCATTTAAAACAGTTAAGAAGCTTTAGATTCCCCCCAAACTTGATTATCTAATTGTTCTAGTTTGGAGAATATTCTTTCATAAAATAAAATGTAATAACTATGTGATAGATGTTTTCTTGAGACATTGTATGGGTAGGTCAGGCAGTTAGACTCTGAGGGACCTGTAGAGCTACGCTAGGAAGGTAGACTTCTGGTAAATGTAGAGGATTAAATGAACACTCTGTGCACCCTCACTTCCTCCCCTAAATAGTAATGTCAGCAGCCAACCTTTACAGAATTTACCATAATCCAGGACTCTTCTAAGAGCTCTGCATAAATGAACTCTCTTCATCATAATCCTATGAGGTAGGAACTATTGCCATTGGCATTTACAGATGTGTAAATAGAGAGATTTAACTTTTTCAAGGTCAAGCAACTAGTCAGTGGTACACCTGAGATTTAAATTTAAGTGATTTTTAAAGAGACAAAAATCCACAAGTAAAGAGATTCCAAGAAGAGATAACAAAACAAAAGGCAAATGGAGAAGCAAATAGACAAGTCTGAACCCCAAAGCCCAAAAATCTGAACCCTAAGCTGGCTGGGTAAAGCCAAAAATAGCCCCTACGACTCAATTCATGGTGGCACCAGGATCTTCTGGAAGTAGGGGTGAAATTTGGATAATAGGAAGACTAGTTAAATATATAAGAATTGTAGATCCCTGAGGTCTCTTCTGCCCTCTGCATAGCTGGGCAGCTATCCCTTCACTGTGACAAAAGACTTGAGGTTAAAACAAGGATATTTGCCCTGGAACCACTAGTCATAGGTTGAGGGAAAGTAGTATACTGTAAAGAAGGACACTGAAACAAAGTTTACTTACAAAATTACAAGACCCCCAGTTTTTTTTCCTTCACTGGGCTACCAAAATACTGGCAGCCAGATTTATACCCACCAAGTAGATTTTTCTCTCAGGAATCTGACCAGCCTAAGATAAAAGATCTAAAGATACTAATAGCAGAGGTTCTCCCAACAAAATAACCCAGCCAGAACACCCCACATTATTGAGTACCACAGGTGCAGAACTTCCAATTGTCTTTTTAGTGTCACAGTCTTAAATATGGGCAACTAAGGCACAACAGATACTTGAGGGACAAATCTAATATTAAAAAGCAGAGAAAAAATCAACAGATTCAATGAGGAAGAAACAAATAATGAGGGGAGATGAAAATTTCAAGAAATTATTAATATTCAGAGAGAAGAGAAGATACTGTATCCATGAAAAAGGAACTACATACTATAAAAAATATTCAGAGAACAAGAAGGAGCTCTTGGAAATTAAAAATGTGACCATAGACATGAAAAACTCGATAGAAGGGTTGAAAGGTAAAATGAAGAAATTCCTCTAGAGTGTAAACAAAACAAAAGAGATGGAAAGTGTTGGTGATGGGGAGGAAAAGGATTAGGTAAGTGAAGGAAGTCCAACATCCAACAAATAAGAGTGTTAGAAAGAGAGAACATACACAAGGAATGAAGGGCAATTCATTAAAGAAATAAAGAAAACTTCCTAGAGTTGAAGGGCATTTGTTTCTACAATGAAAGAGTCCACCACAGTGCATGAAAATAGGCTCATACCAAGGCAGAATGTTGTGAAATTTCAGTCTACTGAGAGAACAAAAAGATCTGTAAAGCTTCTGAAAACAAAACAATCATATGAAAGTTCTCATATGACTCCAGCTTCACTGGAACCTAGAAGACAATGCAGCAGTGCCTTTGGAAATCTGAAAAAAATATGATTTCCAACCTAGATTTCTATAGCTAGTCAACCTAATTAAGGATTAGTGTAGATAAATTTTCAGACATATAATTTTATTCCCTCTGGAAGTTACTGAGCCTATATGTCACCAAACAAGGGAACAGATCAAAAAGAGAGACACAGGAATCTGGGGAAAAGGGCACTCCACAGAATGGAGGGATAAAAGGAGTCTCTAGGATATTAGTGAAGGGAGTTCCCAAGATACCAGCTGTACAGCAGTGCTAGTAAGCAATCAGTTCAGATTGGAGCAAATCAGAAGGCTCCAGGAGAGGAGAGACGTTTAACAATAGAATAGCTAAGGTGTTGAATAACCCAAGAGCAAATTTACTCAATTGGGGGACATTTAGGATATATTTCTGATAATGCAGCAATGCAAAAACCCAATTATTACCTCTGGTGGGTTGCGTGCAGGAAGGAAAATGTCATATGACAAGACTCAGCTATGAAGAATATTTGTATAATTAACATTTAAACATTAGATAATTGAGCTAAGCAAAAATTTTTCCTGAAGTATATTGGGAGAGAAGAGGGTGTGTGAAAGAGCTGTATCTTAATCTTCTGTGTCAGAGGCAGGTAACACTGAAAATTGAAAAAAAAAAAATCAAATCTCAAAAAATTTAAAGTTACAGAGGTAAACACCACCCCACCACTCCCCACAATAAAAATACTCAAAACAGACACACTGAAATGACCAAAGCAACAAAAACAAAGTGAGCTATAAAAAAAAAAAATTAAAATGGTTGCCTCTGGGAGATTGGAACTGCAGTTTTTTTGTAACATGCCTTAGACTTATCTGATTCTTGGTACTATATGCATGTATAACATAGATAAAAATAAGTTAAAACCATATAAATCAAATTTGTATAAATCAAGTTGCAGTTTAGTGATATAGCCGAGAAGTTGGGCTAAAGAGCACCCTTTTAGTAAGTTTTTATGTCATGCTTATTTTGTAATAACATAAATCTTATTTTTTTTTTAATTATACTTTAAGTTTTAGGGTACATGTGCACATTGTGCAGGTTAGTTACATATGTATACATGTGCCATGCTGGTGCGCTGCACCCACTAACTCGTCATCTAGCATTATGTGTATCTCCCAATGCTATCCCTCCCCCGTCCCCCCACCCCACCACAGTTCCCAGAGTGTGATATTCCCCTTCCTGTGTCCATGTGATCTCATTGTTCAATTCCCACCTATAAGTGAGAATATGCGGTGTTTGGTTTTTTGTTCTTGCGATAGTTTACTGAGAATGATGATTTCCAATTTCATCCATGTCCCTACAAAGGACATGAACTCATCATTTTTTATGGCTGCATAGTATTCCATGGTGTATATGTGCCACATTTTCTTAATCCAGTCTATCACTGTTGGACATTTGGGTTGGTTCCAAGTCTTTGCTATTGTGAATAATGCCGCAGTAAACATACGTGTGCATGTGTCTTTATAGCAGCATGATTTATAGTCCTTTGGGTATATACCCAGTAATGGGATGGCTGGGTCAAATGGTATTTCTAGTTCTAGATCCCTGAGGAATCGCCACACTGACTTCCACAATGGTTGAACTAGTTTACAGTCCCACCAACAGTGTAAAAGTGTTCCTATTTCTCCACATCCTCTCCAGCACCTGTTGTTTCCTGACTTTTTAATGATTGCCTTTCTAACTGGTGTGAGATGGTATCTCATTGTGGTTTTGATTTGCATTTCTCTGATGGCCAGTGATGATGAGCATTTTTTCATGTGTTTTTGGCTGCATAAATGTCTTCTTTTGAGAAGTGTCTGTTCATGTCCTTCGCCCACTTTTTGATGGGGTTGTTTGTTTTTTTCTTGTAAATTTGTTTGAGTTCACTGTAGATTCTGGATATTAGCCCTTTGTCAGATGAGTAGGTTGTGAAAATTTTCTCCCATTTTGTAGGTTGCCTGTTCACTCTGATGGTAGTTTCTTTTGCTGTGCAGAAGCTCTTTAGTTTAATTAGATCCCATTTGTCAATTTTGTCTTTTGTTGCCATTGCTTTTGGTGTTTTGGACGTGAAGTCCTTGCCCATGCCTATGTCCTGAATGGTAATGCCTAGGTTTTCTTCTAGGGTTTTTATGGTTTTAGGTCTAACGCTTAAGTCTTTAATCCATCTTGAATTGATTTTTGTATAAGGTGTAAGGAAGGGATCCAGTTTCAGCTTTCTACATATGGCTAGCCAGTTTTCCCAGCACCATTTATTAAATAGGGAATCCTTTCCCCATTGCTTGTTTTTCTCAGGTTTGTCAAAGATCAGATAGTTGTAGATATGCGGCGTTATTTCTGAGGGCTCTGTTCTGTTCCATTGATCTATATCTCTGTTTTGGTACCAGTACCATGCTGTTTTGGTTAGTGTAGCCTTGTAGTATAGTTTGAAGTCAGGTAGTGTGATGCCTCCAGCTTTGTTCTTTTGGCTTAGGATTGCCTTGGTGATGCGGGCTCTTTTTTTGGTTCCATATGAACTTTAAAGTAGTTTTTTCCAATTCTGTGAAGAAAGTCATTGGTAGCTTGATGGGGATGGCATTGAATCTATAAATTACCTTGGGCAGTATGGCCATTTTCACGATATTGATTCTTCCTACCCATGAGCATGAAATGTTCTTCCATTTCTTTGTATCCTCTTTTATTTCCTTGAGCAGTGGTTTGTAGTTCTCCTTGAAGAGGTCCTTCACATCCCTTGTAAGTTGGATCCCTAGGTATTTTATTCTCTTTGAAGCAATTGTGAATGGGAGTTCACTCATGATTTGGCTCTCTGTTTGTCTGTTATTGGTGTATAAGAATGCTTGTGATTTTCGTACATTGATTTTGTATCCTGAGACTTTGCTGAAGTTGCTTATCAGCTTAAGGAGATTTTGGGCTGAGACGATGGGGTTTTCTAGATATACAATCATGTCATCTGCAAACAGGGACAATTTGACTTCCTCTTTTCCTAATTGAATACCCTTTATTTCCTTCTCCTGCCTAATTGCCCTGGCCAGAACTTCCAACACTATGTTGAATAGGACTGGTGAGAGAGGGCATCCCTGTCTTGTGCCAGTTTTCAATGGGAATGCTTCCAGTTTTTGCCCATTCAGTATGATATTGGCTGTGGGTTTGTCATAGATAGCTCTTATTATTTTGAATTACATCCCATCAATACCTAATTTATTGAGAGTTTTTAGCATGAAGGGTTGTTGAATTTTGTCAAAGGCTTTTTCTGCATCTATTGAGATAATCATGTGGTTTTTGTCTTTGGCTCTGTTTATATGCTGGATTACATTTATTGATTTGCATATATTGAACCAGCCTTGCATCCCAGGGATGAAGCCCACTTGATCATGGTGGATAAGCTTTTTGATATGCTGCTGGATTCGTTTTGCCAGTATTTTATTGAGGATTTTTGCATCAATGTTCATCAAGGATATTGGTCTAAAATTCTCTTTTTTGGTTGTGTCTCTGCCAGGCTTTGGTATCAGAATGATGCTGGCCTCATAAAATGAGTTAGGGAGGATTCCCTCTTTTTCTATTGATTGGAATAGTTTCAGAAGGAATGGTACCAGTTCCTCCTTGTACCTCTGGTAGAATTCGGCTGTGAATCCATCTGGTCCTGGACTCTTTTTGGTTGGTAAACTATTGATTATTGCCCCAATTTCAGCTCCTGTTATTGGTCTATTCAGAGATTCAACTTCTTCCTGGTTTAGTCTTGGGAGAGTGTATGTGTCGAGGAATTTATCCATTTCTTCTAGATTTTCTAGTTTATTTGCGTAGAGGTGTTTGTAGTATTCTCTGATGGTAGTTTGTATTTCTGTGGGATCGGTGGTGATATCCCCTTTATCATTTTTTATTGTGTCTATTGGATTCTTCTCTCTTTTTTTCTTTATTAGTCTTGCTAGCGGTCTATCAATTTTGTTGATCCTTTCAAAAAACCAGCTCCTGGATTCATTAATTTTTGAAGGGTTTTTTGTGTCTCTATTTCCTTCAGTTCTGCTCTGATTTTAGTTATTTCTTGCCTTCTGCTAGCTTTTGAACATGTTTGCTCTTGCTTTTCTAGTTCTTTTAATTGTGATGTTAGGGTGTCAATTTTGGATCTTTCCTGCTTTCTCTTGTGGGCATTTAGTGCTATAAATTTCCCTCTACACACTGCTTTGAATGCGTCCCAGAGATTCTGGTATGTTGTGTCTTTGTTCTCGTTGGTTTCAAAGAACATCTTTATTTCTGCCTTCATTTCGTTATGTATCCAGTAGTCATTCAGGAGCAGGTTGTTCAGTTTCCATGTAGTTGAGTGGTTTTGAGTGAGATTCTTAATCCTGAGTTCTAGTTTGATTGCACTGTGGTCTGAGAGATAGTTTGTTATAATCTCTGTTCTTTTACATTTGCTGAGGAGAGCTTTACTTCCAAGTATATGGTCAATTTTGGAATAGGTGTGGTGTGGTGCTGAAAAAAATGTATATTCTGTTGATTTGGGGTGGAGAGTTCTGTAGATGTCTATTAGGTCCGCTTGGTGCAGAGCTGAGTTCAATTCCTGGGTATCCTTGTTGACTTTCTGTCTCATTGATCTGTCTAATATTGACAGTGGGGTGTTAAAGTCTCCCATTATTAATGTGTGGGAGTCTAAGTCTCTTTGTAGGTCACTCAGGACTTGCTTTATGAATCTGGGTGCTCCTGTATTGGGTGCATATATATTTAGGATAGTTAGCTCTTCTTGTTGAATACATCCCTTTACCATTATGTAATGGCCTTCTTTGTCTCTTTTGATCTTTGTTGGTTTAAAGTCTGTTTTATCAGAGACTAGGATCGCAACCCCTGCCTTTTTTTGTTTTCCATTTGCTTGGTAGATCTTCCTCCATCCTTTTATTTTGAGCCTATGTGTGTCTCTGCACGTGAGATGGGTTTCCTGAATACAGCACACTGATGGGTCTTGACTCTTTATCCAATTTGCCAGACTGTGTCTTTTAATTGGAGCATTTAGTCCATTTACATTTAAAGTTAATATTGTTATGTGTGAATTTGATCCTGTCATTATGATGTTAGCTGGTGATTTTGCTCATTAGTTGATGCAGTTTCTTCCTAGTCTCGATGGTCTTTACATTTTGGCATGATTTTGCAGCGGCTGGTACCAGTTGTTCCTTTCCATGTTTAGCACTTCCTTCAGGAGCTCTTTTAGGGCAGGCCTGGTGGTGACAAAATCTCTCAGCATTTGCTTGTCTGTAAAGTATTTTATTTCTCCTTCACTTATGAAGCTTAGTTTGGCTGGATATGAAATTCTGGGTTGAAGATCCTTTTCTTTAAGAATGTTGAATATTGGCCCCCACTCTCTTCTGGCTTGTAGGGTTTCTGCCAAGAGATCCGCTGTTAGTCTGATGGGCTTCCCTTTGAGGGTAACCCGACCTTTCTCTCTGGCTGCCCTTAACATTTTTTCCTTCATTTCAACTTTGGTGAATCTGACAATTATGTGTCTTGGAGTTGCTCTTCTCGAGGAGTATCTTTGTGGCGTTCTCTGTATTTCCTGAATCTGAACATTGGCCTGCCTTGCTAGATTGGGGAAGTTCTCCTGGATAGTATCCTGCAGAGTGTTTTCCAACTTGGTTCCATTCTCCCCATCACTTTCAGGTACACCAATCAGACGTAGATTTGGTCTTTTCACATAGTCCCATATTTCTTGGAGGCTTTGCTCATTTCTTTTTATTCTTTTTTCTCTAAACTTCCCTTCTCGCTTCATTTCATTCATTTCATCTGCCATTGCTGATACCCTTTCTTCCAGTTGATCTCATCGGCTCCTGAGACTTCTGCATTCTTCACGTAGTTCTCGAGCCTTGGTTTTCAGCTCCATCAGCTCCTTTAAGCACTTCTCTGTATTGGTTATTCTAGTTATACATTCTTCTAAATTTTTTTCAAAGTTTTCAACTTCTTTGCCTTTGGTTTGAATGTCCTCCCGTTAGCTCAGAGTAATTTGATCGTCTGAAGCCTTCTTCTCTCAGCTCGTCAAAGTCATTCTCCATCCAGCTTTGTTCTGTTGCTGGTGAGGAACTGTGTTCCTTTGGAGGAGGAGAGGCGCTCTGCGTTTTAGAGTTTCCAGTTTTTCTGTTCTGTTTTTTCCCCATCTTTGTGGTTTTATCTACTTTTGGTCTTTGATGATGGTGATGTACAGATGGGTTTTTGGTGTGGATGTCCTTTCTGTTTGTTAGTTTTCCTTCTGACACACAGGACCCTCAGCTGCAGGTCTGTTAGAATACCCTGCCGTGTGAGGTGTCAGTGTGCCCCTGCTGGGGGGTGCCTCCCAGTTAGCCGGGTCAGGGGTCAGGGACCCACTTGAGGAGGCAGTCTGCCCGTTCTCAGATCTCCAGCTGCGTGCTGGGAGAACCACTGCTCTCTTCAAAGCTGTCAGACAGGGACATTTAAGTCTGCAGAGGTTACTGCTGTCTTTTTGTTTGTCTGTGCCCTGCCCCCAGAGGTGGAGCCTACAGAGGCAGGCAGGCCTCTTTGAGCTGTGGTGGGCTCCACCCAGTTCGAGCTTCCCAGCTGCTTTGTTTACCTAATCAAGCCTGGGCAATGGTGGGCGCCCCTCCCCCAGCCTCGCTGCTGCCTTGCAGTTTGATCTCAGACTGCTGTGCTAGCAATCAGCGAGACTCCGTGGGCGTAGGACCTTCCAAGCCAGGTGCGGGATATAATCTCGTGGTGCGCCGTTTTTTAAGCCGGTCTGAAAAGCGCAATATTCAGGTGGGAGTGACCCGATTTTCCAGGTGCGTCCGTCACCCCTTTCTTTGACTCGGAAAGGGAACTCCCTGACCCCTTGCACTTCCCAAGTGAGGCAATGCCTCGCCCTGCTTCGGCTCGCACACCGTGCGCGCACCCACTGACCTGCGCCCACTGTCTGGCACTCCCTAGTGAGATGAACCCGGTACCTCAGATGGAAATGCAGAAATCACCTGTCTTCTGCGTCGCTCACGCTGGGAGCTGTAGACCGGAGCTGTTCCTATTCAGCCATCTTGGCTCCTCGAGAGCATAAATCTTATTTTAAGTCAGAATGGGACACACTTAAGTTGTGGTTTGATCACTAATCACTTGGAAATTAGGAATTAGGAAGAAATAGCTACTTAAAGCAATAATAGTTTTTTATGACATATGTGCTACAATATAATATCTCCTGTTTTGTTTTGCACAGAGCTCTCCCAGTTATTGCTTTGTGACCTTATCCTACATTTTAATCATCCCATCAAGACTGAGAACTTAGCAGAAGCAGAAAGAAACAACCCCCTCTTTGAAGAGTCTAAAATATCAGATGTATCCCTTGTTTCTAACAGTTTTTCTATCTGATTTCTTATTTGTTATGAGTTTCTGTTTTATTGTTGAACTAACAAATATTTGGGAGAGTTGAGTTTACTAATTTGTATATATATAATTTAAAACAAAATAAAAATAATGTAAACAAGCAGTTCATGTTCTTGAAGGCTGTTTAATGTTTTGAAGAATGGCTTAACTTACGTCACTAATGGCAAGTGTATGACATAGGAAATTGGCCATGGGTCACTGCTTATCCTTTAGCTTATGCTTGAATTTGGCTCAGGTTGAAAGAGAGCTACTAAATTATTAATTGATGGAATGAGTTTTTATTAATCAGAACTCTCCTGGTAGTGAACGCCAAGCACAACTCAACCAGCTGAAGCATTTATTGAGTCATGTGACTTGGAAGCACATAGTTGGAATAGATTTCAGGGATCCCACTAATTTGTCCATACTTTTACTGTGTTTTTGTGTGTTGGCCTCGTTGTCTTCTATTGTAGACTGGTTCTTCCAGATAATTGGTAAATGGGAGTAGTTGCAGGGCAGCAGGCAGCTCCAAGTGTACAGCATTGCCTTTGGGGACCCCAGATAAAAGAGAGATCTTGTCTCAGGCTTCATGTTTAACATTCCAGAGAGTGACCCTGATTGACCCAGCTTTAGTAAGATGTTTATCACTGAGCAGGGTTCTGAGCAACTGTGACTGATGCACCTGGGGTCATATAGAAGGTCTGTGGCCAAAAGAGGCAAGGCCCAGCCAAAAGGAGTTGTCGGTGCTTGAACAGAGAGAGAATGCTAGTCATGAAAACATTAGCTTCCCAACATTGATTTCAGTCATAGCCATGGAACAGAACATCTTAATCCTGATGGCACTTTCCACTAATAGACTTAAAATGAGCTTTGGTTTGTTTTATAAACATGATTCGCTACCAAATAGTTGCTTTGAAATCTATCAGGTCCTTCATTTTAGATATTTTTGAATTGTAAAGATAGAATACGGCAAAGCAAGACAAGTGGAGCTTACTCGATACTAGAACCTATGGTGTATGCTATCCTTACTACCTTGTACCTAGCTCACTTGTTTAACACAGAAGAGCCACTAAGTAAATACTTGCTGAATAGCCCGTTGTGTAGACGTGTAAATGAATGCAGGGTTTTCAGCCTTAAACTCCCAAGTTTTGGACCCTAAACTGAGAACTTCTGGTTGTTAAGGATGAGATTTTGTGAAACACCATTTTTATCATCAGTTAAAAGTCTCTACCTTCTGCATACTCCTTATTTTAACATATCATCAGTTTTAAAATGGTGACTTCTTAGATTCCTTCCAATACCCCTTTTATTAGCTCATGAAAATGAAGCTGCAAGATACTCTTTTCCATTTCGAAAACTTGTAGATTAAGCAGAGACGCCAAAAATTGTTGCTAATAAAAGTTGTGCAATAACAACCAAGGTCCCAAAGGGAAAAACTTGAAGAACAACTGATTGTCACTATTTGGCTGAATACCAGTTTTTTAATCTGGCTGAATGCCTATATTTTTTGTTAAGTGATATTTGTAAACTGGAGGAAAGAGTTTAATTACCTCAAAGCACTTATACAGCCTGTTTGGGAAGGATGAGGAGAAGGGACTTTATGGCAGAGCTGTCAGGGGGATAACAAGAGACAGAAGAGCCATATCTAATAGGAAAGTCTGATCACATTTAATCTAAAGTGTTGCTCCCTCGTCTTCCCAGGAAGCCTTTGGTAAAATCTATATCCCTGGACAATGCTTTTGGGGTTGGGAGAAGGTTGGTGGGGGGCTGTGATGGTTGGTGTGGGTGTGGAGATGTGAAGAAATGCCAACTTAACCCCAGATGTGTTCATTAAACCTAGACCCACGATACACCAAAGTCTCATCCCTAAATTTAAAATGTTTTCTTTTGGTATTTGTAGTTTAAATTTTCTTTAAGACAAAAATATAACAGTATGGACTAAAAGTCAATAAAGTTGTTTTAGGAAACCAAAAAAGTAAAGCAAAAGACTATTTTAATCCCAGAAGTTATCTCAACATGCATTTGTCTTTTCATAAAAAAATTACGTAAAAATGCCCCCAGGAAAAAATACTAAATAAGAGTGAAATTATATTTTTGAAGCCTCTTAAATTATTGCTGCTGAGAAAACGAGGTTTAGTGATTTTCAAATTACATGTATAAAACTAATGAATGCCTCTGACTGACAGAGGTTTGGCTGTAAAAAACAAATCAGTTTTATGTGACACCAATAACTATTACTGTTTCAGTGTTTTAAAACTTGCCCCAAATTGTTTCTGTAGCTGTGTAAACTACTGTATTTTGAAATGGGCATTAAATAATCTTTTAAAAAATGAATTATTACAGTGCACTACTAGACTTCAAGTGTGAACATGACTCATGCACTTTACAAACATTGAAGAAGAATAAATAAATTATGGGATAGTTGACAGTCTTCATTTCAAACACTGTTTTTAAAGGAAAGGATAAAACCCTTGTGTTCATGGGGAGGGGTTCAGTTCAGTCCTAAGTGTTTGTCCATTGACCAAGGCTGATTGATCTCGTGTTGGCAACAGAGGCAGGAGGACGGTTCATTTGCTCGGCTATAACTTGCTATGGGTACCCTGCAGCATGCGTTAATGTGCACTGGTATCTGGAACCTCGGTTTTTCCCATCAATGAGCAGAAGTGGCATTTTCCTGAAGTAGTCAATAATATCTGACACAGACAGAAAGTCCTGAAAGAGTCAAGATAGGGAGATGAGTCAACATTGGAATGAAAAGCAGGAACTTCACTTTCAGTTTTTTTATCTGCATAATATATGCTGCCTCTTCAAGTGATGAGGATTGTGGGGGGAAAAAATGTAAATGTGGCAATTAGTTTAATGATTTCTGCTATAGAACTTTGAAAAAATTCCTCATAAACATCCAACAAACCATAGATAAAGATAAAATATGGGCCGGGTGCAGTAATTCACCCCTGTAATCCCAGCACTTTGGGAGGCTAAGGCCGGTGGATCACCTGAGGTCAGGAGTTTGAGACCAGCTTGACCAACATGGTGAAACCCTGTCTCTACTAGAAAATAGAAAAATATTAGCTGGGCGTGCTGGTGTGCGCCTGTAATCCCAGCTGCTTGGGAGGCTGAGGCAGGAGAATTGCTTGAACCTGGGAGGCAGAGGTTGCAGTGAGCCGAGATTGCGCCATTGCCGCACTCCAGCCTGGGTAACAAGAAGGAAACTCCATCTCAAAAAAAAATAGATAAAATATGTGCATGCGTGTGTATATATATATATATATATCTACATATCTATATATATATATATGTAATTTGAAATGCATATATTTTTAACTTCATATGAAGGGGTCATTTAAATAGTCACTATTACAATATTCTTGCCTCGGGTTGCTCTGTTTTTGGTTTTGGTTTTGGTTTCTGCATCTCTATTTCACCCCCAGTCATTAATAGTGTTAGGAAACATAAGGACTCAGGAGGTCAGACACGGTTCATGGTGTCTAGAGGTGGGATCTGCAGCATGGCACAGGAGTTCCTTCATGATCTCTCTGCTGTGTCCTCACTGCCACCTTCACACTCATAAAGGCTCAGCAACCAATATTTGCAGCCATAGCCTGGATCGCCCCAGCCTTGATTGCTTGCTAGAGAGGGAAAAGCCTAACTCATTTTTCTAGATGTGGGTCACAACTCACCTAGGAACCCTAACAGGATAATGCACTTCCTTTAAGACTAATCTGCTAGGTGCCTCCCTCCATGGGAGCTGCAATGAGTGGTTGGTCTGCACTTGTGTGTTTCCACACTGGACCAAGATAAATCTTGAAGGGCAAATACCTCTGCTCCTATAGGGTCTGTGCAGCTCTATCCACTGCCAACCAGCGATTCAAACATTTGATCACAAGCATGCATTTTTTTTCTATTCATTAACATTATCATAACAGAAGTATGTGAAGCAGAAGTTATGGGTAAGCTGTTTCTCATTCTGGACATGTTTGATTCAGCTGGTCCTCCTCTTGGAACTTTGAACTTAGAGTATGTTTGGGGCGTTACCTTCAGTTGTTAGTTTCCTTTGCGAAAAACTAGCCCTGAGGGTTTCTTTCCATCCGTTCTGATTAGCACTCAAAAAGTGACTGGCATGAGAATCTAAACCTTGGCCTAACAGAGAATTTCTTTGGCGATCTGGCCATCCTCACAGAGCCAAACCTCCATTTTGTTAAGAAATGAGCCAAGTATTTGAATAATCACCCCAGCAAATATTCTAATTTTTCCCCTTTTCCAGGTGGTGTCAACTTAAAATGCAGCCTACGTTAAAATTATGCCACAGAGGTGAATAATAGTGGGAACTTTCCTTTGACACCATCTAAATAGATTTTTTTAAGTTAACATAGTTTTTCTTGATTTTGAAAATTATACATGTGATTATTTGAAAGAAAAGATATACAAGAAAGAATCCTATGGCAGAAGTAACCATTGTAAAGATTTTGCTTTATTTCTCTTCCAATAAATGAAGGGCTTCACTCATGTGATTTAATCCTAAATTTGCCATACAGCACGGACTCTCAAAGATCGCTCCATGAAGGCATGCAGAGTGGCATAAATAAAGACTTTGGGAAAATGTCGAAATTTGAAATCCTTACCTCTTTCCCTCGGAGTCCAGTTCCCAACAAGTAAACTTGACTTTCCTTCTGATAACGGATCTGGATGTTGTAAACTTTATCTTTGTACAACACCATGAGGACATATGGATTGGTTGTTGTTTTTTTAGAGCTGTCTCTGACCAGAAATGTGCCATCCTAAAAAGACAAATTCCTGTTATTATGGGAGCAGTAAAAGTCAATATTTTTGTTGCTTGTAAGAGTAGTAGACAAGCCTCTAGGGATCTGACAAACATGTCAGTTGCACTTTGCAGCTTCTTGAGTGCAAAACCTGTCATTCAACGAACATTCAGTTCTCCAAACAGCTACATATCCCATGTGTCATGAGTTATTTTGTTATTAAGAAAGGCAACAGAGATTGTATCAAAGAAATTTCCAAGTCAATCTCGTTAAAGCCTCCTGATAAAAACGGAATCTTTTGTTCAGTAATAAATAATGGGTGGTTGAGTGGATAAAAGGCCAGGAGAAATAAAATACTTTATTGGTTAACTCAAGATATATCTTCCTAGTATTCCTGTGAGTTAATTCCCTAAACTTTCTTTTCCACATCCAAAGTCAGAAAACATCCACATGCCATGAAATTCACCCTTCTTAAAACCCTGTGATCTCTAGATAGTCTTTCCTTCATCAGACCCTTGAGCAAAATTGAATGCAGATGTTCTCTTTTCTTTTCTTTTTTCTGATATTTGCTAAACTACTGTTTTGATTGTCCTGTACTTTAAATTTCCATTCAATAAATTATTGCTACATAATATTAATACTGTAAAGATCTAATATTAAAATAGAATTAATTGGTAAGGACTCCTTTAAACTACTCCCTTCTCCTCATACCAAATCAGGATAGCTTTAAATAGCCATGAGTTGGCAATAATGACTTTCCTTTGTTCCTTTTATTGCAAGTTAATTGAGCCTGTCAGAACATCTCTGCTAAACAAACATACTTCTGGACCAGTGATTCACAGTCTTGGCTTCAAATTAGAATTACCTGGGAAGTTTGAAGACTCCCAGAGCTGACACAGCACCCCCAGAATAATTAGAATCTCAAGGTGAGACCCAGGAATCGGGATTTTTCAAAAGTTCTCCGGGTGATCTAAATGTGCAACTACTACTGAGAACTACTGGTGTGGAGTTTAAGTGTGAAAGATGAAAGATTTTTGCTTTCCCATTTCTGATAAATAAATCTAAGGTAAAGTTTCGGCACTGGCTACGGGAAATATGTTTAAGACTTTATGATATTAAAGGACTAGCTAGAAACGTCTAGGGCAAAAAGCAAAAAGTTGCTGCCATCTCTTTAATATTGGTCCTTTCACATCAACATGGATGGCACGTCTGTGTTAAGAGGAAGATAGAACTGGTACGATGTTGGAACTTTGAAAGAGAGTCTCCTTCTGACACCATGTGATTCCTATGACAAGACAGACTCTTTCATTAATAAAATCTCCTAAGATGCTGCCAACCAAATGACTGCCTTGAGATTCTTCTGCCAGCCTAATGATTCCCGAGCCTAGGAATCCCTGCTATGGGTGCTGGTAGTTGTGAAGCTGGCACTAATGGGTCTCCTAGGTATTACAGAAAGCAACAGCACCTAGCAGAATTCCTAGCCTGTAATTGGTACTCAGGACAGGTCAGTTCCCTTCTCTGCCATTAATATTTACAACTATGTTAAAATAAACTATAGCACAATACCTGGTTTATCTTTCTAAGAGCAGCTTCTGCCTCTGGTCGGGTAATATAAGAAACGTACCACTCTTCATTTAATGAATTCTGAAAATGTAAATTTTTAGAAACTGAATAAATTTTACAGTTACAGATGTAAGTGAAAAGAAAAGCCTCTGAGTAATCATTTCCATAAATCAACACCTCAATTCCAGGAGGTCTGAAACATTTGTTTTCTTAATTTGCATTCAGAGTCATTTAGCTGGGGCTAAATAGAAGATATTTTGTGCGAACTGCTTTTTATCATGACACTGGTTGCAAAAATGCCTGTGAATAAGAGTTCCTTACAGTATGGAACCTCTTCAGGAAAGATACAGATACAATAATTTCTTCAGTTTAGCATAATAACCTGCTTGATTAAAAAAATGGGTTATTGAGCAGTTAAGTGACGAATCAAGGTCATAAACATAAAAAACAGGATTATTTTTCTTGCTGTTTAATGCAAAACACATGTTTGCCATTGAAAGCGTCTGAAAGAACGCCAAGGGAAAAGAACATATTGTTCATCTGGATCTTCTCCTTTAACTTTTTTTTCAAATAAATAAAATAAAACAAAGGGAAGATAAAAGTACAGAAGAACATTCAATGGGAGTTTCTGGTGATTCTTTTACCAGGGAAAAGGCAAACAAACAAAAATAAAAACATGCTCTCTTACCTCTTCCTCCGCGGGGGATGGGGGCCGAGGTTTGTTTGGAAGTGGCAAGGGGAAGTTTCTGCCTTCGGCTCTGATAGGTGGTCTGTTGCTAGGGCCTTCAAAAGTATAGAATTCTGACAGTTAATTTACTGTAAGCTATTGTTTGCTGCTATCAAAACACAAAACACATTCCCCCCACTCCCCCAAAAAAATACCCTTGCGATTGGTCCTATAGTTCGCATTTTAAGAAACAAGGGCTTCAAAAATAATTTTCATCTGTTTGAAACCATGGGGGCTGCTCAGGCATTATTCTGTAATCATGCCAGTAAAACTTTGAGAAGAGAACCTCAACTTTGAGTGATTTTTCTAAATGTGCATGTTACATAATATAAAGTGACTAGATCCCTTTATAAAAAAATTCGCAATTGTTTTAATGAATGTGAACGTCAAAATGAATGCTCAAGAGACAAATTTTTCATAGATTCTTATAATATCATCATAGGCAGAATGGATTCCCAACAGCTGATGTAGGGACAATGCAATGATGAAGATAATTATGTTCTTAATGTTTCCACAAAAAGAAATGTAAGTGACCCAAGAGAAGACAAAATTACCTTGAGAATATTGCTAGCTTTTAGAATCAAAGTTGGCTACCCGCTGTTCTAACTAAACAGGTAGACTGTTCAACTCACATAGAAGGCACTACAGATCAGGAAGTTTTTACTGGGCAACTATTAATTACCCAGTGCTTGTGCCTCATCTTCTCTAAAACTCTTTTTTCTCATTTACAGTTCCTTGAAACTTTAGGAGAATGTTTCCTAATCTCAGGAAAGGTTTAGTTGTGTTTATTGCAGTTGCCCAGGGTATTTTCTATGTGCCAGGCTGTGGTTAAAAACAGAAAAATTCTGTGAGTCAAATGTTCTCTTAATTATTTAACCATCATTCATTCATACCTTCAACAAATATTTATTCAGCACAACTCTGTCCAGATCTTGAGTAAGGTATCGTGTGTACATTTTTTTTAATCCTCACAGCAACATTACAAGGTAGGTATTGTCTTCATTTTGCATATGGGGAAATACAGGCTCAGAGGCTAAGCAAATCATGCGCTATCAGTGGCAAAGCCAAAACTTAAACCTGTGGTTACCAAATGCTACTGTGCATGAGTCAGAATCCCTGGGCGACTTGCGAGCACCTGGGGCTCAGAAATCTGCATGTTAGCAAGTACTTCCGGTGGTTCTACACCACGGATTGTCACTACGTCTACCTTGTTACACCACTGAGGAGAGGAGAGTCACCTGTAAGGGCTAAAGCCTCCTGAGCCGCATCATCAAGATTATTTATGATGGTCCTTCCCTGTTTTTAAACAAGTCTCCTGAGCCACATCAACAGGATTGTTTAAGATGCTCCTTCCCTGTTTCTAAACAAGCTGGCCCTGAGCTGCCAGTGCCTTCCTTCTCCAAGTTCCCAGTGCCTAGACAGATCTTCCCCATCCCCATTTTTTTTGCAGTCCAACACTTGCACTTTTATAATGCTTGTTGAATGAATGAAACCTAACAATACAGGAGAGTAACAGAACCAAGGCCCGCATTGCATGGCCATTCTACAGTTAAGAAATGATTCTCTTTCTGCCTCTGCACCTGCAGGCCAGCATCATAGAGTTCTAAGTTACAACAGAGAAGCACATACACTTTTTTATTGCAGTCACCTACCACCCTTAATATCTAGACTCTCAAGGGAGTCATGACAGGTTTTTGGGCAATGCACAGCACAAACTTTATCCTTCTGATGTTGGAACAACCAGTAGAACCAGTAGAGAAGACCGAGGACCAGGTGTCCTGGCAGTCTTAGGGGAAAAGAGATCAATTTGGATCAAGCTAATGTTCCAAAAATAATTAACTATTTGCATTAATAAGCCCCATCACAGACTCATAAAACTGGAGATCTGTGGAACTTGCTTTGGAAAATAATGCTGTGATGTGTCTGGGACTCAGATGGCTACAGAGGCAAGGAGGTAACACAAATGTGTGTTTGCAAAACACAGAGAATTTTGGGGATTGTGGAAAATTAGGGGTTGGGCGAGAAACTGTGAAAACCATGTGGTGAACGTGGACACCACCATAACCTCAAATGCTTAGAAAACATTGAAAACTTAGTGGGTGCCACTGGCGTCAGCAGTGGGATCTCGCCCCTCTATGGAATGATGCATCCAACTGAATACCCTAGATGTGTTCTTGGAAAAAATGTTGATTCTCAGGCTATCAACTCACATTTACTAACATAGTTTTCTACTGAACACACACTGGCCCGTGCACACACTGCATGTGGAACATGACTGCAAAAAAAGTGGCTTTTCTGTTGTCATTCTTCACAGCATTTTTTAAAAATTTAAGTCAACATTTAAAAATTAAATAATTTCACTTTTCTTGAGAAAAAAATTGGAAAATCTGGCAATGCTAAGCCAGTTTCCTGGAATGCTACTTACTAGAGTTGGGTAACTTTCCCTAGTCATTTGATGCTCATTCGACAAGCATTTTTAAAGTGCCTACCAAGTGCCTGTCACTTGCAAGTCTTTAAGGATAAAAAGCACAAATTAGTCCTGCCCCAGTGCCTTTCAAAGTGGTTCATGAACCAGCAGTCACAGCATCGCATGGAATATGTTAGAAATTCAGAAACTCAGGCCTCACCCCAGACCTCCTGAATTAGAATCTGCATGTTAACACAATTCCCAGGTGATCTATATGCACTTTCAAGTTGCAGAACACTCTAAGCGAATACTAATCATGGACGTCCAGAGGTGGTATTATTAAAAACACAGGTCCCTGACTTCACTCCGGACTTACTGAATCAGAATCTGTGACGTTAAGTTCTCTTAGTTTGTATTTTGAACATGCTCCCCAACTCACAACCATGGACAGATTGATCATGGAAATCTAAAACTGCAGAGAAAGGCAAACAGGATTCTGAGGATTCCGTAGGGAAACCGGAGCTGGAGGAATAGTTCTGCACAGGAAGATTGGGGATGAGGGCTGGCTTCCTGGTGAAGTGTGTGTAGGTGTGTCCATGTATGTATGTGTGTATGCATGTGCATGTGTGTGCATGTATTGTGTATGTGTATATATGTGTATACCTGTGTGCACATGTATATATGTGTACATGTGTATGCATGTGTGTGTGTGCATGTATATGTGCATGTGTGTATGGGCATGTATATGTATACGTGTGTGTGTATGTGTTGTGTTTTAGGTACTATCCTATCATTCCGACAGCCCTTGGCACACTGCAGACACGGAATTAAATGTTGAATGAGGAAATCAGATGCTTTTAGGAAACAATAAAACCTTTGTCGAAAGCTTTTGGGACAGGTTAGGGATCCAGTCATAAAGGCTTGATGGCTGAAGCACGTCACAAAAGCCCAGAGTACAAACCTTGAGAGAAGTATGGTGGCAGGGAGGCACTCTGTGGAAAACTGCTGTTACTGAGGAGACAGAAAAAGAACAAAATTTATTTGGATTGGGGTGATGGGGCCAGACAGGGGAGCTGGGTTAGGGAAGCCAGGCTGCAAATGCTTCTTGATTTGGTATCACTTTCCCTGCTGCCCCCAAAACCATGGGGGCTGGGCACAGGGACAGAACACAGCACACAGGGAATGGAACTACATTCCGCTGTGGACCATGCCAAAGTCTAACAAGCTTTATAAAGCAGAACAGCAACAACATTCAACTGTGTAAAGGGCACTTAACAGTTACTTTAAAAATTGGCTGCAACTTGAGCTCTTTGAGTTGGGAGAATACAGAAGTCCTCTTCTCAGAAGACTTCCCTTTTGCTAGGAAATTATATTAATGGGCTTGTCTTTGGTGAGCAGTGAATCCCCAGGGCTTAGGGTCTGCAAGGAGAGAGTAAGCCAGGTGAGAAGGGAAGTGCATGTTAGGTGGGCTCTGCAGCAGACGGTGATAGCATTTGCAGGGCTGGGGTGGGGAGGCGGGCCCAGAGGGCCCTGAAATGCAGTCTGTTCCCTCCACACTGAGCAGCAACTCCTGCACCCATCAGTCTAAACCTTTGGGAAAAGTCTGCTCTGCACAGCAACCTTGTGTGAGTGGGATTTTGTGCAAATGAAGGATGGGGTTGGGGCTAGCATGGAGGAAAGCAGCAGGAGGGTCAGCAGACAAGGGCAGCAGATGCCAGCGGGAAGAGGGAGAAGAGCAGCAGAAACTCAGGGCCAGAGGGTCCCAGGGCAGAGGAAACATTGTGAGAATCCTGCTAGGAGTTGGTGGGGGTAGATGAGTCTTGTGGGTGGTTGAGTTTTCTACAATATTAGGGAAGGATCTTGGCTTCTCTCCTTGAATATTAAGGGAGAAGGTAAGCCTACAGGGCTGGAGGACTTGGGGGACACCACAGGCTGCCCGTGGGCTTGTTTGGGGACAATGACTGGGCCTTTCTCCTGTTCATGCATCTGCCCCTGGGCGGCCTCATACCAGCCCTGAGAAACACAGCTGCTACTGAGAAAACAGGGGGACAGAGACTGCAATGAATTCCTAGCATCAGCCAAGCACGAGGCGCATTTTCTCAGTCTCCCCAACTAAGATGCAGATGAACTTCAAGTACTTAGACTAACTGGGTTTCTTAATTATTGTTGTTTGTTTGAACTCATAAAGTGAAAATATTCTTTGTTTTCTACCAAAAGGCCCATTCTATCTGGAGGGATCAAGGAGGAAGTCAATTCCTCACCCCTCTCACCTCAAGCAGAGACTCAGAGGACACTGGTGGATTAACATATCGTTCTTAATGCTCAGTTTGGTTTTATGTCTTAAGACCCAAAATGTTCAGACCCTACTATCTACCCGTCATTTCCTTCTTTCTCAATCTGCCTGGCATTACTTCAGTACTGGATGGACCTAAACATTATATTAAGCTAGAATTTCATGACAGAGCTACAAACCTTTCTGAGAATGCTCCAGGCATGTGAGAGGATGGGAGAGGGTTCATGGGACTTGGCTTAGTAGATCTTGAAGGGAAAGTGTTGGAGCTCATAGGAAGTAGTGCTGGCTGGGGCAAAGGTCTCTGATGCACTGTGCAGAAGTAGAAAACAATGAATGAGATTGGCAGGCCCCAGCTGTCACTAAGAAACATTCCATAACCGCCCCCCAGTTAGAAACAGCTAGTATAAAGAGGACACAAAAATAAAGCAGATCAGATGTAATTAGGAAGTAGTAGGATGGAACCTTGCTCCCAGGGTGTTTCTAGATGACTTAACCACCATAGAATCCATTTACAAAGGGGCGCAGATCTAGATGATACTCTAAAATACACATTGATTTTGTTTTTCATTTTTGAAATGTTAACTTGGCAGAAAATTGTCAGCTGGAAACCTTATAAATTTCAGAAATGATTTACAAGTTTTGTTTTATGAAAGTCAAAATTTTATGCTATCTCATTCATTGGCAGTTACTGATTCTTTACCCACGTGTGTTAGAAGACATAAATGTGAGAAATGTTTCCATCAAACCATGCATGCAATTTTACATTTTGTGATACAATTAAATAATCTGCACTGTTACACATGAATTTAGTCTTCTTCGGTAATCTAACCAAGTAATCCATTTTACGATAGTTATGCAGTATGCCAATTGACATAAGTCTACTTAATACTAATTTAAGACTTATAATTGATTCTATGGGGTTCCTGTACTAAACAATTCCACTTGAATGCCTGAGCAGGAAAATGAAAGAATGAGTTATAGGCTGTAAGAATGTGTTTCCGAACATACCATCATCTTCATCCTGGGAAGGGGAAGAAAAAAAAAGATATTAAGCTATCATCAAAATACAATTCTTAAAATAAAAACTGCATTTCTCAATCAAATAAATCAAATAGGTATCTGTTTCTTTCTCTGGCAGTTATACATCTTCATAATAAATATACTGTGGAGAATAATAGAAGTTGCTAAGTGTTTTACAATTTCTTAATACAAACAGTCATCTAAGGGCATTCCAGTATGAGACTCTCCTCATATACTCAGCATGAAATAGATTCTGAGGTGCCTAAAAGGGCCCAAAGATGTAATAATATTGACAATATCTACAATGTGTCCAAAAGATTCATACACAAGATTTCATTCAGTTCCCCTAGTGACCCCCCAAAAATTTAACATCCTCATTTTACAAAAGCATGATGCTGAGGAAGCTTCCTTAGCTTGCCAGGAGTTGCAGAGATGGATTCAACCCCAAATATGTCTGACCAAAGCTCAGTCTTCTTTTTGGCTCTCTTTTGCAATGGCCACTCTTCTTAAGATCAATAAGACCATATTTATACGGTGGCTTACAAGGTTCATCTACAACCCTCACCATTTTTATCTTCAGAGCAACCTTGGGAAATTAGACAAGGGAGGGGCTATTTTCTCTTCCACTCAGATAAGAAATGAGGTTCAAAGAGAAAAAATGATGTTGCCACCAACTAGTAGACCAAAAGGGCCAGCTTGAACTTGTTTGGTTAGGCCAGATCTGTAATGATGAAACAGCATCTTTCTCAAAGTGTTGTTAGAAGGATTAAATTAGCTACTACTTGTGTCTGGCTTATGTTAAGTGCTCTTTAATAAAAGTTTGCCATCATCAATCCTATCACACACTGAGAGAAGGCGAAAAAGGCCACAGTCAAAATCATTCATCCCAGTTGGCCAACTGGGAGTCCCAGCAAAGAGCTGCATAAATAAACACACATGGGCTCATAAACCCCACACAACAAAATCACTTTTCAATACTTTTGCAAGTATATTCCCTCTGGTTCCAGAAAACACAACTCCCAGATTCTCATGAGCACAAGTGTCAATCCTTCCAGAGACAGGGAACCTGGAATGTGATGTTATCCTCACTGTCCAGCCTTACCTCTGCCTTGTTCCTATCTCTGCAGCCAAGCCACTGTTCTCACTGTCCCTGCAGCCTCCGTGGGCACTGGTATCCACCTGCTCAGGACACTCCTGAGGGGAATCCCCATGGGCTTTCTTTAAGAATGACTCTATTCTGTGTCCTCCCTATCATTGAATGACCAGCATAAATCTCACCTCCTCTAGGAAGTCACTGCTGGCTCCTTGAGCCACATGGCACACTTTCTTCCCTCAGCCCCACAGAGCATCCCGTGATTGCATGCTGTCTGGCATGAGGGGTTGTGAGTGTGCCTGCCTCCATAAGATCTCAGCACTTCATCGGAACAAGCACAGCATCTAGCACAGAGCTGCAAAAATAGCAGGCGCTTTTGGGCTGAGCCCTTGAATGACAGCAGGGGTCTGATGGCCTTCAGAGGGCTTATGGTGTAGAGAAACTCAGCAGATCTGGGTTCAGATCCTGGCTCTTTATAAGCATGCAATTTGCAAAGAGTATCTTATTCCTTCTGAGCCTCAATTTCCTCTCCGTAAAAGAGAAAAGATGTTTCCTTATGGGTTCATTATACTCATATGTAAAGCGAGAAATACTCAACTATCCTGGTTTTCCTAGGATGGAGATAGTTCTTGGGACAGGGGACTTTTCAGTGCTAAAACTGACAGCATCCCTCGCAAACAGGGACAACTGGTCATATTTAACTGGCATGGCAATGTGCATATGGTAAGCATTCAAGAAATGCTATTTCCCCTCTTTTTCAGGTTGTGGAAGTATTGAAAAGGAAAACAGTAGCCTTGGAAATTTAGGCATGGTCCAAACTTCTGGCCTTCCCTTACTTTATCCTCTTTTTCTCCTTGTGCCCTGTAATTACCGGCCCCTGGTAATGGAGCTGCAATTAAGCCAGCCACTCTGGGAGCTCTTAGAGGGACATGAGCTAAACAACACAGCATGATGGGCTCCAGACAATGACCAAGGCCCAAAGACAGAGGCACCAGCCCTTAAGAGACGAGACCCCTGGGTGCAGGACCTGCTCCAGGTTCTGGGCCAAGGCCAAGGTGGATGGAGTCCCAACCTCCTAAGAGCCTATGCTTCTTTTCCCTGTATCAAGCACTTACAAACTGACATTTTGTACTTACATTCTCTCTTCTGTCTGGTCCCCATCCATGCCTGAAATGAATTAGGGCAAATAAAAAGAACTGAGCATGAAGAGTTTCAAAGAGCCAGCCTTAGAATACAGTTTTGCTTCATTGAATAATGAGAAATCGAACCCACTGAGCCTAGGGAAGATGGGAAGCAACAGACCCCCACAGAGCAGGGGAGAGGGGGTGGAAGGGAGATCTGGTTACTCCATGTTCTGCCATCATTGCAAGCTGAGCTAGGCAAACCTTTGTTCTGCATAACTAATGCAGCAAATAATTATGTGTGTGTGTGTGTGTGTATATATATATATATACACACTCTATATGTATATGTACACACACACTATATGTATATACACACACACACACACACACATGTGGTTTAGTCAGCAAACTAACTCTTTAGTAGCTATTAAATTTTACTGAGCTGTTGTTTTTCCCAAGAAATGAAAACATTTTAGGTAATATTCTCCCTTGCTCTTGCTTTAAAACAGCCCTCTCAGGGCCCACCTTGGTGTAAAGAGAAGACAATTAGAAAATGTTGCTGCTTTGGGACTATTCCAAAGGGGGCTTGGTACACTTTGCCCAGATGAATGAGCTAGTCAAACAGACTTGGGGACAGCTGCCTTAGGGCTGCGACAGGCATCTGCACTGCCTGGGCCGTATAATGTCCTCTCTGGGGAGAAGGGGAAGAGCTGGACAATTTGTTGAACACCTCCTGTGTGTCAGACGCTTCACACATCATCATCTCATTCTGTGTTTATTTAAAATTTTGGAATTTTGTTCCTTATGAGTTTGCTGCATTTATTTTGATTTTTTAAAAACATTACTCTAAAATGTTATCAAACTCCATTACTGAGGAGGTTTTTTGGCACACTTTAGCCCTGGTCCTAATTTAATCCTCACAACAGCCAAGCAAGGGTGATAGTTATGACCCCTGATTCACAAATGAGATGGAAGCTTTGGTTGTATTCTTTGCAAGTAGCAAGGTTGGCCTTAACCCCAGGTACATGCGCGCCATTTGGTAAATAGGCTGAAAACTACTTCACAGCAAAGTTAAAAATACTAAGGCAGAGCTCAGTATTCTGCAATTATCAAATGTGGTTGAGCAGTAAGGAAGACACTTGCGGTGACCTGAAAAACCTCCCCCAACCATTTCCTGTCTGCTACCTGTATTGAAAAATAAAATGGTGAGTACAGTTCCTATGCACTGTGAAGGCTTTGCTATAACGAGGTTGGAAAACTCAATGAAATATTTGACTGGAATCTCTAAAAACAGCAGTCACCCCTTACTCTTGATTAGATGTCACTCTACTCATTTCTCAGTAGAGTCCATTTCCTTCAAAGAGACCCTGATCCTTCATAGCCAACCTGTGAAGCCTGAACATCCCTCAAGCCACAGCAAGAAAAGGCCCACCCTGCCCGGGAGCACCGAGGAGCCTCGGTTCCCACTGCAGAGTCAGCACAGGGCAGCCTGTCTGCCGGCCACTGTGAGTGACAAGCTCAAGCAACACCAGACAATTACTTTGGCACAGGTGGCTTCTTCCCTGGCAGGGGGCTGCTCCTTTCATGTCTTTCCGTGGTCGGTGGTAAAGGAGGCTTTTGAATCTTGGGTAAATGCTCCCCGAGTGACCTGTGGAGTTCAGGAAAAGGATGTGTAAGAAACAAACTTTGCCGAGGCAGAGTTCTACAGAACGTCCCATGTACCCTCATGTAGATGCAACAGTCTTACCTTCCCGCTGGAATCGAGGGCTGCAAGACAGGAGGAAAAATGTATGAGTGTCCAAGCACTTTTCAAAGAATAAGGACAAGATGTGAAACAAACAAACACAACCAAAAAACAAGTTCACAGCTTACCTTGTCAGAAAATGGTGGTTTCTTTCCTGTAAATGACAGAGAGCAGATGGGCCATGAGTTCAGAACTTCATAAGCATGAGGTTTAAAAACACAGTTTGATGAAACTATGAGTCTGAACCCTCTTGGGGGTTGATGGGGTTTAAGCATTAAAGAATCAGAAACTTCAGACTAGGAAGGGTCCGTTAGAGACCACCAAATTTTATAAGCTCAGAGAAATTAAATGGCTTGACCATTTAATTTGAAGGTCACACAGCTTTGTGTACATACAAGTAGTGTTGTGGATTCTGTGCTTTTTTTAAATAAAATCACATTTTCTTTTATATAACTGATGATCAAAAGGATTAATGTTTCCTTGGGATTTTATGCCTCTTTAATTGGCCAAAGTATTTCTTCTGCAGCCTAAGTTTTATTTTTATATCTGAAATAAATCCACTTGCCACGGAGAGGGTAACTTTTATCCAATTCTGTGAAACACTTGATATTAAATGAAGCACTCCACTTAGTTTCTGAAGAAACTTTTCACTTGGGGAGAGCATTTCAGGAGACTCTCCTGGTATGCTGCAAATCTTTTTTGTCTGCTTGTTTTTAGTTAGTATTGTTTGTTTTGCTTTTCTTCTAGAACGGATGATATTCAGGCTCCCTGAAGAAATGCCAGGTGTACTTGATAATTGTGCATCACAAAGTTATTCAAAGTAATTTAATTTGTATTCTATCTAAAGTCCCCTAGAATAAATATGCCCTTTGTCTTCAATGTGATGAAAATATTACTAACAAAATTCAACCAGGTCTAGAAGCAAATCCCACATGACCAAGAACAAGTTATTTAAGGTTTTTGAATCCCAATGTTATCATCTCAAAATGAAGATTATAGACTAAAACTCTATAGGTTTGCCATAAGAATTGGGTGACAATTTGCATGCAGGATCAGGCACTTGATTGTGAAAGTTGGTCATACAAATTGGGAATTTTATCACCTCCAAGGAAAACAGAGTCGAGAAGCCAGAGGGAAAAGCACTCAGGACACATAACATTGCTCCAGAAATGTGATTCTATGTGAGGTTGGCTGTTGTAACCTGAAACCAGTTTCATCTAGTAGTTGCTGAAATAATCTGCTGCAACTCGAAGATTAATTTTGCCCTCTGCCATTGCTCACCAATCAAAACTTGCCAGCCCCCAGAACCGATGAACTTTCTCAAGGAGCGATATTGTAACACTTCTCCTTTTTATAAAACCTCCAATCTTCTTTTTGTTCTTCAGACATACTGAAGACCCTGAAGACCAATTGCCCCAAATTGCAATTCTTTCTTCCTAAATAAAACAAATTTAGAGATTTTCTTCTACGTTTTTATTTTGACTTTGATATGGTCCATGTGGGCTGACAATTGTTAGTTAACTCGCCTTTCTTTCCCTTCCTTCCACACCCAGGCACAGTTAGTGCCCTATGGCGAATGGTGATATTATCTCCCTGGAGTTGTATTTTCACAACGTGATTTATTCTTTAAGGACCAAGTACATGCCAGGCCCATGATAAGAATATTGCCTCACTGTGAAGAGCTTACTGACACTGAGTGTGGTGGCTCATGCCTGCTGGGAGGCCAAGACAGGAGAATCACTTGAGGCCAGGAGTTCAAGATCAGCCTGGTGAACACAGGGAAATCCCAGTCTCTACAGTATATTTAAAAATTAGCCAGGCATGGGGACATGCACCTGTAACCTCAGCCCCTTGGGAGGCTGGAGAAGAAGGATTGCTTGACCCGAGGAGTTTGAGGCCGTAACGAGCTATGATGCTGTCACTGCACTCCAGCCTAGGTGACAGAGTGAGACCCTGACTCAAAAAAAACTAAAAATAAAAAAATAAAAATAAAAAGGAGCTTGCTGGTAATGGGGAGAGTTTTGACGGTATAAAAGATGCTTATAAAAGTTTGGTTTGGGGTGGAACCTCTACTTTAGAGGGGCACCCAGGAAACTTAAATTTATATTCTTTGGCCTGAATAAGTATTTCAAAATTTGCCTTTTTTTTTTTTTTTTTTTTTTTTTTTGAGACAGAGTCTCGCTCTGTCGCCCAGGCTGGAGTGCAGTGGCATGATCTCAGCTCACTGCAAGCTCTGCCTCCCAGGTTCACGCCATTCTCCTGCCTCAGCCTCTTGAGTAGCTGGGACTGCAGGTGCCCACCACCATGCCTGGTTAATTTTTTGTATTTTTAATAGAGACGGGGTTTCACCGTGTTAGCCAGGATGGTCTCCATCTCCTGACGTTGTGATCTGCCCGCCTCAGCCTCCCAAAGTGCTGGGATTACAGGCATGAGCCACCATGCCCAGCAAAATTTGCCAATTTTTGCATATTCTCTGAGCATGTTAAAAGTCTCAGGTGGGGTGTAAACATTTTAAGAAGACAGTAATCCTTCCAAAACATCACAGAAAACGGACTAATTCAAGGGTAAAACAGAAATTGTCAGAAAAGTGTGTCATTTAAAAATGCTTTTAAATATAGAAAAAAAGAATATTTTAAAAGAATAACTTTTGTGTCAGGAGGTGATTGCGAAGGATTTGATGTCAGTGTTCCACTTTTCTGATGTCTCGGCTCGTGGTAGTGAGCAGGGTTGGAATCTGAAGTCAAATCTATCTTCATTTCCATGTAATTATACAGCTCTCTACAGCAGACAATTCCAAGCCAAACCAGCCAGCACAGCTTTGCATGACACAGCAGAGCTGTGATGTAGTTCGGGGAAAGAGCAGCGAGCAGCAGCCTCATATCCAAGAACTGAAAGTCATTTTGTTGACAGACAAAAAGGGATTGAGGCCACAGAAAGCTAAATGCCTTGCTCAGAGCATAGCCAAGAAAGGGGTGGGGGCAGCTGGGATTCTGGGCTCCTTTCCGTTCAGTTGCAGAGTTCCTTCCTCAGACTCATGTAGTTCACAGCAAGTTAAAACCCAGGGTCCTCAACTGCAGCCTGATATGGTGGAAAAGAGCCCCCACTTAGAAGTCAGAAAGACAAGTGTTCGAATTTAGGCAAATTTAGGCAAATTATTCAACTTCTTTGACCCTTAATTTTATCATCTGAGAAGTGAGGTTAAAAATGCACCTCCTTTGTTGAGTTGCTGTGAGGATTAGAGATACTGTAGGTGTATTTGTGGTAGGTAGAGCACTTGCCCCATAGCAGTTGCTCAATAAATGGTAGCTAAGAATTGAATTGAAAATAGCTGCACGTGAAGGTAACTGCAATCCAAGAATATTCTGCGTAAATTGTGAAGAAAAAGCACTGTGGTATACCCAATGTTTGGTCAATTGCATACCTAAAACAAAAACATCCCTGACATTTGAATAGCACCTTAGGGATTTATAAAGCATTTTCTATGTACAGAACATCCACCTTACAGATTAGGAGACTGAGCTCTGAAAAACTAACATCCCTGTGGTCTGTGAGCTATTAAGTAGCAGGCAAGGCAGCAGACAACAGCTCCCCCAACCCTTTTGTCTCAATTCAGGTCCTCTCTCTGTACCCTAAAGCCTCTTGGCTGAAGGACAATGGGATTTGTATACACAGATCATCCACATCACATAGAGAAGCAGCACAGCCCCCAGAAGCTGCAAGCAGGAGCTTTCTAATGAGGCTGATATGGGCTTTGGTCGCTACTCCCAACACTTGGTAGCTGTGTGATCTTGGGAAGGTACCTCTTTGTGTCTCCGTTTCCTTATCTGTAAAATGAGGATGATTCTACTAGTCTCCACTTCCTAGTATTGTGGCCATAGTTAAATGAGATGGTACATGTGAAACGTATGCAGGAAGCACTTTATAACAGCTTATCATTATTACTATGCATTAAATGTGAATCATACCCACCTAGTGTGAAGGGTTCTCTATCAAACGGAGCTAATGAACGATCTAGGGGAGGTTTCGTGCTTCTGTCTATTGAAGGAGCAGGGACTGGAAGGGGAAAAGGCTGACATCAATTAAAAGAAGAAAGCAGTCGGCTGGGGGTTGGGCGGGGCTAGGGGAGTGCCTGGTGGGAACAGGGCAAGAGAGAGCAGCCCTTGTACTCACGCTTTGCCGTTTTGTGGTTTCTGCTTCTGCTGGGTTCTTCGTGGTTGGTCTGGGGTGGGGGCAGTGGCTGCATAAAGATCCAAACGTTAGGAAGCACTTCCAATACATCAGCAAGAGCCGGCACTCCCAAAACCTGTCTGGATCTGCTCACTTTTCCTCATCTTCATGTTCTGCCTACAAACATCCATGTCCATTTCTTCACTGAACTACCGCAGTAGCCTCCTATCTGAGCTCCCTGTTCTAGACTCTGCCACGCAAGCTCTTTTCTGCAGGCAGCAGAGTGAGCATGTCACTTTCCTGCTAAGCCTCCTATCACATTAGAAACAAAATTGAAACTCGTTAATGTCCTGCGAGGCCCTGCCTGAGCTGGCCCATGTCTGCCCTCTCAACTCTTTCCTGTGATCCCTTCTCAGTACTCATGGGGTCCCTACCATAGAATCTTCTTGCAGTTCCTGGAAAATCTCAAGGTTATGCCCTCTTTGGCATCCCTACACTTGTTTCCTTCTGCCTAGAACGTTCTTCTCCCGGCTCTTCCCACAACTGGCTCATTCTGTCCCAGGTCCTTGTCACCTCCCCCCCCCATACCGTCATGTTACCTGGTCTTCCGTCCCCCGAACCACACATAACTACTCAAATGATCTCTTTCAGACATCTGTCTACCGTCTGATAACTAGCCCTAGTTGAGTTTTATGAAAGCAGGGACCTTATTTATCTTGTTCACACTTTATCCCCAACGCCTAGAACTCTGCTTGGCACATAGTAGCTGCTCAGACAATATTTGCTGATTAAATAAGTGAATCCTGCATCTCAAAAGAAGGTCTTCAAATCTCAAAAGCAATATACATCTGTAGATAAACTTGTGAAGGGAACACATTCCTAACTATCAAGTCCTTAGTCTGAGCTTCTCAGGGTCACTCTGGGAACTTATCAGATTCACAAGGACCGGGCTGTATGCTCGAAGAAGGAGAAAACGGGGTTTGCTACCTCTGTCTCCTCCGGTCTGAAGGCTCCTGTCCTTGGAATTTCAGGTGTCGGCCAGAAGGTGGCGCAAGTCTTTTTGCAGGAGAGAGGAAGGCTCGGTACCCAGGCAACACCAGTAGGTGCCACGGACTTAATTCGGTTCTCTTTGGGTTTATTTTACAGTTTTCACTTCTCTCAAATAGTGGGAAGTAAATAAAAACCACCAGTATTTTACCCCAAAAAAGAAACACGTGTGAATGCTTGGGTTTGCCTTTCCCCAGCCGAGGGAAAAGATTATAATCTTTTCTTACAAAATTAGAATGAGATAAAGATGTTTATAGTTTTATTTTTCTCTCTGGCGGAGGAAATAACTGCAGTGGACACCAAGTACTGTAAAAGAACGGGAGGAGGCCTACCGAGTGATTCCGGCCGGCTGGTGGGGGCGGGAGGGCGGCCATCGGTCTCTGGGGGGGCACAGGAGGCTGCTGGGGGGTTTTCCCAGAGGGGGGCCGGTCTGTGGAAACACAAGGTTATTAAAGTGAAAGGGGAGTATCGGCCAAGCTCAGGGGTCTCCAGGAACAGATATGCAGCTCGGGGCACCGGGGGTGCATGATCCTTGACCCCCAGGCCCACATGAGCCCCAGCCACGGGGAGACCCAGCCTGGATCTCACCCACCCCTCCCTGCCCATTTTTTCTGTCCTAGTTTGTGTCACTCTCCTTATACACAGGCTCAGCTTTCTTTGCATTTCACAGGAATAGGTATTTATCAGAGATTTTGCCAATCAAGAAAGGCCTCTTTGTAACCAGCTCAGCCAGAACTGGAAGGGAGGATTTTCAGACAATTTTGTAAGAAGTAAACATACGCATACCTCTGTATGCAGACACACAGATATACACATGTGCACACATGCATGCACACACATGCATATATATGCACACACCTGCATACACAGAGACACGAGTGCACACAGACACACACACATGCCAAAAATCTCACAGGCACACCCAGCTGCCTGTGCAGGGTGAAGTCAGCTCTCACTGCCATAGGGATCTTGTTCTGTCTGCCCTTCCTTCCCCTCTCCAGTGTCCTGGGCTATCTCCTCCCTGACACTTCCTCATTTTGCTCATCTCTTCCCATAAAGGGAGGAGCTGATCACCAACTTCTGTTACCAGACCACAGACTCTTAAGTGGAAGCTAGATTTGCCTCGAGCAGAAACTCACATTATCTGGGCAGAAACTCACATTATCCACATCTCCACGGAAGTGTCCCTAGGCCAGGTTGACAGGCTGGCAATTTCCTACCCCTTTGACAGGGAAAGGCCAGGACAAGACCATCAAGCAAGAGGGGTGAGTGGGTAGGGCCTCCTTACGCTTTGTGCCCTGGGTGCCTCTCTTGCCCGACTCTAGTCCCAGCCTTGGGGAGGTGCAGCTCTTCCACAGGGAAAAGGGTAGGAGCAAGGCCCAGCCTGATCTAATTCCACCCTGCTCCACCCGCACTGGCCATCTCTCAGCTTCTCTAATAGGCCATGCTCCTTTGAGCCTCAGGGCCTTTGCACAGCCATTTCTACTGCTCCAAATGTTCTTCCCTTACCACATCCATTTCCACTTGGCCAACTTGTATTTATCCTTTAACCTTGGTTTAATATCACAGCTTAAAGATACACCCTCAGGCAAACGCTCCAGCCTCATCTGTGCTTGTCTTCGTGCCTCTGTATCACGGTTTCACCAAGTAACCTCATGGCTCATTTGTTGGAGGGTGCGTCACCTGCCAGACTGTCAGTCCCTTGGCGAGGGCTGTCTTATTCACTCTGTATCTTAATGACTGGCACACACAAGGCACTCAACAACTGACTCATCCATTGCTTTTCCGGACCTCCACTTCCCTGTATATGAAACAGACTTGATCATGGTTGTCCTTATTACACAGATGTTTAAAAACCACCATGAGATATTGAGACAGCATTTTGTGAAAGGGCTTTAAAATGGAAATGGGTTATACCGCATAAAGGATTAAATGGTATTCGTTTTTTGTGGTACTGACCTTCAATTTTCAGCGTACTCTCTGAAAGTATATTATTTAAGAATATATTTGTTTATTTTCTGTCAACACCACTACTAGAATGTAAGCCCCAGGAGGCAGGGGCTATTTCTTCTTTCCTGATCATTTCTAAGCACTGAGAATGGGGCCTGGGCTCCCAGCAGATCAACAATGTTTGTTGAATGAATGGAGAGAGAAGTGGGCTAAAAGGACAGATAGACAATAAAAATCGTAAACACCATCTAATATTTTTTAAAGTTATAGTCAAACCCTACTCAATATCTTCATGTTTATTCTAGCATAATAATGCCATGTAACTATAATTTGGTCAAAAGATGGGGAGGAACAGGAAAGTACTCTTGGAGTACCTGAGTAAACTGCAGAATGAGTTGAAACTGCCAAATAGCCTTAGGTGGTAGTTCAATGCTGATATCAGCCACCATAGGCAAGAATTGGTTGCAGTCTTAGTAGTCCTCACAGGAAACCTATGTGGTCTGTACATTTATTATCCTATTTCACAGATGAGGAAATTGAGGCCCAGAGAGACAGAGTTACTTGTACAAAGCCACATAGCTGTTAAGAAGCCGAGCAGATATCGAGACCCAGAGCTTTCTGCTACATGGGCAAGCTGGGGCATCAGCCTTCCATGCAGCAGTGGCGAGCTTGCCTTTGGGCTGCTCGGGCCAGAAAATCCGGAAACGGGCCCTTACCGATGTACATGGAGTTGGAGTTGGGGAAAGGCTTGGCAGGCAGGATGGAGTTCTGCAGAGCTTCCTCGTCATTGGAGGGTGGCGGCTCATAATCCGCGTCATCTTCCACGGGTGCCTCTTCCTCCTCATTGGGGGACTCATAGTCTCCATCATCCTCCCCATCCTGGTCATCATTGGGACTTTCATAATCGTCTTCTTCCTGCCCACACAGTGATAGGGACAGTGCAGTTTGTAGAGGCTCTGTGGCCCTCGATGTGCCTGTGCCTACTCTCTCCCTGCCAAGCCTCACAACAGTATAACCCGGGACCAGGCAGCCTGAAGATGGTTACTCCCATTTTACAGATGAGGAATCTGAGGTCAGGGAGCACTGTACCACAGGGGCAGCAAGTCATGGACTTGAGACCTTGGTGAAGGTCTTCGGACCACCTTTTTACACAACACCTTTCTGCACAACAGAGAGAGAAGAAAGGGGAAGGATGCTGGAATAGAAGGTACCGGAATAGGCTCTGTCTTGAGTAAACACATTTTTTGCTCCAGGCATCACCATGAGAAAGACTAAAGGCCTGGAGCATTTGTGATGATACTAGTTAATTGCCATTTCTGTTCAAGGGTGCCTGTGCTCAAAAAATGTCCTCTCATTATAACCTGGTGCAGCGTTGAAGGCCCGGCTAAGGGGAAAAACAGATAAACAAAGCCTGTTAAGTGGAAGGCAGATTAAGTTGTGTCGAGGAGGGGACCGTCAGAGGCTGTGCTGTTCTTTTTGCTGAAAGTTGAGTGTATCAACACATCCATTATTCATGAAATCTGACACTGAGTTTGAAGCTGTTCTCTTGGAAAGAATCTCTAAATTTTAGATTTTTTATTGTATTTTATTTTTGCTTCTTCTTGGATCTCAGGGAAAGTAAGCCCGAGGTGCTGGATGCTTGCCTTTGAAGCAGTCCATGAAGGTGAATGAGCATCAGAATGACCTCCCAAGCAAAGGCGGCACCATCAGCAGCAGTGATGAGCGCTCATCATGGTCATGCCAAAGTCCAGGGGGTGAGTCAATGAGCCCAGACCTCAACACTCAAGGGCAGTGTGGGAAAAAGCAATGGGAAGTGGCCACTTTTTGAGGAAAGAAATGTTCCAGTGTCCTAGAAATCCTGACAGCTTTGGGTGGCCTCAGGCAGACTGTCTTTACGTTGTTCTGTTGAGAGAGTCCTGTGTTTGTTTTTGACTTGAGGAATATTAAAAACATCAACAACAGAGGGGCAAAGTGAGCATTGGGTGCCTTCCCAACTCCAAAAAAAGACTTTGTCCTGCCCTGTCAGGGTTCTTATAACTTTAGGAGCAGGTGGGCAGAGCCCCAGAGGAATGCTGCTTCAGATCAAGAGCCTCAGCATGGAGGTCCGCAGGCACGTGGCCTCCCTCCAGGCTGCTGACCCTTTCCTCACCCTGTCTACCCTAGGCCCATCATTCCTGACTTTACACCAGCTCTTTACCCCATCAACCTTTCTCAAATGACAGAATTTTCCTCTCTGCTTCTAGAACAATTATTTTCTCCCAATCATTTGGCTCCTAAATTTGTATGCATGATGTTGTTGCTAATTATATTCTGCCATATGTGTGTTAAAGTAAATTAAAATGGAGACCAGGCCTGAAGAATCCCTGAGCAGACAAAACCAGTTGGGCCTCATCAGTGACCTAAACCTTACTTGATTTGCAGCATAAGCAAAAGTTAACTTGGGCTATTTCTTGTAAATGCCTGTATTAAAGAAAAACAGAACTTAAGCCCAACCAATCAGAAGTAGCCAGCCAACTCATAATTATATAACTAGGAGCTTTCCAGCAAGATAGACTAAATGAGATCGGTTATAACTGTAACCCATCAAATATTTTCTTTTTTTTTTTTTTTTTTTTTTTTTTTTTTTGAGATGGAGTCTCTCTCTGTCACCAGGCTGGAGTAGTGCAATGGTGCAATCTCGGCTTACTGCAACCTCCACCTCCCGGGTTCAAGCAATTCTCCTGCCTCAGCCGCCCAAGTAGCTGGGACTACAGGCACGCACCACCACGCCCAGCTAATTTTTGTATTTTTTAGTAGAGATGGGGTTTCACCATGTTGACCAGGATGGTCTCGATCTCTTGATCTTGTGATCTGCCCGCCTTGGCCTCCCAAAGTGTTGGGATTACAAGTGTAAGCCACCGCACCCGGTTCAAATATTTTCTTTGTATTACATCTACATTCACTTTATAAATGCTTGTCCCTCATCCTTCTTCAGCAAAGCCTCCTTCTGGTTTGGTGCTGCCTGATTCATGAATCACTGTTTGCTCAAATAAACTCCTTAAAAAAAAAAAAAAATTGCATTGTGCCTCAGTTTACCTTTTTAAAATGGGGTATCCATACTGTAAAATGCTTATGATTGGGTCCTTTATCTCCACTCATTTCCCAGTATGCCCTTGCAAAGAGCTGGGCACATAACGGAGCTGCCAAGCTCTATAGCCACTAGTGAATGGAAGCCCTCAGTTTACAGAGAGGATCGAAGACTAGCCTCAGGCACAGCACAAGAGAGGCTGCATGGCAAGGATTCTGCCTCTGTGAGTAAACAGAAACATTCCAGCGGAAACTCTGGGCTATTTTCCCTTTGTACCAGAGAAATCTGTCAAATTCCTTCATTTTCAGGTAGAAAGCATAAACTTAGCTAAATCTTTTTTTTGTTTTTTTTCCAATTAAATACTTTCTTTTACCAGAATCCCAATAGGTCAAGGGACAGTTTGTTTCTGCCTTCTGAAGGCACTAGAGGTGGCCTCTTACCAGAAGGCCCACGTGACTGAGGGTCTGGTTACCTGGGTCCTAGGTCTGCCTCTAACTAACTTTGTGTTCTACGCACGTCACGTTCTGCTCTCCTGTGGACTCAGTTGCCTCATCTGTAAAATGAACAGATTGGGCTACGGTCCATAATAGAGTTCTTAGCCTGAGACTGCTTCATGGGTGGTGACTGTGTATACAGGTTCCTGGGGAGGGGTTGTACAATCCGTCAGACTCTCAGAGGGGGAACTGTGACCTTTCAATGTAAAAATCAACTGGATTGCACCCTCTTTGAGGTCTTTTCAGGGCCAACAGTTGGTTCTGAAGTTCTTTTCCCTCCGTGTCACCGATGGGGACTTAAGTCCATGAGAAAAGCTACTTGAGAGTAGATTTCTAGGAGTGTCCATTTTTGGAGACGGGGGGGTAGTGGGTGGGGGTTGGTAACAGTGGGTGAAGTGCAGTCAGCAAAGTACAGCCTAGGGCCACGTGCAGCCTACCCTCTGTGTTTGCAAATGAAGGTTTATGGGCGCAAAGCCAAGCCTGTTTGTTTGCTCATTGTCTGTGGCTGCTTTTGTGCTCCAGTAGCAGAGTTGAGTAGCTGAGACAGAGAGTGCATGGCTCCCAAAGCCAAAACTATTTCCTGTCTGGCCCTGTGCAGAGCACCTTTTCTGGGCCCTGGGTGGGTGTGCTGGCATCATGTTAGAGCCCCGCTTCACTTGGCTCCATCCTGGCTCCTTATCACAAAGCTGCCCTGGACACTGCTGTAAAGGTGCAAGAACAGCCCACACCATACTCACAAAGGACGACCAGCCCCCATTGTCCTCTTCGTGGCTTTCTGTGGAAGGAGATGACACCACCATCAGCACTGAAGAAAAGCCACCACTTGAGGGAAAGTCAAAGCAGCTTCCCCATCTGATGCCTTCCCTCACCAATGCCCCTTCCCTGGCCTCCACCTACCTCCCACACCCCTGCAGGTTTAGCCACTTACTGTCAGCTCCAGCGACCCTGCCCAAGGTGCTCATTCTACCAGAGAACCAGGGGGTGGCGATGGTTCTCAACCTTTCTCGTGTGTAACAGTGACTTAGGAAGTGCTTTAAGACCTGTAGATACCTGGGGGCCTATGCCTACAGCTTCTGACTCAGTGGGACAGGCTGGGCCCCAGGAATCTGCATTGCAACACTATGTGCAACTGAACAGTTGAAAAGCTGCTTTACTGTAATCCTAGCACTTTGGGAGGCCAAGGCGGGCAGATCATGAGGTCAGGAGATCGAGACCATCCTGGCTGACATGGTGAAACCCCGTCTCTACTAAAAATACAAAAAAAGTAGCTGGGCATGGTGGCGGGTGCCTGTAGTCCCAGCTACTCGGGAGGCTGAGGCAGGAGAATGGCGTGAACCCGGGAGGCAGAGCTTGCAGTGAGCCGAGATCGTGCCACTGCACTCCAGCCTGGGCGACAGAGCGAGACTCTGTCTCAAAAAAAAAAAAAAAAAAACTCAGATGCAGGGGGACTAGCTAAGCTCAGGTGCTCACTCAGAGGTGGGGTCCCTCTGTTTTCCTCTACAGAGCTCCCAGAGCTCCTCAGTGTGTCTCTGAAGATGGTCCCAGCAGAACAGGGGCCATAAGCCAGGTGGCCTGCAGAGCAAGATCTCCTCCCCTCCATCTAGACCCAAACCCTTTTCTGGGTAAGAACTGGCTGACAGACAAGTCAGTAAGGTCACCTGAATGAACTCAAGGAGCCCCAGGAACCAGAAAGGCAAGAAAACTGAAATACCTATCACCTCCTAAAGCAATCACCTCTGAGCCCTGAGAGCTTTACCTGTCTCTTCAGGAAACCGCGGGACTTGGGGTCTGCAAAGGTAAATAGCACTGCATTAATGGTCTTCTCGATTTAAGGGGATCTCCCTCTTTCCTCAACCTGGTCCAGCGAGAGGGAGTCCCCAGTGGAGGGCATGTCTCACTGCTCAAGAGAGGTTTGTATCCTTGCTGCTCAGCAACTGGGGCTAGGATACCCTGAAAATTCTGGAAATCACCAAGCCACATCAGTGGCATGACTGGAAGCTCATGACTGTCTGATGCTGTAGAGGAAGTTCCCCTGATGTCCCAGACCCAGGGACAGGATGCAGAGCAGGGGAGGGAACCCCTTCCCCTCGTTGGACACCATCTTCCAGACCCCTGGGATTCAGGGGACAAATGCAGATCAAAAAGTAGGGCAAAAACAGTTCTGTGCCTCCCTTTTAAGGTTCAACTCGGGACTGAAAAATCTTGCGTTTCCTTACACCAGCCGCACTCACTTGCGTGTGAAGATGCTCCTCCTCTCTTCGTTCTTGTTGATTTCCTGACTTAACTTACTGAGAATCCTGCAAGATAAAGAGACAGATGAAGAGATAAAACCATCACTCAGTCTCAACCTTCCCCCTGACCCTTGATATCCCCTGGTCTATAGAAACTTGGGGCACCAGGGCCAACTTTGGCCAGGCTCCTCTTTGTCACCTCTGCAGGGACCCTCTGCTCTTCACTTCCTCCCAGAACTTGCCATCTTATTCCCCGGGCCAGACCTTCCTCCTGCCCAGGAAGCCCTCTCTCCTCCTTGCTGATCTGTGTCTGGCTGAGCCTTCCAAGTCCAGCTCAGAGCTCCCCCTTAAAGACTTGTCAGCTCACACCTGGCTTTCCCTCCAAAAATCAGGAGCCTTAGGATCTGGATACGATAGCTGTGTATTTTCTTGTCTTACTATTCCTGGGGCTGAGGTCCCCTGGCTTTTGCATGACCTGGCAGTGCTGTCTTGTTCCTAAGAATCTTCAGACCATCATCTAGACCCACAGGAATCAGCTGCTCCTTGGAGATTTCTTATCACAACCTCTAGTGGGCTGTTCTGTGGCCTGCCTTCTCCTTCCATCTTCCCCTCCCAGACTCCCACTTGGTGATGCGGATTCTTATAAAAGTTTGGGGAGGTATTCTCTATAAAGGCAGGGGTTGCAGAATGAGAGACTCCCTGAATCACTCATGCCCTTGAGGCCAGCTTTGACCAAGACACTTGAAGATACTCTTAGTCCCTGGGTTCCTTCATGTCAGAACTAGCAAATCCCCAAATCCCAGGATGGAGCTGGGGGAGCTGGGGCAGGAGGGCTTTGCCGACAGAACCATATCTCCAGCATGCCCTAGCAACAAGCATCCATTCCAATCTCTCAGATATCCAGAACTCGAGACTGCAGCCCCACTTAGTACCCACTGATGAGACCAGCGAGACCCTTAGTAGTCAATAGGCTTAGTGTTTCCTCGAGATTTGGGGCAACTGGAAGGAACCTCAGATTATCAGTCCAATTTCATTTTACAGAGGAGATGGCAGATGGCGGATCATGAAGTCAAGAGATCGAGACCATCCTGGCCAACATGGTGAAACCCCGTCTCTACTAAAAATACAAAAAAAAGCTGGGCATGGTGGCACGTGCCTGTGGTCCCAGCTACTTGGGAGACTGAGGCAGAAGAATCACTTGAACCTGGGAGGTGGAGGTTGCAGTGAGCCGAGATCACACCACTGCACTCCAGCCTGGTGACAGAGGGAGACTCCATCTTAAAAAAAAAAAAAAAAAAAAAAAGGGAGTAGCTTGAAGCCACATAGTAGTTAGTGGTAAAGGCCACCCCTTTTCCCACAACTCACACCAGCACCACAAGCTAGCCTTTCTAATTTCCAAGCCAGTGCCCTTTCAACGCACACACCCCTGTGTCAGTTCCCTTTCTGCTGCAAGCTCTCTGGAGGCAGATACTGTTGAGTCCCTGGCCTGCCTATGAGAACGGCTCATGATCTCTATTTCTTCTGCTTAATGACCATCTCGAAGTAACAAGTTTAGCCTAAAATAAACTTGCTAAGTTAGCAAAGGAAGTCCTTAGCAGCCACCATTTCTCGATTCCTCCATCACCTCCCCTGCCCCTCAACTCCCTCATTTCTCCCAAGATATGGGCTCCAGGCTGGGCGCGGTGGCTCACGCCTATAATCCTAGCACTTTGGGAGGCTGAGGTGAGCAGATCACTGAGGTCAGGAGTTCGAGACCAGCCTGGCCAACATGGTGAAACCCCGTCTCTACTAAAACTACAAAAATTAGTCAGGCATGGTGCACGCCTGTAATCCCAGCTACTCAGGAGGCTGAGGCAGGAGAACCACTTGAACCTGGGAGTCAGAGGTTGCAGTGAGCTGAGATCACGCCACTGCACTCCAGCCTGGGGACAGGAGCAAAACTTCGTCTCAAAAAAAAAAAAAAAAAAAAGAAAGAAATGGTATCCAAACCTCCTACCTCATTAGAGCAATGGGATAAACAAATTTTGATAAACACACTGGTACTTAAGAGGAAAGAGAAGGAGGAAGGGGAGGGAAAGGTTTACTCTCTGTAATAATATTGTTGACAACTCCAGGCTTTTGTGACTGGGCAGAGAGAGCGAGGCTTTAAGAGCAGCAGCGGGGGCTTCCTAGTTGCCTCCTGACCATGCCGTCAGAATGCTTGTGACATGGTTCTTTTTGGTTCCCTTAAGTGGTTGTTTCAAGAAGACGATGGGCATGTGGGATAAAAGGACTCCTACAGAGCTGGCAAGGGAGCCCCGTTAGTGTCCTGTGTCCTGGCCGTGTCAGGTGGTGCTGGCTGCAGCAGCCACTCCCATTCTGTCACCTGTTTATTCAACAATGTGCACTGAGGGCCTTCTAAGTGCTGGGAACTTAGAAGTGCTCAAGGTGCATCAATGAGCAAAACAAAGATCCCTGCTAGTGGAGAGGAAACTTTAAGGAGGTGAAATGTGCTGCATATGCACCATGCACATGCAGAGTGGGGGGCTGGGGAGGGGGATGGGAGTGCAGGGGGGGGCTGGGGGGGATGGGAGTGCAGGGGTGGGGGCTGGCGAGGGGGATGGGAGTGCAGGGGTTGGGGGCGGGGGGGATGGGAGTGCAGGGGTGGGGGGCTGGGGGGATGGGAGTGCAGGGGTGGGGGGCTGGTGAGGGGGATGGGAGTGCAGGGGTGGGGGGCTGGGGGGGATGGGAGTGCAGGGGTGGGATGCGGTTGCCATTTAAAATGATCAGGCCTCACTGAAGAGGTGACATTTCAGTAATGACTTGAGCGAGGTGGGACTGAGGCTCACCTCAACGCCCTCCTCCTACAGAGTTTGACAGGGCTCTGACCAGCTCACAAGGCTGCTTTGGATCTTGAAAGAACCTCCTGCTCTCTGCGGTGTTGCCTCTCACCAGTATCTCTAGCAGCCAGGCTGGAGGCTGCCGGGGCTCGAATTGGGTGAGGAAGGAAATGTCAAACCGCAGGCCTCAGCAGAGGAGCAGCAAAGAGCTGAGTGGGGGCAGAACAGGTCCTGGCAGTTGGCTTGCAGCAAAGTGTGGGCTCCCAGGGTCCTCCTGCTTTAAGGGGCTACAGAAAGCACCTTCCAAGCCTGTGGGACCACTGCCAGGGTCTGGTGGACGGTGCAACAGTGATGGTGGGCATAGCAGGGAGGTGGTTGCTATGGCTATTGCTAGGTGCAAACCTTCAAATTACACCCTACCCCCAGAGGACCAAGTGACAGTGAGTGGAGGGAGGTGACTCATTCTCCCTTCACCCCATAAACCCCTGGCCTCGCTCAGGACCAGAGCAAGAAGTGATGGGGGCTGGGCAGCCATAGACAGCAGTCCTCTCTGCTTGCCTTTGTTTAAGGGACTAGCTGGCCCTGGAAATGGGCTGAACCTCCCCACAGGAAGCCAGGCCCGTGTAGGAAGGCAGCATTCTACAATGACCTAGGTTCCAGCCCAGCTGCATCCCTAACTTACAGCATGGTGGGGGCCAGTCTTCATCTTCTCAGTCTAAGGTCTCTCCTGGTAATGTACAAGGTACAGGGCCTGCAGGCACAGACAGTCTAACTACAATGTCTGGCCCCAAGGGTGGCGCCCACTGTGTGATCTCAGACAAGGCAGCTGCCCTCACTTGGCCCCAGATTCCTTATCAGCACAATACAGGGGTTAAACCTGATTAGGGAATCCCTGATGGGCCTGATCATCATGATTACTTAGCTGTACCTGTTGCAAACACTGATCACCAGGCCCAGCCTAGACCTACCTGAACGGACTCTCTGAGGAGAAGCCTGAGGCTCAGTGACATCAACCGGCCCCCACGTGATTTTTATTATCATCCAAAAAGCTTGTGAAATAAATCCTGCTATTCTTGACACTGATGAAATTGTTTGTTTGTTTGCTTGTTTTAAAAAAGGAGGAGAAGGAAAGGCAGGAGAAGGAACTTTGTGATTATGAAGGGAGTGAAACAGGAGAGTGGGGGTATGCGGGGCCTTAGCTGGCCTCTGATGTAGCCCTTTAATTCTCCCCACACTTGAACAACAGTGAAGGAAGCCCTACTAGTGGGTCTAGAAATCAACTTTGCTGATGACACAAGAGGAAAGAAACTATACAAGAAAAGAAGGCTGCCAGGCAGGTGGAAAAGGAGGGAGAGAGAGAGGGGGGAAGGGAAGGGAAGGGGAAGGGGTATAGAATAGAAAATATCAGTGCACAAAGCATGCAGTAGGAATAGGCATTGTCCTGTGAAAATTCCATCTTTGTTTCCTCTACTGTGGCACGTGTAGCTGTGTACTGGCTTATGATGTAGAGCGCATTCTTGCCACAGCTCACATAGTAAGAGCTTTGGCCAACTTCTGACCAAAGCCCTCCCACAGTGGGAGCCTTATTCCCTGGGCTCAGATTTCAGACTGCCTGCTGATCCCTCCTGGGACAAGGCTCCCGGCTCCTGGGTAGGGCAGATGCCTCTCCCCCTGTGCTGTTCTCTCAGTGGGACCCTGGAACTCTCCTTCTCCTCCCCACCCCTCCTCCCTGCACACATTCCCACTCTCAGCCCTGCTCTCGCTCTGCATTCCAATCCTCCTTCCAAGGAACAAAGTGTTCTTTCCGTCTTTAAAGACCAGCCCCCTTGAACCAAGAGCCAAACCTTCTAAATTCTATCCTTGTCACCTGAGAAGCCGGGGGCAGCCAGATGTTTTAAGACTCAGGAAGGAGCCTTTCACCATCACCTGAGGCCTCGGTCGAGAGTGTAAGAGTAGGACATAATAATTTGAGGACACAGTGTTCTCCTTACTTGTCACCCATGTCCCCTACCCCTGTAGTTTTACATGGAGTGTTTTCCTGGTGCCTCACGATCATTTTCCTGGTAGACAAGTATAATTATTCTCATTTTTACAAATAAAAAAGGCAGGGCTGGCCAGGTGTGGTGGCTCATGCCTGTAATCCCAGCACTTTGGGAGGCTGAGGCAGGTGGTTCACTTGAGGTCAGGAGTTCGAGACCAGCCTGGCCAACATGGCAAAACCCCATCTCTGCTAACAATACAAAAATTAGCCAGGCATGGTGATGCCTGTAATCCCAGCTACTCGGGAGGCCGAGGCAGGAGAATCGCTTGAACCCAGGAGGCGGAGGTTGCAGTGAGCCAAGATTGCGCCACTGCACTCCAGTCTGGGCAACAAGAGTGAAACTCCAACTCAAAAATAAAAATAATAATAATAATAGGCAAGGCTCTGAGGGAGGCATCTGTCTAAAGGCACGTGACCAGCATTTATGGGGAGAGGAGGCTTCACGTCGAGTGCTGTGGGCTTGCACTGGAAGAGAAGAAGGGACAGCCAAGGGAGGCACCTTTCCTGTGGCAGGGCCCTTGAGGACTGACAAGAGCTGGGTCCCTGGACGGCAATTAGCCACTGAATGGGACAGGGGAGGACCATGTTGGAGAGAGGCCCTGTTTTGGTTTTGCTGGGGTCTGGCCATATTTCTTTTTTTTTTGAGACGGAGTCTTGCTCTGTCCCCCAGGCTGGAGTGCAGTGCCACGATCTTGGCTCACTGCAAGTTCTGCCTCCCGGGTTCACGCCATTCTCCTGCCTCAGCCTCCCGAGTAGCTGGGACTACAGGTGCCTGCCACCACACTCGGCTAATTGTTTTGTATTTTTAGTAGAAACAGCGTTTCACTGTGTTAGCCAGGATGGTCTCGATCTCCTGACCTTGTGATCCGCCCGCCTTGGCCTCCCAAAGTGCTGGGATTACAGGCATTTGAGTGGCCACATTCTTTAACAGGCATGAGAATGTTCCTTTCGCCTCTGCGTCCCTTCCTCCACACCTTTCCTGTCTTCTCTGTCTCAGGTAGAGAAATAGGTACAAAGGAGATGCCTCAGTACGTTGTTTCTGCCATTAGACTCACAGCCTTACAGGAAGACAGACAAATATTTCTGCATTACTTCTCAGCTTGAGTCTTAGGTTTTCCCAGCCTAATTGCACCATTGGTAATGGCTACAGGGATAACCAGCAGAAAGAGCATCATCCAATACCTAATTGCTGCCTGCACCACCCACCCCGTCACTCTCTTCTCCGTAAAGTTACACTGTGCATTTAAATATAAAACTTATAACATCCCATCCTTTAATGAACTTCAAATAGGCACCAGCAGATTTGAACGTGTATTCGTGTATTCTATCGATTTAACCAGACCGTTGTCAGCTGTACCATGAGGGCCAACCTAGGCCCTATAAAGGGAGCCTTCATTTTTTTTCTTTAAAAATCCTCCACCTTTACAATGTTGCAGGTGTCTTGGGATCAACCATGTCCTGAGAGAGTGACTGCATTTTCAGGCTGAGAGAGCCTTCCTTACCACAACTTACCTTCTTAAAAATCTATTTAATACTTATATTGTAAACGTCAGGGAAGGAAATAGAGACATTCAGAAGAGTGTAATATTGTTTTGGTTTTCTGTACATGAACACAATTTCTTTTCCAAAGGCCTTTGGGGTAATGAACAAGACAAATAAACTTATGTACAAGAGATGGAATGAATAAAGTATTGAACGCCTGTAAGTATCCAGGACAGCACCAGGCAATTTCTGTGTGCTGCCTCCTTTAATATTCCCCACTCCTGAAAAGTTAGCTCTTTTCCCTTCTACAGACAAGGAAGCTGAGGCTCTGATTGCCTAAATGACTTCCCCAAGGTCCTACAGCTGGTGGGAGGCAAAGTCAGCTTTAGAGCCTGGATCTCCCTCACTCCAAAACCCTATGTCCTCTCTATTCTTTAATTCCTCCTCTCCAGAAAGATAGAATAGTTAAAAAGCTAAAATTGTTCTAATTGGGATTTTACATAAAGCAAGAATAGCCAACACTTATTCAGTGCATATTGTTATTTTCCCATTATTTCCCCTAATTTTCCCATTAACCCTCTGAGGTAGGTTCTATCATTATTAGCATTATACAGATAAGGAAGCTGAGGCTCGGAGAGCTGAGCTAGCTTGCCCTCAAGTCTCACAGCCTGTGAATGGAAGGATTGGGTCTCAAGCATCTGACCTCAGAGCCTGCGCTTTTTCTCACTAAGCTCTCCTGTCTGCCTATTTATACCCCAAATAGTAGCACTTAAAATTGGTGAGCTTGTAGAGTCTCTCTAACCCATTCCTTCCTTTTATAGTTTAGGAAGCTGAGGGTGGTCTAGGGATGTGTCCCAGGTCACACAACTCATTGGAAGTAGAGCTGGAATTGGTCCTTGTTATACATTTCTGCCAAGAGGGACAGTGAGTCTCTAAGTCACCTCATCAGGGCAGCCTGGACCTTCCCTTGATATTTTCTCCATCATTCTCCATATTAACCCTTCATGTTCTATGGGCAGGCTTCACAGTCTTTCTAGGGTGCACATTCAAACACATTGGAGGAGGGGATTACATCGCAGGCCAAGCTTTTGTTTTAGTTTCCAGAGAGCTAAAGAAAGATCCCACCCCAGCCCATTCGCAATGTGTTGATAATTCTCCCGTTCACACTAACCAGAAACCATTTCCCACCCCTACCACTTTCTCCAGGCTCTCAAAAAAGCCAGAAGACATCAGTTGAGCTTAGCCTTAAGATGAAAAAGGATCTTCCAAGCTGAAAGTGCCTTCTTTATCTCTGTCCTTCCACTGTTCTGATTAAATCTCTTCCATCCCCCCATCTTCATAGCTACAGCCCTAGGGGAGGCTCCTAGCTCACTGGCAGGATCTTGGTCACCACCAACTAACTCAGTCCCATGTCCCCAGCTGGGCTGTCCTCCAAATCATCACTTACATGCCCTGGACAGAGATAAGACACAAATTTACCTTGATGCTCACTTCACTAACACTCTCTGGCTCCTGAGAATGGCTCACGGGACCTTTATAAATTGAGGGACACACCCCACAACAACCACTCACTTCAGCCTCTTTGCTTTCCACTCCCCCAGGTATATGCCCCAGCTGCTCTGCCCCACTGCCGCTCCACCAGGCACACTGGGTGGTGCCTCTGTAATATGTTCCCATTTCTAGAATGTCCTACAATCCATCCCTCCTATTTCAAGATTTAACTTAGGGTCCCTTCCTCCCTTGTCTGCCCTGAATACTGTGGGGAAAATTACTCCTGCCTTCCTACGAGCGCTTGAACTTGTGCATGCATGTACCATTGCACTGTTGTAATTGTAGTGTAATTGCTTTGCTTGTCTGTCTGACCTCCCTTTAGAATGTGAGTGTCCTGAGGATGAGGATTCTGTCCCATGTCTTTGCAGCCTGAATAATTTTAACAAAGGCCTGACACATTGTAGTTATCTAACAGCAGTTCATTAAATGAATAAAGTATTATTGAAATATTAATCTTGTATAGGGACCACAAGATGCAAACTCAAATGCCCTCAAGGGCCACGTACATACACAGACCTAAGTAGTTACCATTTCTGGCACCCTTCATTCCTATGTACACATCCCTTTCCACTTGAAGGACTTTTAAAAAGCACCTGTGGCAGTACAGTTCAGATTTTGTGTGTCTGAAAAAGTCTTTATTTCGTCTTCATTTTTGAAAGATATTTTTGCCTAGTATTGAACTCTAGGTTGACAATATTTTTCTTTTGCTATTTTACTTTCGAGAAAGCTGTTGTGATCCTTGCATTTGTTCCTCTGTATGTAATATGTCTTTTTTTTTTTTTCTGACTGCTTTTAAGATTTTCTTTTTATCATTGGTTTTGAGCAATTTGATTGTGATGTGCCTCAGAGCTAGTTTTCTTCCTGTTTCTTAGATTTGGGGTTTGTTGAGCCTCTTGGATCTGTGGGTTTATAATTTTCATCCAGTTTGAAAAATTTTTAGCCATTATGTCTTCAAGTGTTTTATTTCTGTCTCTCCTTCCCCGCTCACATACACATTCTTTCCTCTCCTTTAGGGACTTTAGATATATATTTGGTTCTTTGAAATTGTCCCAAAGTTCCTTGATGCTTTTTTTTTTTTTTTGAGATGGAGTCTTGCTCTGTCACCCAGGCTGGAGTACAGTGGTGCCATCTCAGCTCACTGCAGCCTCCACCTCCCAGGTTCAAGTGATTCTCCTGCCTCAGCCTCTTCAGTAGCTGGAACTACAGTCGCCTGCCACCAAGCCTGGTGAATTTTTGTATTTTTAGTAGAGATGGGGTTTTGTCATGTTGGCCAGGCTGGTCTCAAAATCCTGAACTCAGGTGATCCACCCACCTCAGCCTCCCAAAGTGCTGGGATTACAGGCGTGAGCCACTGTGCCCGGCCCCTTGATGCTCTTTTCAGTGTTTTGTTTTAGTTTTTTTTCTCTGTGAGTTTCAATTTGGACAATTTCTATTACTGTATCTTCATGTCTACTACTATTTTCTTTTGCAATATCTAATCTGCTGTTAATCCCAAGCAGTGTATTTCTAATCTCAGATTTTATAGTTTACATTTCTAGAAGTTCTGTTTGGGTCTTTTTTTGAATTTCTTATGCCCAAATTTAACTTCTAGAACACATGAAATACACTCAACATTCTCCTTGTCTGCTAATTCTAATCTCTGTGTCAGTTATGGGTCAGTTTTGATGTTTTAGTTTTTCTCTTTGTTGTGGGTTATATTTTCCTGCTCATTTGTGTGCCTGTTAGTCTCTGATTAGATGCCTAATATCATAAATTTTATTTTGTTGGGTAGTGAATATTTTTGCATTCCTATAAATAGGTTTAAGTTTTGTTCTGAGATGCAGTTAAGTTACTTAGAAGCAGTTTGTTTCTTTTGGGTCTTGCTTTTAAGGTTTTCTAGCCAGGACCTGAACAATTTTTAGATTAGGGCTAATTATTCCCCACCACTAAGGCAAGATCCTTCTAGGCACTCTACCGAATGACTATGTTTTCCAGCCAGGCTGGTAGAAATAAGCACCATTTCCAGCCCTGTGAGTGGCTACTCTTTCCTCCAATACTGTTGGGTAGTTCTTTTGCCACCTACAGGTAGTCTCTCCTTTCATGCATGGACTGATCTGTGCTTTGCTAAAGAGGGGCCCCTCTGAAGCTCTCCAGAATGCTCTCTCTATGCAGCTCTCTCCTCTCTGACACCCGTTGAATGAACTCTAGGCTCCTGGACTCTCCGCTGCCTCCTCAACTCAAGTCGTCCACCAGACCCAGCACTGTGCTCCCTGCTCCCTGTGCCAAGGCCTGGAGATTCTCAAAGCAGCAAGCAACCATAGGCTTCACCGCCTTTGTTTTCCATCCCTCGGTGTCTGATGCTCAATGTCTTGAAAATTGCTCTTTCATATATTTTGCCTGGTTATTTGGTTATTTCAGTTGGGAAAGTAAATCTGATCCCTATTACTTAATCTTGTTCGAAAGCCAAAGTTCCCATGATATAATATAAATGGTTGACGTACCTTAGGACGATCCCTCAGGGAATGGTGGGACCCTGGTGAACTGGGGAGCACAAATCCCAACTAAACAGGGCAGCAGACATCAGATCCGGCTGACTATTGCCACAGTAGAATATAAGCCCTCAATTGCCACATCTTTCACTTGTTTCTAAAGAGGCTGGATTTTGTGAAAGTTTTCCTGATTTCAAAGCACAGTGGTCACCAAATTTAACATACCTGCAGTCTGGGACTAGCCCACCAGCCACCAATTCTGACACCTGTGTGGAAAGTTCCCTCTTTTGCAAAGAACTATGGTTTATCTCTACAACATCACATTTCTGCAATCATAGAAATGTTCTATATCTGCACTCTCCAGCATAGTAGTCACCAGCTATACGTAGCTATTAAAATGTGGCTAGTGCCTCAGGGGAATGAATTTTAAATTTAATTCAAATTGAAGTAGCCACATGTGGTTAGAGGATATCCTTAGAAAGATCAAGCCATCTTCAACAATACGTGTCCCTGGAGATAGACAGCACCAAAGGCAAATCCTTATTCCTCTCTTTTCCCTCCCCCTTCCGGACAAGGGAAACCCTATAGTCATGCTAAAAATATTCTCCTTAATTGAGCTGCCAGCATTCCTACCTATTCATGAGATCTCCCCACCTCCTACTCCTTTGGCCTACTTCCCTTTTATTATGATGAGCTCTGAGACCCTTAGAGTAAGAGAAGGGTCCTTATAGAATGTCCAGAGAAGAGAACTCAAACTGGTAACACACAGACTATATGTAGCCCTTAGGTGTGTTTACTGTGGCATTCACAATACTTGAAACATTTGAGCCAATGTTTAAAAATGGAGATATAGCACATGAAACCCATATTTCTAGTTATTCTTGATAAATTTGAAGATAGGACATTGTTGGGTCCACATTAGCTGGAGCTGAGGAGCTGCTGCACTCTTTGAATGGAACATATGATATCTGATTTGCCACAATCCCCACCATTCTCTATTGCTTCACCAACAATGAGGCTTTGCGATGGCTACTTTTTTCATCATATGATAACCGTGCTATTATTTTTCTTATAATGGAGAACTATTTCTTCATACAGAATATTTACCACTGTTTTGTCCAATGATGATAAAACAAAACAAAACAAAACAACGGGGCTTTGTGTTTTCAACCTGACCAATTTTACCATTTATAGCACCTGCCTGGCTCCTGTAGGTATTTGAGTGTGTGAGACCTTTACTAGAGGGATGAAAAATACATGGCATGACATGCATACTGCAACTTCCCCTTTCAGCACCTATGGCAGACATGAATGATCAATCACAGCTCCCTTTCCTCGGGATTCTTCTCAACATAACACCCCTGTCAGATATTTCCAAGCACTCAGTATCAACACATAATTATATCCATTGCTGTCATCTGCTTTGGCTCTCATTTTACTGTGTGAGAAATGGAGGTCAAGAAAACTTAAGCCATCACTGAGTCAGTGGTGATGCCATGATGAAACCTTGACACTGATGCTATTTTCACAGGCCCAAGCACCCCATGAGAAGAGAGGAAATGAAAACATTGGCCAGAGTTGGGCTTGTTTTTGGCAAGAGCATCCAGGTCACCAGCTGGGCTGGATCTGTGACTTCTGTTTTCCAGCTCTTCATGTAACTTCTGTTCCCCACATCCTGCCCTTGCCCTCATCCTTCCTACTTGCTTTCTTATTTCAAGCCGACAATGACATAGAACTGACCCAGCCCCCACTCACACTACTCCCCATTCCCACCTCTGCTCCCAGATCACCCATAGAGTTGGAGGAGTACTTACGGCACCCGGAGCTTGGGGAACTTCTGGATGTCATTTTCTGTCAGGTTCTGAAATGAAGACACATATGGCAGGCAGGTTACAACCCACAGAAAGGGCTCTGAGCAGGAGGGGAAGAGTGATACGTGAAACAATATAGGGAGTGGTGGGGACTGTGGCAAACAGAGGAGAAACCGCCCTGCCCACCCACCCTCCCCAAGTAGGCAGCCTCTAGATGTTTTGCCTAAAAGCCTGTGGGCCTGCTGTTGCTGGATCTGCTTTTACAAAGGGAATCCTTAAGTCTGGGTTTTATGTGAAATGCTCTGAGTTCCAAATGTTGGCAAATAATTTTGACTTAAACACTGTGAGAGCTAAATCTGTGAAACCAAACGACTCGTTGTGTGGGCTGCATTTGGCCATGTTAGGACCTCTTCCCTACACCCCAGACCTCAGGCCCTCTCAGTCTCCACAAGGTCAGCTGCAGAGAAGCCAGCCTGGAGGAGTCTGTGCCTCTTTTACCAACATCACATCCCAGAGAACCTCTTTCACCAGGGTTGTTGGTAGAATTCTCAAGATATGGGGATGCCATGAAAAGGCTTTCTTGAGGGAACTGAGAAGGGAGGGGAGAAAGAAACTCATATTTGTCAAGAACTAACTCTGGGCCTCCACCTCTTAATGCTTTAGTGAATCCTCACATCAACTCTGTGATGCAGGAGTTACCAGCATTCCCATTTTGAAAGAGAGAAAGCCGAGGCTCAGGGATATCAAGGGGATTTCCACTTGTGGGGGATGAGCTGGGGCTGGAATTCCACTCTGTGACATCCACAGTCTATTTTCTTCCTGCAAACCTCCATCCTACCACGTCTGATCCTTTTGACGGCCCCTGTGGCCTATGTTGGAGAGGATTATGGGGGGAAAGGTGAAAGGAGGCATCTGGAAGGGAGGAGGAGAGGAGAGCATGTCAGAATTGGGAGCAGAAAAGAGACTGGGCATGCTTTCCATAGAACCAATGATGAGCCAACAAAGGGCTCCACCACCATTCTAGTTAAGGCCAGAGGGCTGGGTAGTTAGGGTGGGAGCTCTGGAATCAGATGGGCTGGGTTTGAATTTTGGTTCATTCACTTAGCAGCTGTGTCATTTAGGGCATGCACTTTGCCTCTCTGAGCCTCAGTTTCCTTATCTGTAAAATGGGGACCATAATAATAATAATGATACCCACCTATCAGGATTGTGAGGACTGAGTGAGATGATGTATGTAATGTGTTTTGGCACAGTGCCTGGCACAGTGTGTGACTGAGAAATGGAGGAGTAAGATGAGGAATTACTACCCCTGGTGGGGAAGCAGCAGGGGTCTGGGTGAGTCTTAGAGTTTAGTGTTTTTGCTTCTTTTCCGTTCTGGGAGCTGCCTGTCAGGTTTTCTGACCACTGGAAAGATCTGGGCACTCTTCTTTGAGATCAGCTGGCACAGAGGCTGGGGCTAGGGCATCTTAGCAATGTGTTCACTGGATCCATCTGATCCAGCTCACAGGCATGGTTTCTGATCTGGACGCTGATCAGACCACCTGCGGCAGGGTGGGGCTGGTGAAGGGAGTCAGCCAGAAGTCCTGAGGGCATCGGGCTTTTGGTTAAGCTTCTTAACTACTCCTTTTCTTTCTTTCTTTCTTTCTTTCTTTTTCTTTCTTTCTTTCTTTCTTTCTTTCTTTCTTTCTTTCTTTCTTTCTTTCTTTCTCTCTCTCTCTCTTTCTTTCTTTCTTTCCTTCTTTCTTTCTTTCCTTTCCTTTCCTTTCCTGTCTTTTCTTTTCTTTTCTTTCTCTTTTTTTTTTTCATCACTGAGCAGCATCTCCCTGCTTCTGAACTACTCCCACTCAGGGAGGTACCAAGACTCATGTTTTGAGTGTGGTGTGAGGAGTTGAAGCCTTCCTAAGGGCTGCCAGAGGGGTGGCGGCTGAGCACTGAGCAGCTGGCCACCAGCTTCTGCTCTGCTGAGACGAGGGCGTAAGCTGAGGGAATTTCAGGAAGATTGTGGAGGAGGAGGTGGACATGAGCCTGGCTGGAGACACAGAGGAGCAGGGTGTCAGGAAAGAGGAAGACATTCAGAACGGGGACAAGAACTGTGAGGAAAGATGAGAGATGTTGAAACAGAATTTTTGGAGAGTTTTGCTATGTGATGTAACCCCCTCCTCCACCTTTTCCAAAAGCCTCCAGTAAACTCTGGGTTATTTGCATGATGATTTTGGAGTTAAGATTTATGGCTTTGTGGGAGTATGATTATATGCTGTGGGTGTTGAGAAGAGGGGTACAGAAAGAGGAAAGCCACAAACTGGGCCCTGGTGGGAGAGGCAATGTGGCAGACATGGCTGCTTGCCTACCCAATACCCACTCTCCCTTTGTTTTCCTACTGACAGGTCCTGGGTTTCATTCAGGGCAGTAAATGTGCTTGTTCAAAATATTTAACTCTCCAGGCTCCCTTGCAGATGGTGGAGGTCACATGACTCTGTTGTGGACAGTAAGATATAACCAAAGTCTGCTGGATGGAGCTTCTGGAAAAGTTACTACTTCCCTGGAAAAAAGGGAGCATGCATTTACCATTCACCATACACCTTCTCCTCTTTGCCTTTCTCCCCGTCTCCCTGCCTGCCATGGAGATATGATGCCTAAAGGTGGAGTAGCCAACTGACAACTGTTAGGACAGAAGCCACAGGCTTTTTCCATCGGTTAGATGAAGCCTGGGTTCTTGATGTCTTCTTTCACCATCCCCTGGCACCCGCCTATACATTTATTACTTGAAACAGACTGACCTTTATTTGGTTAGGCCACTGTGGTCAGGTTTCTGCAACATGGGGTCACATGCCTTCCCAACTGACACAAGTCTCAAGCTCCTTTTCTCTTCTTTTTATAACTTCTAGAAGCATAGCTTCTACCAGATAAGGATCTAACCTTTTCAGTGGAAAACAAAAATGGCAAAGAAGTAAAGAAAGAAGAGAGAGAAAGAAGAAAGAAAGAAAGAAAAGAAAGAAAGAAAGAAAGAAAGAAAGAAAGAAAGAAAGAAAGAAAGAGAGAAAGAAAGAGAGAAAGAAAGAGAGAAAGAAAGAGAGATGGAGAGAGGGAAGGAAGGAAGAAAAGAAAGAGAGGGAGAAGAAAGAAGACAGGGAAGGAAAGGGAAGGGAAAAGAGGGAAGGGGAGAGGGGAGGACAAGGGAAGGGGAGAGGGGAGGACAAGGGAAGGGAGGAAGGAAGAAAGGAAGGAAAGAAGGCAGGAAGGAAGGAAGGAAGGAAGGAAGAAAGGAAGGAAGGAAGGAAGGAAAAATAACTAGGGCCTTTCACTTTTGCCTTCAATAGCAGAGTGGCCCTGGATATTACAGAGCTGGAAAGGGTGATAGATTAGTAATTAGAGCTTAGATCAAGCGTCCCAAATTGTACCCAGTGCACTAGGGGTGGAGGGTGGGTTTCAGCAGAAGCTGCCTTTACATCCCCCAGTTGCAGGGACAGGCACTGGATTCTTCTTCTTTTCTTCTGGTTCCTATCACCCTACTTTGCACTTCCTCCTCTTCATACAATGAACAGAATGTGCCACATTGTCTGAAGGACTGATAGAGGACTGATTGGAGCAGAGGAAACATAGCTGCCTAGATACCATCTCTCAAACAACCCTGTTCTACCAGGCCTGACACTCGCACCAGGACTGTTGTGGGGAATTACAGAGCCGGGAGGGGCCATCACCCACTATGACCCAGTCCAATGTGCTCAGTCAACAGGGTAGGAAGCAAGGCAGGCTCAGAGAGGGCAAGTACTTGCTCAGGGTGACCCAGGCAACAGGGCGTCGTAGGCACCATCCTCAAAGATGTCTTCCTCCCTTTCCATTCAACTGTGATAAGTCTCTGTTCTCAGTGCTAATAGCACCAGAATGAAATATTTGGGTTTAGCAGTAATTTGCAAGAATGGCACTAAAGCTCCAGGAATTCTACTGACTCAAATCTCAATACAAATAAATAATACTGTTAAAAAGTCAAATGGTATCAGACTAAATTAAGTGTATGCCTTAGTTCAATTAGTAGGTATGTGACATAGAACAAATCACATCACAGCTCTGCATGTGTTTCCTCATCTGCAAATGAGGTAGTTGGAAGCCTTTCTGAACATACCTTTCTGCTATAAAACAAGTTTCTAGAAGGCAGAAATCACATCTTAGCCATTTCTCTATCCCCACCACCTATAATGCTCTCCAGTATGTAAAAGCAGTTCGGGAAACTGCTTGTCAAGTGAACGAATAGGCGAATGAATGAATGATTTAGGTGGACAGTGAATAAACATGTCTTACATGGCACCTGGAAGCAAAACTCAGACCAATAGGAGCACAGGTTAGTTTCAGCACAAGACTTGAGAGCTGCCTAGAAAGGGGCAGATGACTGTGGGTGGTGGTGAGCTCACCATCACTGAAGGAATTCAAGAAGATGTTGGTAGCAGAGATGTAATATAAGAAATGGATTGGTGTTCTCTGGGGGCAAGCTGGAGCTTGTGATCTCTCTGGTCTCATCCAACTGGCCTGAAGTCTCATGGTCAAGTTCCCTTACTGACAGTGTCTTACAGGGAGACACAACTTAGCTTACTCTATTCACTCTGAATTTAAATTAGGAACATCTACCCCCATGAGACCCTTGAAGTCTTATTTTCAAAGAGTAAAGCAAAGTTCCCAGAAAGGATGGATTGGTGCAGTCAGGGTCTTTCTTAACCCATGGGCAAAGGTGTCATTTCAGGGAAAATGCTCAAACCACCTCCCCGACCACAACCTAGCACCTCTGTCTCCACCATTAGAGCTGCATCCTTTTCCCTTTAATGGCTTAGTCTTTAATACATACCTGCACCTTGGTCTTAGACTTCAAGCTTTTTGAAGTATAATACAGTGGAGACAGCCATATCACATGTGTGCTTGATGCAAAATCAGCTTTATGAATTTGGTAGTGAGAAAGAAGGAAGTAATTGAAACAATGAGGGTGATGCCATCCTTTATTCCACTCATGAGTATGTGCTCCAGAGTGAGAGATTGGAGGTGAGAAGCTTCTGTTCACCCATATGGTCCTTCTTCCCCTTGGGCTTCTCAAAGGATGGATGGCATTTAAATAGATTTTCCAGATTATTTGTTTACTATACTTGGATTCCTCCTTAAGGTGTAAGTGGAAGATCAGAGAGGGGTTCTGGATGATAGGATCCTGAAAGGTAGTGAGAGAGGGGGCCCTACCAAATTTCTGGAAAAAGCAAAGGGATCCTCGGGTGTCCCCAGGGAAAGGGTAGGCCAGTTGGCCCTGCAGCCATGGGGAAAAGTGCCGAACAGTCTTGGTTTCAGTGTGTTGGACTAGCCAGAGCTTACCAAGAAGCGAGCCCCATCGATGTGGTACTTCTTCACTGCCTTCTCACAGTCCTTATAGTTGAGCTGCAAAGAGAAGGGGAAGGTGTTGTTAGTGACGGGCAGTCTCTTACCATTGGTTCCTCTCCCTTGCCTGCCCCAGAAACTTAGCACTTTGCGGTACTTGTGGCTAGCCAGGCTCCCCACTGCCCTCCCTTGGCTAACAGAGGGCCCAGTCCCCACCTCAGCCTCGCTTTCACTACCCCCTTGGGACTGCCTGAAATGGAGAAATTGCCTTGCTCTAAGGCTTCGGGGCCAACCCTTACAGAAAGACTGCCTTCAAGGCATGCAGAGCTCTGCCCTATGCTCCTCAGGAAGGAGAGCTAAAAGAAGAAAAGAAATACCATCCATTGTCTCGATGCCCAGAGACGACCTCGGTGTTTCTTTCCATGCTTTCTTCCTAGCATGTTTCTAAACATAATTGAGGTTATGATTTATATTCAATCTCATTATTCTGACTTTTTTCTCTTAAATTACCTAAAGGGATAATATAAACACTGCCTAGTGTTATGCAAACTCAATTTAAAATAATTTTAATGACCACAACATTATTTAATCATGCCCTTATTGCTGAACATTTAGATTATTTACCAAGCTGCTGTTTCAATAATGATAATAAAAACGGCGAACAATTATCGAAAGCTTTCTGTGTGGCAGGCAGTGTACCAAGTAGTTAAACTAGTCTTCAATCATTTAACCCTCACATTTTGCAGATGGGGAATGAGAGGCACAGACAGCAAGTAACTTGCATGAGGTTCCATGGGTTTTAGGTGACAAGTTTCAGAACAGGCTTTAATGTCTCTTTCAGAAATATTCCCCTTTTAATTACAGCATAACTTATATACAGTAAGTAAAATGAGCAAATGAAAATGCAGCTTCATTTGTTTGCAGTACCTCATCCCAATCAAAATAGAGACAATCATGGATACTATTTTGCGAACTTTTTTCTCCCTCTTTGAGATAAATTGTTTAAGTCAGAACCTCAGAACCGAGTTATATAGGATCCATAGGAACGAGCATTTTTAAGATCTTGGTTATTTTCCTAGACCAATCAGCAATCATATGAGGTGCTAGTTTCAACTTGTCCTCAACAGCATAAATGTTCACATTTGAAGTATCTCTCAACTTGCTGCTTTGGGGTGGAGCATTTGAGGTTAAATGTTTCTCCTTGAGGATCCTAGGTTCTTCTCACAAGGGTGGGCCTCATGGTTTGTGGCAGCCTTCTTTTGGAGCACATTTTAAGCCATATTTTTATCTTATAGCTAGCAAATCCAAAGAATAAATACAATTGTTATGAAATCTTAGCTTGGAAGGGTGGGATGATTATCACACTCAGAAAGCTGACTTAGAAGTTGATATTGAAAGCACATCCCATCTATGGAGCCCTGGTATCCCCTTTATCTACAGGCAGTGGGGGGTAAGTGGTTCTTGGAAGAGTCAACTGCCTTTAATTCATCATTCTCACTGTTATCATTATGAGATAAACCAGATGATTTTGAAGAGTGCTAACTTTGTGTCTAGATCAGCAGAGAGTCCTGCAGACTGGGACCCAGGCATTTGATTCTGCTCCAGCAAGATCTAGGCTTGTGGACCTCAAATCTGTATTTTTAAGGAGCACCCTAGACGATTCCTATGGCATCCAGCATTGGTAGGCACTGGTCCAGAAAAGTTACCTGGATTTGTAGTAAGGAAGACTGAGGCCTCTAGAGGGAAAGAGGCTGGTCTAAGGTCACACAGTGAGCTGGGATACCAGCTGGGACCCCACCTGGGATTAGGACACACAGCTCTGAGCCAGTGCCTCTCCACTGCACGACCCAAGGATGTTCTCCTGCAAGTCAAAAGGAATTGGAGAGATTGAACAAATATGTAACATGGTCTCTGTCCTCAGGAGCTTATATTCCAGACACAGGACGAGGTACCCATGTCAGAGACAAGAAGACGCAAAGTCCCACCAGTCTGCATGGGTGTCCCCAGCTAGGAGCCAGTTAATAGAGAAGGTAAAAGGGCAGAAGGAACACGCATTAGGATCCATTTGTCTGCTGAGTGCCTTGCACACATCATTTGCTTTAATCCTCACAACCAACCCATTGGGTTAGTTACTGTTCATATCTCTATTTCACTGATGAGGAAGTTGAGGCACAGAGAGGCAAAGCAACTACAGGAAAGTCGCCAAGCTAGCAGGTGGCAGAGCCAGGGTAAAGTGTGTCCGACCTCAGAGCTGAGTCGAGAGCTGTCTCCAAGGGAGGCCTGACCCCACTACTTGGGTAGAGTTTGCATCTGCAGATCAATTCTTTACATGTCATGTTTGACAGCTAAGATCCATTCCCAAATGACTCTGCGGTCCATTCGTTTGGTAGTTTCTTTCAGGGGGCTGAGGTACTCAGAATCTGAAGGGTTTCTATCCAAGTCTGTGGAGGGACTAGAACTTCCAGGATCACAGATTTGCCTCAGTCTCCTAGTTTCTTCCCTCAGTCCATTTATGGCAGAAGAAGGAACCTGCCTGGGTGCTGTAGATTTGTCCTGGGGTCTGAGATCTCCAGGAAGAAAACTCTCCCTTCCCCCAGCTCAGGCAGTGAGGTCTTCCTGTACCATCCCTGACCCGTGGTCCATCTCCCTGTACTGATGGGAGTTTTAGGGATCAATTCTCTGTTGCTCAATTGGATTGTATAATTCTCCTGGTCACACCTGAATGTTAGGCCTATCTGTGCCTCTCAGCCCGTCCCAAGTCTTTCTCTTCATAATTCTCAATTCCTTTCTTTTTCCCTTATCAAGGTAACATGCCACTTTATTCCCTCTTGGCAAATTTTACCTTGTTGCCCTATCTTATTTGGTCTATATTTGAGCAAGATATTTAGAAACATCCTTCAAAAAACCAGTTGCGCAACAATATTTGCTGAAATCTAAGTTTATTATGACCTTGCAGAAGGAAAATAACAGAAATGAAAGCACAAAATATGGCAAAAAACAGGATCTGTGAACTGTACCCCTACCATACCACACCTAGTTCAACATGTTCTCATTTTCTTCTTCAGGTTGGGGGAGAACAGCTGTGACTATAAATGCCTCGGAAATGCATAGACCCCAGGTTTGGCTATACGTCCTAGGGAACCTCGTCTACCCTCTTGAATCTCAATTTCCCCAGGAAAAACACGAAGCTGAATTAGATGACTTCTACCATCTTAGCTTTACAATCTCATCTTTATGACAGTCTGGAATATCAACAGAATCCGATGCCAGCCTGCAGGGATGAGGGTGTTAGAAGCTTAACCGTCTCGCACAAGTCATCTTACCACATGGTCAGGGTAGAGGGACTATAACTAAGTCATGTGGCTTGAGATCTGCCCAAGCAGATGCGTTGTCCCCTTCTGCCAATGACCAAGCACAGGGATCCTTCAACCTTTCCTCTAAGTCCAGAAGATAAGACAGCAACGCTCTGGTCCCAGCACCGCCACAAGCCTCTTTTCCTCTAGGGGCCTCAGTTTTCATAGCTATAAATTGGGGCTCACATCAGTTTTCTGTCCTGCTTCACAAGACTCTCATAAGGCTCCAAGGAGACTGCCCCAGGCGGGAGCTTGAGGACCCCCCTTAGGGTCGTGAGCAGTGAAAGCCCAAATGCTGTGTCTGGCACTGCTCATCATAGTCCTCTATCCAGCCCTCCCACCCTGCCTATTCTTTCTCCTGCCTCCAGGACACCACGTCTCCCCTTTCTAGTAAGTAGCGTTGATCTCATTAGCAGTTACAACAGTTCTCTGCATCTCAGAGCATGGACTTTAAAACCAGATAGGTGTGGCTTGAGTCTTGCCTCTATCACATGTAGTCCCTAGGGCTTCGGACCATTTCACTTCCCTGAGCTGATTTTGCAGCTGAGTCAAGGGGATAACAATGCTGACCTCACAACATAGTAGGGAGCGCTAAATGGGACAGTGCCTGTGAGACACCGAATTCAAACCCTAGCACATAATAGGCACATACTCATTTGAGGGCTTCTGCTCCCATCCTTCTCTCCGGAACTCATGGTCAGGAAAACTCAGCGGTCTATATGGCGCTCACTCAACCAGTAAAGTTGCCATAGGGTTCCATTGCTATCTTATACACCTCCCACATTCTGCCCCAATTCCATCGTCAAGCCTCAGCTCAGCCCACCAAGGGCACTAGCATCATGACCATTCACACAAGAGCAAGGCTTACCTTCTTGAAATAGTCAGCAAGGCTGTCGGGGTCCCAGCCCAGGACCTCTGAGCGAAAGGGCACATTCCTCAGTGCCATGGCTGCTCTCCCGGGAAGAAGCTCACAAGCTGAGCATGGGCGCTTCACCCATGGGCAGAGAAGCTCAAATCCAGAGCTCGGAGGCGTTCTTGGCTCTTCCAACTCCCAGCTACCCTGTGGAACACCCCTGTTGGAGCCGATGTCTTTTCTGGCGTAGCCAGATCCCAGAAAGCAACGGCTTCCTCTGCGAACAAATATGGTCTCTTCTCAGAAAACGACTCAGCTAGTTTCCTTTACCACTTCCTCTGCTGGGCTCTAAATAAGTAAACAAGGAAGCCCAGCTCTGGAGGCTTGAGATGCAGAGAGAGCCACAGGGTTGGTAATTCCCCACTGGCTCCAGTCACCCCAACCCAGTAGGAGAGGCAATGAAGGGGTCTTAAACTCCAATGTGAGTCTGAGTAATTTTCCTTTAAACTCTGGGCACCCATATGTCTACACTGCATTCTTGCTCAGCTGGGGCTTTGCAGACCAAAATCTATCCTGACGGTTGACCTGAAATACAGACAATTTCCCACATCAGTGAACTGCTGGAGCATGTTTTTTTAATGCTTTCCAACCACTTTCCCCTCCCACCATCAAAGACTGGGATTCTTTCAGCTGCCTCTTTACAGTTGTCATGAGAGGGTCCTCAAGGAGTGAGTGAGTCAGGCACCCAGGGCTGAACAAGGTGCTACACTGTGCAGACAGGGCTCAGTTTCTGATATGACTATTTCTGTGCTATGCAACCTTAGGCAAGGAGTTAAAAGCTGGGAATCTCAGTTTCCAAATCTGTATAATAGGAAAACAGTGATTCTTCATATGCACATAAAACTTAGATGCATTCAACTAGACAAACCTAAAAAGAAAAATTAAAAAGAAAAAAAACTTAACAATTGCTATTGGTAGTGTCATATATTCCATTCACTATTGTTTCCACAATATATTTTATTCACTATTGATTCTGCCATATATTCTAGCCAAAGAGCACATTCCCTGGAGATAGGAGGTGAGAATTTGCTGTTTTCTTAGTTTCAGACATTGTTCATTTCTCATAACTGAACAACTTATTGGCAGAGGGTGAGTCCAGTGTATAAAAGCAACTATATTTGTGCAATAAGGCAACCTCTAAACACAAGTTACTACTTCATCTAATGCCACACACACACACACACACACACACACACACACACGAGTCATCTGTTCCAAGGCTGTTGCCTTTACTAAGTGATGCTATGTTGGTCCTTGAGGTGGTGCCTTCCTGAGGGTTTTCAAGCATAGCTTTGGCCATGCACAGTTTTCTTCTTATACACACTCTGAGGAGCCCCGCCGTCACGGTAATGCACCTGCCTCACAAGCTGGTGGGCAGCTTAAATGAAATACACATTTTGCTCCAGGCCCAGCACTAGCTCATCAATGTGAGCTGGTGTTAGCCTCACCTTAGAAGGTGCTGAGGGCATCAGTGAAGGTAGCCCAGGCCATTTGCTCCTTGCAGGGCCTCACACCTAAGAACTCTTTTCTTTTCTCTCTTTCTTTCTTTCTTTCTTTTTTTTTTTTTTTTTTTATTGAGACGGAGTTTCGCTCTTGTTGCCCGGGCTGGAGTGCAATGGTGCCATCTCGGCTCACTGCAACCTCCGCTGCCTCCCAGGTTCAAGCGATTCTCTTTCCTCAGCCTCCCGAGTAGCTGGGATTACAGGCATGCACCACCACGCCCAGCTAATTTTGTATTTTTAGTAAAGACGGGGTTTATCCCTGTTGGCCAGGCTGGCCTGGAACTCCCAACCTCAGGTGATCTGCCCGCCTAGGCCTTCCAAAGTGTTGGGATTACAGGCGTGAGCCATTGTGCCTGGGCCGCACCTAAGAGCTCTTTGTAGCTGATCATTCTGTATAAAGCACAGCTCTGCTGTACAAAAGCTCCATCACGGGTGAGAGGTCACCTGGTCTTTCAAATCACTAGCATAGCAGTGAACAATAAAAAGCCATTTGAAGAGAAAGAGAGAGAGAAATCACTTTGAAGTAGAGTAAGCACAGAAGATGTCATGGAATTAACTGGGATTTAAGCAGGGCCGTGGAGGATGGAGTAAAAGGGAGGGCATTCCTGACGTGGATCAATCAATCTCTCTCTCGCTATCTCTCAAAACACATGCCACCTATGAAAAGGAACATTCCAGATCATCCTTAAAAGTAGAAGCAATTTTACTTTATTTTATTTTAATTTCTCCTTTTTATTTGCTTTTGTTTTATGTTTAGAGATGGGGCCTCCCTCTATTGCCCAGCCTGGAACGCAGTGGCACAATTATAGCTTACTATAGCCTCGAACTCCTGGGATCAAGTGATCCTCTCACCTCAGCCTCCCAAGTGGCTGGGAGTACAGGCATGCACCACCATGCTCGGCTAATTTTTTTATTTTTACTCTTTTGTGGAGATGGAGTCTTGCTTTGTTTTCCAGGCTGTTCTTGAACTCTTGGTCTCAAGCGACCCTCCCATCTTGGCATTACAAAGCGCTGGGATTATAGGTGTAAGCCACCAAGACTGGCCTAATTTTCTTAATGATGTTCACCCCACTCAGGATAAGAAAAATCTACAAAAAAGCAGTTGTAATGAAGGTATCACTAAATATTAGGCTCCTTTAGAAAGAATTATCCAATTAATGTGGCCAAGATGGAGGATCCATGGAGCTCATTTAGAAGACAGACAAAGCAGCTAAGAAACCTGGATGACAATAATGGTGACTTTGAGAAACATAAAGAGACACGATGCCTTGAGCTCTTCCTATGGTCCAGAGAGCACAAGCTAAGAACTTCTTACTGACTGTCTTAATTGTTGGCACTATTGTTGCTCCTACTCTACAGAAGAGAAAATTGAGGCTCCAAGAGGTGAACTACTTGCCCCCTGAACCCAGCAAGTAGGGAGTGAATCCAGGACTCTTCCAAAGTTGATCTGAGTCCAGAGCCCCTGTCCTTGGCCATTTGCCACCTTGAGGCTCTGAGATGTTACAGAAACTGCCTAAGGTAGACTTGGGATTCAAACCCAGTCTGTCTCCAGAGCCTGCGCAGTTTCTTCTCTGTGGCCTCTGGTGAGGAGAAAGAGAGGTTGTCAATCTGAACAAGCTCAGTAAAGGATGCAGCACTCTGCATGAGGCGGGCACTTGGTGCCCCCTCCCCACAGAACCACAGGCCCATTCCTCAGAAAGGGCAGCTGGTGCAAGGGGAAGCATGTTGCTTCAGGCCTGGAGGCTTTCCTCTTCCCCAGGCCTTGCTGATTTCCCAACACTCACGAGTTTCACATCTCCTGTCTCTGGCTGGCGGGTTCCTGAAGCTCCAGAGACCGGGCTAGTTAGCCCCCAAGAGAGACTCAGGAGACCAGAAGGACCACTGTGACCCTGTGCAGGCTCAGCCGCAGGCCCCTCACCTCCAAAATGGGGCGGCCATGAAAGCAGCCTCTGGGTACAGCCCCCGACAGCGTGGCTGCCATGACCATGGAGGCCAGGGGCAGCAGCTGGGTGTACAGCATCTGTCTGTTGGCTTCAAGCATGAAGCAGAGCAGAGGGTGGGGATCCAGTAGGGCATAGTGATTTGAAGCAGTGGTGGGGATACCCTCGCCCATGTCTGTCTCCCTCCCCCAACCAGGTGGAGAACTCCGCAGGTACGAACGAGGAACGAGGTTACAGAGGCCTTCTTAGGCTTTGTGATGCATAGCTCAAGATTTGGGAAAAGGTAAACAACCTCTGAGCAGAATAAAAACAACATTCTAGGGGCTGGGCACAGTGGGTCATGCCTGTGAGTCACGTTGTGGGTCAATCCCAACACTTTGGGAGGCCAAGGTGAGTGGATAATCTGAGGTCAGGAGTTCGAGACTGGTCTGACCCATATGGTGAAACCTTGCCTTTACGAGAAATACAAAAATTAGCCAGGCGTGGTGGCATGAGTGCCTATAGTCCCAGCTACTGGGAAGGCTGAGACAGAATTGCTTGAACCTGGGAGGCGGAGGTTGCAGCGAGCCGAGATGGCACCACTGCACTCCAGCCTGGGTGACACAGCAAGACTCCCTCTCAAAAAAAAGAAAAAAAAAGACAACATTCTGCTCCTACACAGAAACAGGGCTCATGGAATAGGAATGATTTTTCTTTGTTTTTGTTTTTGGAGATGGAGTCTCACTCTGTCACCCAGGCTGGAGTGCAGTGGTGCCCTCTCTACTCAGTGCAACCTCCCCCTCCCAGGTCCAAGCAATTCTCCTGCCTCAGCCTCCCGAGTAGCTGGGACTACAGGCACATGCCGCCACGCCCAGCTAATTTTTTGTATTTTTAGTAGAGATGGAGTTTCACCTTGTTGCCCAGGCTGGTCTCAAACTCCTGAGCTCAGGCAATCCGCCTGCCTCGACCTCCCAAAGTGCTAGGATTACAGGTGTGAGCAACCACGTCCGGCCAAGGGATAGGAACCTTTACTGCACAACCAGTGGAGCCTGTGGACAAGAAAGCAGTACCTGCAGGGAGGCTGTGTCAGATTGTGAGAGTGGATGTGGGAGCAGCAAACTGCAGCCCAGGGCATCGCCTGAATCTCCTCCCCACCCCACCCATCACGTCCAGACTCCCAGCTCCCTCCCTTTCCATCTGACCCACAGCAGAATCATGTGGGCAGATAACTGCCTTCCTTCACCGCTAATTCTAGAGGCGAGAGAAATGCACAATTCCTTAGAAGAGACTTGGGAGTTGCAACTTCTGTGTGTGGGGCTGGGGGAAGGGTCTGGGGAGTTGATGCTTAGGGACGGGGAGAATGGAAAGCAGGGACTTTACAGACGAGAATGTGTTGACCTTCTTAGGAGAGGAACACAAGAAGTTAGAAGGTGGGTGGGAGGAAGTGCTTATTTGAATTTGACTTGGACAGAGGGTCCTGACCATGGGAGAGAGAATAAGGTGGTGGCACGTGGCCCAGAGAGGATGCTGACGTGACACAGACACCACAGGCAATCTGAGGATGCCCTTGCCCGTGTCCACCCAGCCTCACTCCCACCAACTTTTTAACATCTCAGATTTATCACCAGAGGCTGAAGTCCCTTGCTGTTGGAACTTCCTAGAGGGCCTGCATGGGAGCAAAGGCTGCAGCTGTCATCCTCACAGAGAGAGGGGGCAATTTTCCCCTCCATCCTTAAGGCAGGCAGTGGGAGCACCCTCCATGCCTGGGATCCTTGTGGATGGCAAAGGGCTCCACCACATGAGAGAGTCCAGTGGAGCGAGCGGAACCAGGAAGGGGTCCTGACTGCTCTGCTGGACAGAGGGGCCCACCCACTCCAGCAGCCACACTAGAAGGCACAGAACTCGGCAAGCCGGCCTCAGAAAGAGTGTGCAGGCAGGGGGAGACCTGCCTCCCGTGCAACGCATCCTCCATGCAGAGCGCCAGTGCTCACAGCACTCCTGCCGGCCGTGGGTGGGAGGCGGTGGGGAGGGGGCTGGAGCAGCAACCCCATAGGAGCCCTCCTGCAGGCCACACTCCGCTCTACCTCGACAGTCACTGAACTCCCTGCCCCCAGGCCTGGACACAGCTCTGACCTCCCCCGTCCTGGGAGCCGGCCAGCCTGTGCAAGGCAACGAGAAGCAATATTTTCCACTTCCTCCCAGTTGACAATTTCATTCTTTTAAAAAAAACTCTTTCATCCCCTTTCTCTGTGTGCCTTGCTCTGCTGTTTTAGCTAAGTTGCCTCAGAAGTTCAAAGGTGGGTAGGAGGAAGTACTTATTTGGACTTCCTGTCAAACCTTCCCTCCCTGGCTGCCCTATTTTTGACTTTGGCAGCCTGAACCCAGATAGCTCTGCTGTGAAGGGAAACTCCCCAAATGCCAGCAAGCGGGGTGGAGTGGGGGCTGGGGGCCAGAGAGGGGGTAACCGTCTTCTCAACTTAATAGAAAAATCCTTGTCTTCTTCCTTGGCAAGCTGGAGAAGGCAAGATTTCTGGGTGGTGGGAAGGGGTGCCAGAAAATAAAGCAAATGAAATTTATCTCCAGTCAGCAAAGGCACCTGCGACCAACTTCAGCTGCTTCTCCACAAGGAAGAGCTGTGGACCCAGAAAGTGCAAGCACATCCCTAAGATGAAGTGGCTTGCAGTAAACGAGAACAGCATAGATGAGAGGTTCGAGGTACGTTTGAGAAGTGGGCGCATCCTGATTGCATGTAATTTGTCTACCAACCCTTCCACGAGTCTTCAAGAGCTTGGCGAAAAGAAAGGCTAGGTCCTCTTGTGTATGATGTCACATAGCCCTCGTAACTGCTCTTTGTGAAAGGGGGATAGAGTCATACATACTCACTTTATAGATTGAAAACAAAGGCTTGGGGAGACCAAATGCTTTTCCAAGGCCTCACAGTTTATCAGAGGTAAAATGTGGGATTTGAAACCAGATCTGTCTGACACTAAGACTTTCCACCAAAAGATGGCACTTTCCAAGAATAGAAATGTTACGAAATGAATTATCAATACTCACCTAGAGCAGGTCTTTTCAACCATATTTATTAGGAAAGACAGGATATTTTGTTTTTGAGTTCTTGTAAAATGATGATCCTTGGTTTGCATACATTTTTCTCTAATTAAAAATAATTAAGCCTAGCAATCTAATGCTACGTGAGTTTCGCAGGCTCACTGAGTCCCTCAGTTGTACCCTGCAAGTAGAGAAACACCTGTTGAGGGATGCAGAGGTTGGCTGGGTCAGGCTGAGTTGCAGATGGGAGGTGGGGGTGGTGGAGGAAAAGAGTAAAATAAGGGAGGAAAATGACCACAAGCTTTCATTCATTCCAGCTTGAGGCCTCAAGGAAGCCTGAATTGCTCCTGCTATGGAGACCCTGGAGTTGCCTGGCTCCTGCATGTTCCAAGCCTGCTCTTAAAACTGTCCTTTGGGAGGCTGAGGCAGGAGAATGGCCTGACCCCGGGAGGCAGAGCTTGCAGTGAGGCGAGATCGCACCACTGCACTCAGGCCTGGGCGACAAAGCGAGACTCCGTCTCAAAAAAACAAACAAACAACAAAACTGTCCTTTTGAGTAGGCGAACGCCTCCATATCCTTCCAATAAGTAACTTTGTTGCTCAGGTTGCACAGAGTTAGATTCTGTTGCTTGCAACCAAAACCCCAGCTCTTCCACATACATAGACCATTCTCCTTTAATTTGTCCAAACAGTCTCAAGGGGGAAGAGGAGGTAGGCTGGAGTAAGGAAGAGTCATGGACTGGGAGATGGGGAGGTCCCGGGCTTGGATTCTACTCAAGCAATGCCATCAGCTGGGTGTCCAACCTTGAGCCCCTTTTAAAGTTTCCTCATCTTTAAAAGGGACTGATAAAACTTAACATCCCACTTCACGTGCTTTTGCTGACACACGAAGTTGCTTGTGTTACATGTCTGTCCTGTGTCTGACATATCTGACATGGAGATGCTACAAGTTCATTTCCATCCCCCAGACAATTTCTAGATCTTCCTTTTAGTCTATGCTCGTCTCAGTGGCAGGTTAATTTTCAGTTCACTTCTCTTTGAAGCCTCAAGCAAAAGAAACAAATAATCTTTTTTTGTATTTTTAGTAGAGACGGGGCATACAAAAATTAGCCGGGTGTGGTGGCGTGTGCCGATAGTCCCAGTTACTCGGCGGCCTGAGGCAGGAGAATCGCTTGAACCTGGGAGGCAGAGGTTGTGGTGAGCTGGGATTGCGCCACTGCACTCCAGCCTGGGCAACAGAGCAAGACTTCGTCTCAAAAAAATAAAATAAATAAAATAAAAATAATTGGATATCAAGAATTTATTCTGAAAAGCTTTCACGGAATATCATCAGAGGGTGACGGTACATGTGATCTGCCAAACTAGGATATTTTTGGAAGTGGAAGGGATGCTGCTTGTGATATGTTGGGATGGCCGGCAGACTTTGGGGTTGCCCCTGGCAATGGAAACATATGGGATCCCCAGTCACAGAGTTCTCACCCCATTATACTGATGCCTTGGTCTGTTTTCCTCCTGCAGAGTTTCATCTGATCCACCAAAGCAGAATTTCCTACTCCTTGCTTGTGACAAATGGTGACTCTATTTGCATTTAGCAAAAAATTGGAATACTTTTCGTCACAGGCAGAAACTCCAAATGTAACTCAGGTGGGGATAGTTTGAGCACATGCCAATAGCTTATGTTCCCTGAGCCCAGCAACTTTTCATTCCCAGCTGTTTCATGAGGCCTCTTCAGAGCATTGCCTTATCCTGCCCTTACTGGAACTGGAGGGTCCACTTTATCTTTAAACCAAGGTGACTGCATAGGCTCATAGCTCTAAATTAAATGTGTGACTAGCCAGCAGAAGTGCCAGATTCTTACAAACAGACTTGCCCTGTTTCATCCCCCTCAGCCCTGCCATTGTTCTTTGCTATCTACTATAGCGTTTCAGGCCATCTCTTGTGCTCCCTGACGGCCAGGCTTGTGATTTAGGTAGTCTGTCCTAAACAACTGAAGGCCAGAATTTCACAAAACTGCAGTGTCCCCTTAAGGAGGGCCTTTGTTCCTGTTCTGGGGGCTTCCTGTGTGAACCTGGATTCTCCGAGGGACTCAAGTCCATTCTGGAGATTTGGCAGAATGATCCTCCCTGGTCTAGCTTTTCTTCCCAAGTCCAACCCCTCAAAAGTTTCAAACTGCAGATATTTTTTTCTTTCTAGAGACAGAACCTACAGGAATCAAGACGCAGACTCTGGAGTCAGAATAACATGTTTGAATCCCAACTCTGTTACACTCCTGCTGTGAGACCTTGTGCAACTTACTTCTCTGTCCCACAGTTGCCATGGGGGTATGGGAAAAGCTAAACAATAGCATGGATCTCATTGAGTGGTTGTGAGGATTCAGTGAAAGAGAATTAGAAGCATGGATCACAGCCCCTGGCACACTATAGATGGTGTCGTTGCTGGCAGTTTTCACTACTATGAACACGTCTGACTCATTCATCCCTCCCCAGGGACCAGCCCTGAGTAACAGTTGGTTCTCCACTGCTGTGCGTCCCTGGGTTGGAGATAACCTTGAGCTCCCCTCTCCTGTATCACATGTGGGTGTGCACCAGTGGCATGCAGTACTCTGTGATATTTCTGATGTAAACAGATAGCAAAAGTGTAGAGTTGGCTTTTCCTAATAGTTACAAGGAGGTGCTGCAAGCTCAAAGGCTGATAAGGCCAGGGGGAAATGCAAATGAATGAAGCACGT